>NC_000014.9:41486713-42111713 GCF_000001405.40 Homo sapiens
ACCTTCAACTTGTAAAAAACACAGTATCTGCAAAGTACAATAAAGTGCAATGAAACAAACAAAAAAAAGGAAACAGAAAATGTAGACAAGCAAACCCATTCAGAGAAAGAATTGAAGTAAGATGAGTAAAAAATCTTAACACTAATCAAAGAGAACTGGATATAAATAATCATGAATCCACAATTAACTTCTAATAGAATAACATAAAATATAAACTCTAGCCATCAGTAGTGAACATACATTCTTAATAATTTATTTTCTTTTGTTGTATCTACAAATATTTTAATACACAATATACAATAATATAAATATTTATTTAATATTAAAAAGTTAAACAGTTTCTTACACACGTAACCATTTTATTTACATTAGCAAGGCACAAGGATAGATCAGAGAATGTGCTTATACTTTCTGAAAATTATTTTTAGTCAGGAACAACTATGTTATTATCTCAAGAATCTGATAAGAGCATATTTGTAAAGAAGGTTTTAAATAGTATTTCTCTCATGATGTACATATGCTTAAAATATTGTCTCAATAATTACTATTAACATCTAGAATGGAATATGTAACTCCATAAACCACCAAATACTTGGATTAATATCTTAAAATTACAACTATTAGAGAAATCCTTTTAAATATTAATAGCTTAGTTATAAATGCAATTTCATAGTAATTTTGAATTTATTTTACCTACACTATTTTGTTTAACCCTCAAAACTACTGCATTTTGATGATGTGATTATACATAAATTGAGTTATGAATTAATAAATGAGTTCTCTAAATTCACAAACTAGAGCTCAAATTAAAGTTTCTGACTGCCACTCTTTTTGTAATATTTCACAATGCTATGAAGCCCAGTTGAAGACTTTGAAGTTACATATAGGATTATGTGGTAATGCAAGAGAAAAAGAATGAGTATTCATATGTCATTTGCATTTATTGTCTGGCATAATGTTTAAACAGCAACACTGAATCATCTTCAGATATAAAGAAAGTATAAATAATAAATATATTAATAAATAATGTTCTATAACAGGAATTAGAGGGTTTTAGTAAGGCAAATTGCATGCAAAAAATTTAATGAGGCCAAAGCAAAACATGATGTCTATCACAGATAAAGGCATTTTGATGAGGAAACCCATTGTTGGAATGTAATCGTTATCTTGGCTTTGTAACCCCCTGTACCTCATCACTTCAATACCACAGAGAAAGATCATGTGGAAATAAGAAACAATAGAGCACTGTAGGGAATTTTAGTGAGCCACTAATTAATACCAATCTGCCCGGGCTTTGAACCAATCCAGAAATCACAGGAGAAGTAAGGCAGAAGAGGACCTAATATCATCTCAATTACTGATAAAGAATGTGACTCTACTTTAAGATAATTTGGTCCCCCCACCCCCTGTCCTCCCAAAAAATAAAATTAGAGTAACTTACTCTCTAAACCCGTTTGTACTAGACCAGGCTAGGGCCAGTCTCTCTTTTTAGGGACTTTATTCCTGACATTCTTTTAAACATGGAGAAAAGAATAAAACTTGCTTCCCACAGGTAGCTTACTCCAAGGAAAAGGAGAGAGATTAAGTCATTTTTCACCAAGGAGGAGTGAGTGAGTGAGTGAGTGAGTGAGTGAGTGAGTGAATGAGTGAGTGAGTTAGTGAGTGAGTGGATTGAAGAGTAGTAGACTACAGTCTCCTACCATAGGAAGTAGAAATTAAATTTGGGAATAAATCCCTTCTGAGAGACCCAAGTGGGGCATGAGGTACAAATTACGGTGAAGACAAGAAAAATGGGAAAGAGCAGAACAAAAGCTTAGGGTGTATCCACAGCATATGGAGGGAACACTGGGTTGTTCCCTCTCAGTTTTGATAAAATTGTCCTGTAAGCATTAAACTATAAATTCAAAAGGCAACTGTTCAGTTGAAGGTATTCAATTGTCCTCAGTGGGAAAGAAAATCTTCCAAGCTAGGTCATAAAAAGTATGATAAAGTACACCTTGGTCTTTTGCATCACTCCTTCTAGGGGTAAGCCAGCTACCATACTGTGAAAACACTCAAGCAGCATCACTGAAGGACCTGCATGGAGAGAAATTGAGGTCTCCACTCAACTAGCAAGTACCATATTCCCAGCCATGCATATGAGTTACATTGGAAGTGAATCAGCAGCTCCCTTCCAGCCTTCAGATGACTATAGCAGCAGTTGACATTAAACAACAATCTCACAAGACACACCCAGGTTAGAATCTCTCTGCTGACCCATGCTCAAGTTCCACAGGAATCATGATAAATATAAATGATTATTATGATTTAAGTCATTAAATTGTAGAGTAATTTTTAATGCAGCATTAGATAACTAATATGGGTTGATATGTTGTTTTCTAATACATATTTCCTCTCAGTTATAGCTAGCTATTATTGAATAACTTAAAAAATAGTACCAATTCTATGTAGAAAATATCTAAGTTATATATGCATATAAATGTGAATATAAATATAGATACATAAACTCATTTAATCATTAATTCAAACCTACTATTACCTCCATCTTATAAATGTAGAATCTGGGACACAGAGAGAAACTTGGCCAAGATCACACAGGTAGAAATGATCAGAACTGGGATGCATTTTCTTAACCACTAAGCTATATTACCTCTTTGTCCACAAAAAGGAATAAATAAATCAATGTCTCTGAGCCTAGGACAGAGTGGAGAACTCACCATGCTAAATGTTCCCTTTCTTCTGTCTTTGCATCTAACTACCTGAACTTGCCTAGCAATATCTGAATTATTCTCAAAATGCACATACTTGTGGTGTACCAGGACTGACAGAGGAGGGACACAGTGGAGGAAGATTACTAATTATTCCTAATTATACCAGATGGGAGCAGAGAGGAGGACAAGAAGAACCTGAAAGATGAAGACAAACTTTTCCTTCACAATGTCAAAATGTTTTCTTGACACAAGAAAGAGAAGGCTATTGTATTGACTTTTATTATATTCAATTTCCAACCTCATGACTCCTCTACACTTGGTCACTCAGTGATTCAGCAAGATATTGGCTTCTTGAAATGGGTGGTTAATCCTTTCAAGCTTCATATTTTTGCATTTCTATTTAAAGACCTAGCCTACAGCATTTTGAGACTCACAACCCAGAAAACAGAGAACTTTGATTTAATTATTTGGTAATGTTCTCAGGCATAGTTGGCTTTTTTGATGAAAACAAAAGCTTGATTAAATTAGCAAACTGTGAAAAGGGCTGTCATATTAACCACTTACTGTTTTCTAAACATCTTATTTAATGTCATATAAAATGTGCACATGCAATTTCTGTCAAAATGAAAAAAATAAAGCAAATAATTCATTTTTTAAAAAACAAATTAGTATTTATAATTAAGCATGAGCATGTCCTCTATCATAATGAATTGCAATCCCATCTCTGTCCATTTCATCATAAGAAGAATGGGTCAAGAATAATGCATATATTTTACAATCTTATTTTATTCTATAAAATAAGCTACCTTTAAAAGGCAATATGATTGTAAAGTCTACAGACCTGGATTAAAAGTTCAATTCCATCATTTATTACTTTGAGTTAAACACCATGTGTAGCTGTTATTGTTCATAATTATTTACTCCCTTCCTATAAGAGGATTACATTCCCAATGATTCCCAACAGTTGTATTGCCTACTGTAGAAAAAGTATAAATGCCCACCTCACTGACACTGAGCTTGACCATGTGACTTGCTTTGGCCAATGGAATGAGCAGATATGACATTTACTAAGTTTGAGCAGAAGTTTCAAAAGTCATTTTTTACAAGCTGACTTCCTCTTTTCCCTTTGAAATGAGAATTGCATTTTCCAAACAGAGGCTGATTGTTTATACTGGCTCCTTGAATAAGTATTGGCTCACACAAATGAACATATAATGTAAATAAGAAAATCGTTCTCATTGGAAGTCACTGAGTTTGTATTTTAAACACATGAACGCACATGGTAAGAAATACACATTATATTAATTATATTATTCTCTGTTTATCAAAGGTTAATAGTAACTTGAGTCTTAGCATCACTCTTACCCTTAAATACATGCTCAGGAAATGGTAGATTATCTACCTGAAAACCTGCATGTGGCCTTCATAAAAAATTGCAGTAACTCAAGCAAAGAATTGTTATTTTATTTGGCACGAGATTGTTATGATTTTGAAAGGTATCTTGAGTTCATATAAATGAATTCCAATTATGGCCCTGCCACTAACCTCTATCATTGACTCTCTTTTTCCATCAGCTGTCACATATATGAGATGGAGGCAATAATACCAATCCTACCTCCTATCAGGGTGAGTGAATGGCTTAAGTGAGAGGGCAGATGATAAACTTCTGGGAGCAGCTCTGATACAGAAGAGAAAGCATGGATCTAAGTAATGGTACTCTTCCTAAATTTGAGGTCTGATTCCACTTTTTACAAGAGGTATGAAAATAAGTATATTACAGCATCTACGAGTCGATAAATTTATTAATCTAAACACAGGTTGTTGACTCACAAGTTGAGTCAAATAAGATGATGTGATTTATTATGTAAATATAAATTATTGGCCTTATCATCAACACAACACTTTATTCTAATATCTTAAAGAAAACATGTTGATCTATTTTTCTACCACTACCATCCTGTTTCTGTTACTATAGCCTTGCAGTATAATTTCAGGTCAGGTAATATGATGGCTCTATGTTTTTTTATTTTTCCTTGGGATTACTTAGGCTATTTGAGCATTTTTCATTTCCATATGGATTTTAGATTTTTTTTAATACTGTGAAAAATGACATTATTATTTTGATAGGAATTGTTTTTAATCTGTATATTCCTTTGGGCAGTATGGTTATGTTAACAATACTAATCCTTTCAATCCATAAGTATGGGACTTTTTTTATTTGTGTCATCTACAATTTCTTTTATCAGCGTTTTGTAGTGTCTTTCATAGAAATCTTTCACCTTCTTGGTTAAATATATTCCAGTAATAAAGCCACACACAGTCAACTGCTCTTTGACAAAGTTGACAAGAACATACATTGCAGAAAGGACAGCCTTTTCAATAAATGGTGCTGAGAACATTGGATAGCCACATGCAGAAGAATGAAACTTCAATCCTATCTTTTTCGCCATATGCAAAAATCAACTCAAGATGGATTAAAGTCTTAAATGTAAGACTTGAAACTATAAATATCCTAGAATAAAACCTAGGGAAAGCTCTTCTTGACATTAACATCAGCAAAGAATTCATGAAGCAAAAGCAGAGGCAACAAAACCAAAAATAGACAAATGGGATTTATTAAACTAAAAAGCTTCTGCATAGCAAAAGAAATAACTAACAGAGTAAACAGACAACATGAAGAATAAGAAAAATATTTGCAAACTACACATCCAACAAGAGATTAATATCCAGCATAGACAAGGAACTGAAACAACTCAACAACAAACAAATAATCCCATTAAAAAGTGGGCAAAGCTCACACCAGTTAGAATGGCAATCATTAAAAAGTCAGGAAACAACAGGTGCTGGAGAGGATGTGGAGAAATAGGAACACTTTTACACTGTTGGTGGGACTGTAAACTAGTTCAACCATTGTGGAAGTCAGTGTGGCAATTCCTCAGGGATCTAGAACTAGAAATACCATTTGACCCAGCCATCCCATTACTGGGTATATACCCAAAGGACTATAAATCATGCTGCTATAAAGACACATGCACAGGTATGTTTATTGCGGCACTATTCACAATAGCAAAGACTTGGAACCAACCCAAATGTCCAACAATGATAGACTGGATTAAGAAAATGTGGCACATATACACCATGGAATACTATGCAGCCATAAAAAATGATGAGTTCACGTCCTTTGTAGGGACATGGATGAAACTGGAAATCATCATTCTCAGTAAACTATCGCAAGAACAAAAAACCAAACACCGCATATTCTCACTCATAGGTGGGAATTGAACAATGAGAACACATGGACACAGGAAGGGGAACATCACACTCTGGGGACTGTTGTGGGGTGGGGGGAGGGGGAAGGGATAGCTTTAGGAGATATACCTAATGCTAAATGACGAGTTAATGGGTGCAGCACACCAGCATGGCACATGTATACATATGTAACTAACCTGCATATTGTGCACATGTACCCTAAAACTTAAAGTATAATAATAATAAAATAAAATTTTAAAAAAAGTGGGCAAAGAAGATGAATAGATATTCTTCAAAAGAATACATACAAATGGTCAACAAGCCTAAGAAAAAATGCACATTGCTGCTAATCATCAGAGCAATGCAAATTAAAAACACAATGGCATATTAAATGTACACCAATCAGAATGTTATTATTAAAATGACTAATAATAACACATGTTGGTGATGATGCAGAGAAAAGAAAAGTCGTACCCTTTTGTTGGGAATGTAAATTAGTACAGCCTCTACGGGAAACAGTAGGGAGATATCCCAAAGAATTAAAAATTGCACTATTGTTTGATTGGCAACCCCACTACTGTGTATTTCCCCAAAGGAAAAGAAATCATTATATCAAAAGGATAACTGTACTCATGTGTTTATTGCAGCACTATTCACAATAGCAAATATGTGGAATCAACCAAAGTACCTATCAACAGCTTGGATTAAAACTGTGGTATATATGCACAATGGAATACTAATCAGCCATTAAAAATTTTGAAACCACATATTTTGCAGCACCATGGTCTCTGACAAAGCAGACTTTAAACCAACAAAGATCAAAAAAGACAAAGAAGGGTATTGCATAATAGTAACGGGATCAATTCAACAAGAAGAGCTAACTAACCTAAATATATATGCACCCAATACAGGAGCACCCAAATTCATAAAACAAGTTCTTAGAGACCTACAAAGAGACTTAGACTCCTACACAATAATAGTGGGAGACTGTAACACCCCACTGTCAATATTAGACAGGTCAATAAGTCAGAAAATTAACAAGGATATTCAGGACTGGAACTCAGCTCTGGATCAAATGGACCTAATAGACATCTACAGAACTCTCCATGCCAATCAACAGAATAGACATTATTCTCAGTGCCACATGGCAATTATTCTAAAATCAACCACATAATTGCAAGTAAAACATTCCTCAGCAAATGCAAAAGAACTGAAATCATAACAGTCTCTCAGACCACAGTGCAATCAAATTAGAACTCAGGATTAAGAAACTCACTCAAAACCACACAACTACATGGAAATTGACCAACCTGCTCCTGAATGACTCCTGGGTAAATAATGAAATTAAGGCATAAATAAAGAAGTTATTTGAAACCAATGAGAACAAAAAGACAATGTGCTAGAATCTCTGGGACACAGTTAAAGCAGTGTTAAGAGGAAAGTGTATAGCACTAAAGGCCCACATCAGAAAGCTAGAAAGATCTCAAATTGACACCCTAACATCACAATTAAAAGAGCTAAAGAAGCAAGAGCAAACAATTCCGAAAGCTAGAAGAAGACAAGAAATAATTAAGATCAGAGCAGAACTGAAGAATATGGAGACACGAAAAGCCCTTCAAAAAAATCAATAAATTCAGGAGCTGGCTTTTTGAAAAAATTAACAAAATAGATAGATCACTAGACAGACTAATAAAAAAGAGAGAAGAATCAAAGTGACACAATAAAAATTATAAACAGGATATCACCACTGACCCCAAAGAAGTAAGAAATATCATCAGAAAATACTATAAACACCTATATGCGAATAAACTAGAAAATCTAGAAGAAATGGATAAATTCCTGGACACACACACCCTCCAAGACTAAACCAGGAAGAAGTTGAATCCCTGAATAGATCAATAACAAGTTCTGAAATGAAGGCAGTAATTAATAGCCTACCAACCATAAAAAGCCAAGGATTAGATGAATTCACAGCCAAATTCTACCAGAGGTACAAAGAGAGGCTTATACCATTCCTTCTGAAACTATTCCAAACACTTGAAAAAGAGGGACTCCTCCCTAACTCATTTTATGAGGCCAGCATTATCCTGATACCAAAATCTGGCAGAGACACACACAAAAAAAATTAAAACTTTGTGCCAATATCCCTAATAAATATCGATGCGAAAATCCTCAATAAAAACTGGCAAACTGAATCCAGCAGCACTTCAAAAAGCTTGCCCACCAAGATCATGTTGGCTTCATCCCTGGGATGCAAGCCTGCTTCAACATATGCAACTCAATAAACTTAATCCATCACATAAACAGAACCATAACAAAAATCACATGATTATCTCGATACAGAAAAAGCTTTTGATAAAATTCAACATCCCTTTATGTTAAAAACCCTCAATAAACTAGCTATCAATGGAACATATCTCAAAATAATAAGAGCTACTTATGACAAACCCGGAGCCAATATCATACTGAATGGGCAAAAGCTGGAAGCATTCCCTTTGAAAACCAGCACAAAACAAGGATGCCCTCTCTCTCCACTCCTATTCAACATAGTATTGGAAGTTCTGGCCAGGGCAATCAGGCAAGAAAAAGAAATAAAGTGTATTCAAATAGGAATAGAGAAAGTCGAATTGTATCTGTTTGCACACAACATGATTCTATGTTTAGAAAGTCACATCATCTCAGCCCCAAAACTCCTCAAGCTGATAAGCAACTTCAGCAAAGTCTTAGGATACAAAATCAATTTGCAAAAATCACAAGCATTCCTATAAACCAACAATAGACAAGCAGAGAGCCAAATCATGAATTAACTTTCATTCACAATTGCTAAAAAGAGAATAAAATACCTAGGAATACAGCTAACAAGGGATGTAAAGGACCTCTTCAAGAACTACACATCCCTGCTCAAGGAAATAAGAGAGGACACAAACAAACAAACAAACAAAATTCCATCCTCATGGATAGGAAGAATCAATATCATGAAAATGGCCATACTGCCCAAAGTAATTTATAGATCCAATGCTATTCCCATCAAAATACCATTGACATTCTTCACAGAAATAGAAAAAAAAACTACTTTAAAAATCATATGGAACCATATGGAACCAAAAAAGAGCTCATATAGCCAAGACAATCCTAAGCAAAAAGAACAAAGCTGGAGGCATCGTGCTACCTGACTTCAAACTATACTACAAGGCTACAGTAAGCAAAACAGCATCGTACTTGTAGCAAAGCAAACATATAGACCAATGCAACAGAATATAGACCTCAGACATAAGACCACACATCTACAACCATCTGATCTTCGACAAATCTGACAAAAACAAGAAATGGGGAAGGGATTCCCTATTTAATACATGGTGCTGGGAAAACTGGCTAGCCATATGCAGATAACTGAAACTAGACCCATTCCTTACACCTTATACAGAAATTAACTCAAGATGGATTAAAGACTTAAGTGTAAAACCCAAAACCATAAAAACCCTAGAAGAAAACCTAGGCAGTATCATTCAGGACATAGACATGGGCAAAGACTTCATGACAAAAATGCCAAAAGCAATTGCAACAAAAACCGAAATTGACAAATGGGATCTCACTAAAGAGCTTCTGCATAGCAAAACAAACTATCACCAGAGTGAACAGGCAACCTACAGAATAGGAGAAAATTTTTGTAATCTATCCATCTGACAAAGGTATAATATCCAGAATCTACAAGGAACTTAGAGAAATTTACGATAAAAAAAAACCTCATTAAAAAGTGGGCAAAGAATATGAGCAGACACTTCTCAAAAGAAGACATGTATGTGGCCAAAAACATATGATAAGAAGCTCAAAATCACTGATAATTACAGAAATGCAAATGAAAACCACAAGAAGATACCATCTCATACCAGTCAGAATGGCATTTATTAAAATATCAAGAAACAATAGATGTGGGTGAGGCTGTGGAGAAATAAAGAATGCTTTTACACTGTTGGTGAGAATGTAAATTAGTTCATTTATTGTGGAAGGCAGTGTGATGATTCCTCAAGGATCTGGAACCAGAAATACCATTTGACCCAGCAATCCCATTATTGGGTATACACCCAAAGGAATATAAATCATTCTACTATAAAGATACATGCACACGTATGTTTATTGCAGCACTGTTTACAATAGCAAAGACATGGAACCAACCCAAATGCCTATGAATGCTAGACTGGATAAAGAAAACGTGGTATATATACACTATGGAATACTATGCAGTCACAACAAGGAATGAGATCATGTCTTTTGCAGGGACATGGATGAAGCTGGAAGCCATCATTCTCAGCAAACTAACACAGGAACAGAAAGCCAAACACTACATGTTCTCACTCATAAGTGGGAGCTGAACAATGAGAACACATGGACACAGGGAGGGGAACAACACACTCCAGGGCCAGGTGGTGGGTAGGGGGCAAGGAGAGGGAGAGCATTATGACAAATACCTAATGCATGCAAGGCTGACAACCTAGTTGACACGTTGATAGGTGCAGCAAACCACCATGGTACACATATACCTATGTAACAAACCTACATGTTCTGCACTTGTATCCTGGAACTTAAAGTAAAATTTAAAAAAAAGAAATAAAGTTATACATCTATTCAATATAACGAGTGCCAATGCACACACTTAATTGGTATTTTGAACATTTTCATTGTCTTTATCCACTCATCCATTCCCAACTATTCTTATCAAACTTGAAATCAAACTAGATATGAATCCTGATGCTTTGCATTATGGGTGATACCACCCATCCTCCCCAGCCCCACACATCTATTACAAAGTTCTAATTTGTTTGTGGATTTCAATAAGAGTTTTCCTGGCACATAAATTAAGCACATGCTGATCTGAACAATTCCATTAGTACTCAGCCAAACAAAAATATTTAATAGGTTCGAGATTATGGTCCTCATATGAGAACATAACCAATAATTTTATCATCTTCTAACTAATTTGTGATTGGCAACTTAATCCATTATTTAGCTATAAGGAGAGAAAATCAGCATTCATAATAATCTCCAAATTGTATTTGAAGTATTACAAAGTTTTACGTGTGATTTCTATTTACAATTAGTTGGAATTGTGTAAAGATGCAATAAAATTAGTTTACTATTTTGGACCATGCACACATCTTGAATACAACTTATTATAAAATGAAAATTTGGGTAATCAAAAGCTGTTTATATCAACAACAATCATAAAGAAAAAATAAATTCAAGACTAATTTTTCTTTAATCTGACCTGTATAGACCCCTTTTTTTTGCCAGACTACCATGCATTTCTCTGTAAGGACCACAACAAGTATGTGATGGTAACAGTTTAAAAACGCAGTGTCCTGGTTTCTTTTACACCTCCCTTCACTACACACACACACACACACACACACTCACACTATACACTCTAGAGACAAGGTGGGCCTCTAAAAATTAAGTGATAATCATCCCTATTTTCAAAGAAATATATTTTCATTTGACCCAAGACATTGTGTTATTTTGAGCTTTCTATTATCTTTATCCACCTATCCACCCCCAACTATTTTCATAAACCCGAAAGCCAAACTAGATCTGGATCCACGTGCTTGGTATTATGGGTTTTATGGGTGACATTTCTCTTTTTTTTTTTCCTGACTATTACAAAGCTCTAATTCATTGTGAATTTCAACGAGAGTTTTCTTGGCACAGAAAAGAAGCACCTGCTGATTTTCTGCTTTATCAAGAAACACCTGCTGCTTTATCAAGAGTGAGTAGAGGTAAGCAACAGTATGTGTCTGATTATCAATGCACCCCTAGTAGATAATTAAGAAGTTTCCCTTCACTTAGACACACATTCATTTTTACAGTCAATAAATATCTACTGAGTATCCAAAAGGAAAAGGTGTTAGGTACTGAGTCAATGAAACATACATGTCATTCACAAACATCAGGCAATCTGATTAATATTATAATAATTTTTTAAAAAAATCTGGGGGAGTGGAGACATCAAGTTGAATAGCATGGTTCTTTCTGTTAAATGGTTTGCAATCTAGTGCAAATGGAATTTTGTGGAAGTAAATGTCAGGACAAGGAGTAAGACAAATTATTAATAAATATGATAAAAAAGGAAATGTGGTGTCATACTAAAGAAAGGGTTAAATTCAAGCTCAGAAAGAGGTGAGAGTAATTTTTTTGAATAGATGATCACTATTATTATTTCAAAAGATAATGGAGGCAGCACTATATAAGTTAAATTACAGATGAGAAGGATTGCTCAGTAGAGGAGAAATAATACAGTGAAGATGTAGAAAGGATATAACATGTTTTCGGACATAAGAAGGGAGGGAATTCTATATGCATGCTGTGAGTTTGTGTGTACACACAGAGGTTCATATCCCTGTCTCCTCAAGAGCATGTTTTGGCAAAGTGATTACCAGCTCTAACAGTTGGGTTCAAATTCCAGCTCCTTTACTCACTGGCTGTATCACTTTGGCAAATGGTTTATCATCATTCTGGTTCTTATTCCTCTTGCGCAATCTCAAGTTTAGAGGCATGTTATAAGATTAAATTTCATAATGCATGAAAGCACTAGGTTCAATCCTATAATGAGGTCAATATTCAAAAAGTCTTTTTAAAAATCATCTGCTCCAAAATAAAAAAAAAAATACAACTTTAGAGGAGTAATTATTGATATGATTGTTGTATTGCTTTAGTATTGTTTTACTAAGAACACTGAATAGATGAAGTGGAAAAATTTTTTATCTCTTCCTATTTTGAAACAATAAAAAGACTAGTAAATTAAGGCTTTTAAGGAATCTAAGTAGACATAACTTCCATTTTCTGTTGAAAGCTATTGTCTACCATAAATTTAGGTTGCCTGGGAGTTATGTGGGCAAAATCTCCAAGGACAACCTAATGACTAAATCGCCGTTCTCAGTCATCCCACTTGCTGGAACTCGGCAGCATTTGACACCATCAGGCTTTCTGTTTGGAATCCCCATTTATGTTTAATTCTTAGGGAACTTCATTTCAATTCATTTTCTACTTTCTTGACTACTCTTTCTCTGCCCTCCTTGATGAGTCCTCTTCCTCCTCTCCTGCCTTCAGGGAGAAATTCCTTCAGATTTTTCTAACATTTTTTTTGTAAGGTAATTATAAGATAATTGCCCTTACCATCTATCTCTTTCTCTCTCCATAAATAGATAGATTAGATAGATAGATAGATAGATAGATAGATAGATAGATAGACAGACAGATAGACATAGATATTGCTATATGCTATATGCTCTCTCTTCCCTCCTCCCCTCCCCCACACAAACAGATATATCTGTTTATAATAATCTCCAAATTGTATTTCAAGTATTATAAAGTTTTAGATGTATCTGTTTATATGGCAGAAGGGAGAGAGAGGATATAATCTGTTTATATGGGGAAGGGGAGAGAGAATATATATTTAAAAACTCAATTATATATATACACACATATATATTAAAGATAAAATTATATAATCTTAGAAAACTCATTCCCTCTCATAAATTAAATTATTATGCCTATGAGAATGATTTCCACATCTTATCTCCAGTTGTTACTTTTAACTGAGTACCCTCATTTTTCAATTGCCTATTAGACTTGACCATTTGAATGTCCTTAATCTTGCCACTTTAATGTGTCTAAAAGGCAACTTATTGTCTTTCTCGGAAACAAAGTTTTCATTGGATTCGCTTTTGATTTATAGTTCCACCCTTCTTCCATGCTAAAAATGCCAAAATTATCTTTACCACTTATTTTTAATATTCTTAAATTATATTACATAGACACTTTTCATTCCCATTGCTACCACCATAATTCAAAACCTTGTTACCTTGTACATGTATATTGCCTTAGCATAATGAGTTTTCTGTTTGTTTCTAGATTTTCCATAAAATTATATTTCGTCAGGAATTCTTTTTCACATCTACCTCAATGTCATAATGGTCTTGGTACACATCTTGGACATCTATAAAATGCAAAATTGGGAACACATTAAACACAATATTCTGCCTTGGTTTTTTTATTAAATGACAAACAGAAGTGGTTCTCCAGGGGTAGCACTGGCCATGAAAGCCAGCAGCTTTGCTGATGGAGAAGGAGCACATAAACTGACGGAGAAGAAGAAAAATCTAGCAGTGTTTTCTGTAAGAGAGTGATCTTAGTGAGAAGCAAATGGCTGTCTCATATAAAGGATTTTCCTCTTAGTTTTCTGACTTTCTCCATGTGCTTCTCACCAAGATCACTCTCTGACAGAAAGCATTGCTAATATCTCCATAATATCCCTGGCTAACCAGGAGTCTACATATGTGTGCAGAAGAAACACAAGAAGGCCTAGCAGAAAATAAAGCCAGGATAGATTGGAAAATGACTGAGCTTTGAAATGTGCTCCCAACCCACACTAAGCTCCATTCGTAAGGGGTAGAAGCCTTCCTGTTTGAGGTGTTTGAAGACAACATATAATCATTTACTGTATGACTGCTAAGCTATGCAAAAACTGCCACAACCTCTTAGGAAGCCAACCAAAAGAGATTAAAAGTATTCAAAAATATTAAGCAGATGCATTAGTTGCTGCACACCATGGAGAGAGGCAGATCCCGCAAATTTAGCCCAAGCAAGTTATTAAAACAAATCAATCAACAACAACAACTAAATAAGAATGAAAAATCTCAGGAAAAAATCCAGAGTTGCTACAATATATTTTCAAAAATATGCAGGTAAAAAATGTTATGAGATATGCAGTTGATCCTGAAGCCCTTCTCCAGCCTCTTTATAGTATCTTCTCAGATGTTCTCATCAGTTCCTAAAGTTTGTAACCAATATGCTGATGATAGATCATTAAGAATGAGTATCCTGAACAGATATTCACAACCAACTGATTGTCATTTCTGTCTCCTAACCAGTCTCATTTTAAGGCTTCTAAGCCAGCAAACATCTGAAGTTTTTCATATTCTAAATTACATTCTAATATCTAAGATGAACTTCTAATTTATCTAGTGCCAAATATTTTGCCTCATAATGAATGCAGAAAACCTAATACTCAAGTTTTTACAACCACTTTGGCCTAATGGTGCTTGTAAATAATGCATTTGCATAATGAGCAATATTTATAAAAGCCAATTACTGCTAATATGTATGACCTTTTGGCATCAGGTACGCTAATAACCTTTGAAATGTTGACTAGATTATATAATGCCAAAACAAAACTTAGGTATAATAGGAGCCAGGCTCCTTGTATATATAAGAATGAAGGTTAGTTTCTATTTTGGCTGCACTTATAAACAGGTGTTAATTAGATATGTGATTTGAATTAAAAATTCTGGTACATTTTCAAATAGAGAGCATTAAAAAGGAATTATGTGAAAATGACTATAACTAGACGCAAGAGCCCTACTTTTACAAAATAATTTCTAATGAAATAGAACTAACTTGTAACATAAATACTGAGATTCAGATATTTTCAAAGTATTAATCCTCTAAAGTTGCTATACAGTTTATATTTATAGACAAGATTTTGTAGGCTTTTGTTAATTCGTGTGTACTTAATATAAATAAATATTAAAAATAATAATCAGGTTAAATTTTAACTTATTTTTTTAAAGGCCATAATAAGTATCCTCAAACATTTAATTCACTTTTTTTTTGTTATGTTGTAAAACGAATGTATTTCACCTAAGTGCGGGTAGATTTACAGGTCATTCTATTAAAGCACTTTAGTTTCTGTATATTACATTTTAAATTGCTTATTTACAACTATATATGCTTTAATACGGCAGCTTAGCCATAATGAGTTCATGTAATAGAACCACAGAGCTGATTGTGTTTTGTAGCAATAAAAATACTAATGCAAAATATAGTGTAATCTGATTTTTGCATTACTGCCGTGCTCTGTCCTACTTGAATTATTTAGGGATCCAAATTCAATTCTCCAAAACACAAATAAGTTTCAACTACTTATCAAATAATTTTCAACTTTGATAATATTACCACAGGTCTGTTCTCATCTATCAGGTCTAACCCTAGACAAAATAGCCTAAGTAGAGTGAGTTATTTTGAGTAATTAATTCAGTTAGATTTTCAGCTCTATGTTCATCTTTTAGTGACCTCGTACTAAACACTAAATTCGTAACCTGAGCATTAACAATTACTCAGTGATTATTTAGGTCTACGCCCTGGCCCTCAGTCATGGGAATCCATGCAGTTATTTCATCTTCTTTTATCAATCTTCTTTGTAATTTTCTTTTATTTTCTTCCTAAATTATTACTTATATTCCATTTTCTCAACACTTTGTCACTCATGTGACAAAATAATTGCAATAATTTAATTTTTAAAAATACAGAATGTGCAAGCCCAGTAGGAGTCTAAAAAGTAAAAAGTGATTTTACTTTCTCAAGGCTCATGAAGTCTAGTGGTGAGCTGCAAGTATACAGGGTAACGTATAATAAGCACTAGAAGTATCAAAGTTGATGATACTACTGACTTTTTAAACAGTTTTAAAATAGCCTCAAATTGCCATCTTTCCTGTAATACATTTATGTAGAATGTCAAACTCCTTCCTTTTGTAATTATTCTCCATATCCTGACTTTTTAGCAAGGCTTTTTTTTCGACAATAGTCAAAAAATCTTTGTAGAATGTGCTGAAAATTATAAACTATCTCAATTGAATACAGTATGTGATAATGGTAGTAATTTTATTTTTGCCCCAAATATTTTTTTTGCTCATTTTTCAGTTTCATAACTCTTTAGATTACTTCTCTGACTTTTTATGCTTGAGGTTAGTAGGCTGAAATGCTGCAGAGATTCCTAACTTATAACTCAAAGCCTGAAGCCTATATTATACTCTCTCAAATGGATCAAACATCTTTAAAAATACAGCTAAAGGAAAGGGGAGAAAATGGGTCAAACATTTTGTGTTTGTACTATTTTCGGTGGA
The DNA here is from genome assembly GCF_000001405.40 of Homo sapiens. NCBI lineage: Eukaryota > Metazoa > Chordata > Mammalia > Primates > Hominidae > Homo > Homo sapiens. The sequence continues at coordinate 41,503,629 of NC_000014.9, forward strand.
AACATTCTTATTACTTAAAACCTCTGAACAGAAGTTAGCTATCAATTCTGCAAGAGTCACTCATGACTAACAGGAAAACACAAAATCATCCCACAGCACATGATGCTTTCTACCTTGGTGTTAGTGAGCACTCACAATTAGTAGGACATGAGGCTGTGAAGGTCAGCTTATGGATTGCAAACTCCTCCCTAATCTCCTCAAGCTCTATCCTCATTTCCTAAAGTTTTCTCCACACACGTATGAACACAAAAAAATGTTTTCTCTATTCTTTCTTCATTTTTGAACCTTTTTTATTGAAATATAAACTAATATAGAAAACAAATGTCTAAGCATAACTTATGAGTAAACTGTTCAGCTAGTTTTCACAAACTGAACACATCCTTGTAATCAGCATCTGGATAAAACATAGAATATTCCAATATCCAGAAAAGAAACATGTTGAAACAGAACATTTTTAGAAATGAAAAATAGGTATGTTAATTAAAATAAAGGTGAGAAAGGTAATCCCTTTTCCGTGTATATGCACGTGCTGACTATATAATATGCCATTTCCAAAAAATGGGTTCACAGAAGACTTTCCAAGCATATTTGTGTTATTGTTCAAAAGCTTTTGTGATAATAATGATTTGGAGATGTTGAATTAAAGCTAGTCAAACAAGTTTACCACATAGGATCTTCACAAATTCAGACTCCAGTGTCTACTCCCTGATGGTTCTCAAGTCAGGAGAGAAATGAGAAAAAATACTTCTTGTCTATTCTTATAATTATTTTTTTCTACCTGGAGAGAACTCAGTTAGTGTAAATTGTGGCCTCTCCATCTTTTACACTTTTTTCCCCAGGAGAATGAGTAATCAATTGATAAATTTGGGACAAATGAATTAGACATGCTAACAGTAGTTCTTCCCACGGAGTAAACTTTGTCTTGAAAGTGAGCTACCTCAAGGGAGCAAGCAGAATTGGCTTCACAAATGTATCACCTGTGTGGCCACATAGAACTTACCACTGAGACGAGCCCTCCTTGGTTTAACGTTCTACCGTTGCCATCTTGAAATTCTTAATAATTTTATCTTTAAACTGTATTATGGAAATGAAGTCCAGCAGGAAAATGAAGCACACTTAGGAGTAGAGTAGATAAATGCAATATATACATCTACCATTGTTGCTGCTCCGTTAGCATAGGATATTCATAATGCCCCATGAACACAGAATTTCTGTGGACCCACCTTCCATGAGAGTTTAAAGAGATTTAAAAAGAGTTCAAGGTAAGCCTGCTACATCTCAGACTGAAAAAGTGGGAGTGCTGACAACCTAGAGAGTCCAAGTTTTCCATTCAAACCAGAACTTGCTTTGAATGCAGAAGTAAGACAATGGTGTTCTAAGAAGCATGGACAACCAAGAGAGCCTTTCATATACTTTATTACTCATGTTACTTCTCTGTGTTAGCCAGCCACTACATTGAAATAAGGGCGTAGAAGGAAGAGAGAGAAATAGAGACACCCTTGGTTTCTTTTCATTTCAACCATTCCTTACTCATCAGTAGGCCAAAGGCAAAGTGTTGGTGGAATGGGTATATATCAAGAAGTGAAATAAAAACAGTTGAGTTAGTTTTGTGCATCATTTACACAGTTATGTTAAAAGCGAAATACATAGGTTATATATAAGCTACAAAATACAGATTAATTGTGATAATTTGCTAATGAGTTAAATTCTCTTATAGTTTCATTTAAAACTGCCATTGCACAATATAACATTGAACGGTAAAATTCATGCTAATAATTTAAATTTTCAATTTTCATTTAGTTAGAATGACACTAAGTAGCAAATAAAAATGTCCTAATTGGGAAAGAGAGAGAGAGACGGTGAAACAAAGAAAAGAAACTTTTAATGTTTTAATACATTTTTCCAACTTACTAAAGAAGTGGCCCCACATTTTCACTTTGTGTCAGGCACCACATAGTATGCAGCTGACTCTGGAGGCAAGCATTCTCCTCTGCCCTCAGGGACTGGATGTAACCCTCCAGGAGGCGAAGCCTGCTGTTATGATCAGGGAGATTAAGTCTACCTAGTTCTTGGGTTTCATCAGTAAGCCATTAGGCTCTCACACTGAGTTGCATTTCCCAACCTCACTTCTGTGAGTAATAAACGTCATATTTGGGATTTTTCTGCTACTTTTTGTTTTATTTTTCAACAACTGAATGTAGGAAGATACACAGATGTAACTGATATCCAGTCTAATTTTGGACTACATTACATCCATAACTCAGGAAATCTGAGTAAAATCTGTGGATTGTACCAACGTCAACATCCTAATGCTAAAGTTGTACTGTTTGGAAATTGAGTGAAGTATACGTGGGGACTTCCCTGTACATTCTTTTGAAACTTCTTATGAGTCTATAATTATCTCTTAATAAAAAGAAAAAATTATAATAATTTTAAATTTATTAATTTTATTTTAATTAAACTACTTTATGTTGGCTATTTGCCTGAAAATAATGATAATGTTAATAATATTTAAATTAATAATAACAGTTAATATGGACTATATTTACTACATACCAAATATTATATTAAGATAGAACATGGTATAGGTAATGTTTAAGTAGTAGGTTTTCTACAAAAATTTGAATAAATACATGAATTAAAGATAAGTAAATTATAATATTTGAGGCTGTCAAGGAGGTAAGAAATTACTATAATATTATAGCCAGTGAAAAGAACAATATTACAAAATGAGTTTTGTTTTTAATGGCTGGAGGGAATTAGTAACATTAGACTTCAGTATAAAATTTGAACTATTAATTTAGTGCTAAGTTATAGTATATTTTTTCCAAAACTCTAATACAACTTTGATTAAATTGCAACCATCTTCCAGGAGTATGAAATTCCAATTATAAAGTCAGTATTAGCAATTTCTTTTGGTTTATAAAGAACATCACAATTACTCATGAAACCTAGTATTTAGATAACTGTTTCTTTTTTAAAGCAGGATAGCCAATCTCTGCATCTAGAAAAGGCAACTCTTCAGTGAGGGAAACTTTGGAAAACTAATATTAAAGTTAATCACCTGGTAATTATGTTAAAAGATTATTCCATGAAGTGTGAATTTATATGCTGACAGGTAAATAAAATTCAATTGTTGCTTCATGGTACACGTTTGTACATTTGGGAAAACCAAGGTGTTTAAAAATAGTCAAATTTTCAGTCAATATTTAGAGAAAGATCTTCGTTACTAGGCAGAATTCAAATTATGCAGTGATATAATATTATTTTAATTATAATTGAGATTTGCTTTAATTATTACAATCCAGTTATATTCTTTCTACCAACTCAAGATCCTCTATTATGTGTCATCCCCACCTATCTACAAATGAGTTTTTAAATACTGCAACCCTGCCTATCTATTTCCTTCAAATATGGCACCTCAGTACTTTTCCATGTGAGTTTCATTACGGCGATTTTGTTTGGAGCATTCACTCCACCCTGCATACCTTTCTCTCTTCATCATACCTGGTAAAATCTCCCTGTGCTTTAAAATCCAGCTCACCAAAAACCATTTATAGGTATGATTACTTATGTGCCAGGCATTGTGCCAATATCCAAATTACCACTTATGGTGTGGCGGGTACAATTATTATTCTTACTTTCCAAATGAGGAGATCTGGGGTTTGGAAACGTAAAGTAAGCCCAAAACCTCAGCAGCAGGATGCTGTGGATTTGGATTACATAAGAATTCCGACTACCCAGCCACAGAGACTATATGAAGAGGCCCTGGGACTACAGAGAAAGGCAGAGAGGTCCAGTCATCATACTCATCAAGGCTTTAGGCATGTGAGGGAAACCGACTTTTTTACTTTATCAAGACCAGAGTAGCTGCTCACGAAGCCAGTCAATGTTTCATGGAGATGCTTAATTTTTTAGTTGGGCCTTTTCCAAATTCCTGACCCAGAACACTATAAGATATAAGAAAACATAAATTCCAAGAGAATTCAACATCCAGCCAGTCCTCTAAACTAATATGCCAGACTATAGTCACACTCAAGACTCATCTTCTTAATTATTTAATTTACTCATTTCACTGGGAAGGAGGAATTAGATAATTAACAATAAACCTTAGTAACAAATGATGGACTCATATTGCAGCAAAATATTTCGGCATATTAATTTCTGTCTCTTGCCTGGAATCCTATATTAGTTGTAGTCTAGAATGCACAATTCTATGTTTAAGTTTAATTCTATGTTTAAGTTTTAATCCATCATTTTTCAATGGTTTCATACCTAAGAAAGTAGAAAAGTCTTCTGCAGTAGCCTTGAAAAGCACTCTGAATAAAATTTGCATTATTTCATACTTTTGAGCCCTAACACCACTTTGACTTTCCTAGTAGATTCTGTCATAAATGGTGCTATCCAGAAAAATAAAGGCATTTATTTTGAAAACCCGTAAGTCTAAAATTCATAGACAAAGTCAAATTTAGAAGTCAATTTAGAAGTTGGATTTAAAAAGCAACAAGATCCCAAACTAGTTCCTACTTTATTTTACCTTTCTCATTTTCTGCTTCTAGTTATTTTCACCTTGCTTTTTCTCTGAAGAATTTCTTTTTTTTTTTTTGAAACGGAGTCTCACTCTGTCGCCCAGGCTGGAGTGCAGTGGCACGATCTCGGCGCACTGCAAGCTCCACCTCCCAGGTTCACGCCATTCTCCTGCCTCAGCCTCCCGAGTAGCTGGGACTACAGGCACACGCCACCACACCCTGCTAATTTTTTTTTCTATTTTTAGTAGAGACAGGGTTTCACCGTGTTAGCCAGGATGGTCTGGATCTTTTGACCTCGTGATCCGCCGGCCTCGGCCTCCCAAAGTGCTGGGATTACAGGTGTAAGCCACCGCGCCCGGCCGAAAATATTTTTATTACCCAGTTATGGCAGCTTCTCTAATTAGTGTATACAATGGCCTAAATAGGAAATTAGAAACAAATTGCTTAGCATGAGAAGAACATTAATATGCTAAAGCACACAGTACTATCTACATAAAACCCAGATGACGTTAGCAATACATAGAGTACTTGATACCTACACAGGTGCCAATAATATCTATTCCTGTCTATCACAGAGCCTGATATAACAGTTTATGGGGTTGATCTTTCAATTTCTTAATGCCATTCAAGCACCAAGAATTTCCAATAAAATTTAAAGATTCATTTTTGTTCTGGTGATTTTTTTTTTAATAATTTTTTCGAACCTTTGTGATGATATGAAGTGGAAGGTTTATGTGTCCAGTGATCGTACTTAGTGGAATTCAGAAATAGGTGCACAGAGTTATCTGTGTGTGGTGAAAGTCCCTTAACCACCAGGAATATTGATCCACAGTTTGAGATTAGGTAAGTGAGAGAATAACCACACACATATTAAAATCTACCTGACATCCAAAACTAAAATATTAAAGAAGATTTTCACAACCATTATTATCAAGTCCAGCTAGATGCTAAGAGCATAGACTTTAAATCAGACTGACTTACATTGGAATCCCAGCTTTGTTACTCATTGTCTGTAATTCTACGCCTCAGTTTTCTCACGTGTAAAATAGTCACAGTGATACTTAGACTTACCATTCATTTATTACAAAAGAAATTTATTTATTGAGTATGTATTAAGTGGAGAACATTATATACTTGAGACAGCAGTAAACACAGTGGACAAAATACATGGCACTTACATTCTTTCAGAGGAAACAGATGATATAAAGAAGGCAAGAAGTGCTATGAAAAAAAAATAAGCAGAGAAAAACATTAGAAGCTGCTGAGAAAATCGATTATTAAATTTTTAAAAAGGCATGTAATCCCCAAACTTTGAGAGGCTGAGGCAGGCGGATCACTTGAGGTCAGGAGTTCGAGACCTGTCTGGGTAACATGGTTAAAACCCATCTCTACTGAAAATATAAAAATTAGCCAGGTGTGGTGGCACATGCCTGTAGTCCCAGCTACTCAGGAGGCTGAGGCAGGAGAATCGCTTAAATCCGGGAGGCGAAGGTTGCAGTGAGCCGAGACTGTGCCACTGCACTCCAGCCTGGGCAAAAGAACAAGACTGTCTCAAAATAATAATAATAATAATAATAATAATAATAACAATAATAAATAAGCTGGTATTAAAGCCCATATTGAGAATGTGACATTTGAACCACCTGGAAGGAGGTGAGAGAGAGCACCACTGGACTTCTATATTAAGAAGCAAAACAAAAACTACATTCTAGCTGGAAAGAACAGTAAGTGTAAAGATTCAGAGGTGGGAGGTTTGAGCATTCTATTGCTGAATACTATCAGGCAGGTGTACAGTGAATAGAAGAAAAGGAGATCCACACACCCTTTTCCTGTCAAGTAGAGTCCCTATAAATTTTATTGTTCAAAAATAAATGTCAAAAAACAAAATGTTAACGAATTGAATTTAATGATCAAATTGGCTTTTTTAAATGATCCATGAATCAGGTAGCATGTCATCTATAAAACAGAATGGCGCTCCTGTGAGCTGAATAGAGAGGATGAGCCTTTACAAACAGAAAAGGTTGAAGAAAGCCAAAACCGGGAACAGAAAGGAGACTGGCCCTTTCAAAGTGCATTTCCTTAAAGGACTAAGGCAGAGGGAACCTTCTTATCATGCAGATTCATGTTGACTGGGCCCCTTTTTATTGGTTGCTATAAATGTCCTATTTTTGGAAAACTGGCCAATTTCTAAGTTACATTTTATTACATGGCACCAAGCACAAGTGACTCTCATGATTTGGTCTGGTCTCTTTCGGCCATGTGCAGCATCTCAGTTTAAAACAATGGCTTCCCATAAATTTTATTTAACATAACTAAAGCAATCACAAATAATAGGAAAAAAACAGTTTAAAAAAACTCAAGAATAACATATTGAAGCTTCAGAAAAATAATATATTGTTTCATTTATCCTAATACACATAATTTTAATATATTTTAACATGTCTGAAATTAGGACTCAGCTAACAATCAATGCGTTAAGAAACTTTACAACTTAATTTGCAATATTTTTTCTCTCTTAGCTATACAAAAAATAATGATGCATCATAGAGTTAACTATTGTAGATTCAGTAAAATATGACAGCTATGAAAATTACTTGAAAAAAGAGCAGAGATAAAAATTCAGAAAAATTTTACATCTTTTAGTGGGAGGTGAGAGTCTCAATTTCTAGGAACACACACACACACACACATAAAAAAAAAAAAAAACAGGCAAAAGGACAGAAGAGGCTGAGCTAAAAAAAAATGATATGACGACACAAACCAAAAAGAAAAGAGTTGGAATGGAACAAAATGATCAAAAGGAAATACATATTGTATTATGAAAATTAAATGCCTCCCTGGAGATGGTAAGGATTGGAATGACTATGGCACAGTTATGAGGAGGATAAATTTGAGAAGCTATCCTTTTCCTAGAATAGCAGAAAAGACCAAAGAGATAAAACCAGTCAACAAGAAGGTGATAGATATGATGAAACAACATGGAAGCCTAATAGTAGGTGTTCCTCAGGAAAAAAAAAAATGCAGAACAGAAACAAAAGCAGTCATCAGAAATAAAACTGGAAATAAATATTTTTCATTTGAAAATGATACTGATAGGCTAGGCCCAGTGGCTCACGCCTGTAATCCCAGCACTTTGGGAGGCTGAGGCTGGTGGATCACTTGAGGTCAGGAGTAGGAGACCATCCTGGCCAATATGGCTACATCCCGTCTTTTCTAAAAATACAAAAATTAGCCGGGTGTGGTGGTGGTCACCTGTAATCCCACCTACTAGGGAAGCTGAAACAGGAGAATCGCTTGAACCCAGGAGGTGGAGGCTGAAGTGAGCTGAGATCACGCCACTGCACTCCAACATGGGGGACAGAGTGAGACTCCATCTCAAAAAATAAAACAAAACAAAAAGGAAATTATACTAATATTTAAAACAAAATAACTTAACCATTTATCTAGAACACATGACAAGTTTTTAGGAGAAAAAGAACTATAAGTACTCAGTGAAGAGAAGACATGAAGGAAGTAAAACCAGATTATTAATTAACACATGCCAGGAAAAACTCTGCATTTCTTTAACATTGGTAAATGCTTGAAATTAAAGCAACAATGAATACAAAAACTTAAGGAAAAATATGTTCTTCTAAGATTTTCACTCTCAGACAAACTGTATTTCCAATGTGAAGGCTGAAACACTCCTTCCAATCAGACGATATCTGTTCTGGGTGCTTTTATTATTTTCATAATGAAGGCCAACCCTACCCTCGGTAGAATAACTACATTTGTGGACTTTGTCAGAATATAATCTTGAACCTGTTTCCACTCAAGAAATTTCAAAAACTTGACTGTGACAAGCAATATTTATGGAGAACTCTGTAGGATATACCTTCCAATTTCATTGGCAAGTATTCCTCAAATTGTGTTCATGTGAAGATTAATATTCCCAGAATTATTAGTAGAGAAACATAAAGGAAAATTTCTGTGATAAAACGTTAGGAACACACTAAGCTCACCTAAGGTAAAAATAATTCTCTTCCACAAGACTCCTCAGAGCCTGATAATAAACTAAGGTGATTTGTACATCTACAAGAGCAATATAAAGTGTGCAGCATTCAAATGTATTCACCTCTGCACCCTGAAAAAACCCACAAATCACTTGTCATGATTTCACATGATGTCATAATTTGCAATAATTATAAAAGTATAATTATATAAACCATATAATTTATATAATTAAATTTTCCTTTGAAAATGATACTGATAGGCCAGGCGCAATCACTCACATCTGTAATCCCAGCGCTTTGGGAGGCTGAGGCAGGTGGATCACTTGAGGTCAGGAGTAGGAGACCAGCCTGGCCAATATGGCCAAATCCCGTCTTTTCTAAAAATACAAAAATTTTTAGAAAATTTATATAATTTATATAATTAGAATTTTATATAACTAAAAATGTTTATTTATATAATTAATTAAAATTACATAAATCATAATTTGCGATAAAATTCATTCCTGCAAAAGCCATGTTTGTTTCCATCAGTACAGTCTGTTTTGGGAGACATAAAAATTTTAACTATGAAACTCTTGGTCATATCAAATTCGTTGCACAGAAGTGTCACCTTTTATAAAACAACAGGAGAAATGTTTCACTTGTCTTGATATGAAGAGTGGTTGTGTTTCTCCTAAGAAACAAATCATTTGTTTATGTTGATTGCTGTGAACCTCATAATGTATTGAGTTTTCTTTCTGATGTTGGCTGCTAAAAAGGTTACAGAAACCAAACAAACAAGAAACGACAACAAAAACACTGTGGTCAACTTCTCTGGGAGTGTGGCAAACAAGAAAGGGAACAGTAGGCCCAGTGCAGTGGCTCACATCTGTAATCCCAGCACATTGGGAGGCTGAGACGGGAGGATCTCTTGAACCTAGGAGTTCAAGACCAAACAGGGCAACCTGGTGAAACCCTGTCTCTACTAAAAATACAAAAAATTAGCTGGGCATGGTGGCGCATGTCTGTAGTCCCAGCTACATGGAAGGCTGAGATGGGAGGATCACTTGAAATCAGGAAGTTGAGGCTGCAGTGAGCCAAGATCATGCCACTGCACTCCAGCCTGAGCAATGGGAGTGAAACCCCATCTCAAAAGAAAGGGAACAGTAGCACAATGATAGGGCATGACAATGTCTGTTCTGTTACCCAGATCTAGCCTTCCCACTGGACTTTGCCCTGTAAGTCCTTCTGGAGTGGTACAGAAAAGCTTCAGAAGCTTTTTCCAAGAGGAATCTTGTGCGACTCTGGCTATAAACAATGCTCCTCTGGACCCAGGTACCAATGGGAAACACACAGTAGGAGACATAATTTATCTTCCCATTTGTGCTCCAACACCCTGAGGAAGGACTGCACCTACAGTTTTGCAGTTATAGCAGCCTGAGCATTGTGCTAGAGAAAGACATGTTCTTCCCAGAGCGACAGTGGTAGCTGGCCCAGCAGAGCACCAGTGGAGACAGCAAAGACACGGTGCAGCCTGGTAAAAGAACATTGGCTTGAAGCATGTCCATCCTCAACACTGAGACATATTGAACCCGTAAGAATGCTTAAGGAGAAATTCTCAGGGACACCAGTTCCTACACTTATGATGGTGAGAGGTAAAGAAAAATGTGAAATTTGGGTGCAAATGCTAATATTAGTGTATCTGTGCCTTAGAGTGGTGGTCTTTGGGATTCTTCAGGCTCTTTATTTAGTAGCTTTAATGCTAGCTTGAATTTCCTACTCTTACTTTTTTGACCTCATTTTTTTTACATTAAAACATTTAATATTGTGACATTATTATACACTTTTTTCTTAAGCGAAATTAAATATTTTCTTAGAATAAGATAGTACTAAATAAATGATTAAGTGATTGATATTTTACAGTAGAAGCTCAAATGAGCAATAAACATGTAATGCAAAAGAAGTTTGTGGTAGACCAAGTGATAACCACCCAAAGATGTCCACTTCCTGCTTGCCTGTATCTATGAATATGTTATCTTACATGGCAAAAGGGACCCTACAGATGTGATTAAGTTAAGGATCATAAAATGGAAGATTATCCTGGATTTATTGGGTAGGACCAATATAATCACAATGGTGCTTATAAGACAGAAGGTGGAAACAAATGAGTCATGGAAGGAGATATGACGATGGAAGCAGAAATCAGAGAAATGCAGCCACTAGCCAAGAGATGCAGGCAGGCCCTAGACATTGGAAGAGGCATTGAACAGATTCTCTCCTAATAGCCTCTAAAAAGAATGCAACTCTGCAGAACCTCTGATGATTTTCGTGCTGTAAGAGCTATTCTGAACTTCTGATTTCCAGAACTGTTAAAACCTTAAATGTACATTATTATATAATAGTACATTTGTGGAAATTTGTTACAGCATCAGCAGGAGTATAGTACAAGACTTTAATGAGATACACTTTACTCCTATCAAATTGCTTTTTTTTCCCCCTAGGTAACACTAAATGTTTAGTAAAGTTTAGTAAAAATAGAACTAATATCCACCACTGATAAAGTATAAGCTGAAATATTTTCAGAAAGTAAGCAGCATAGACAAAGGTCTAAATCCTTAAAGTAATTTTAATACTTTGACCAGGTAACTAAATTTCAGGAATTTAAGATGAGAAAATAATTAGATATGTGTATAAATACCTTTACACAGTGCTGTGCATTCAAACATTACATATGCTGAAACTAGATTCACTTAAATGGTTTGGATAAACTTTACTGTATCCATGCAAAGAAATATATTACACAGTTGTCAACTGCATTAAATGCCAAAGTAAAGAGTCAGACACCTAAGTTATTGTATATTATAGCTCTAATGTTATAAAATATAACTATAAATCAATATTTGTGAAAGAAAAATATTAATATGAAATATACTAATATAACTCATTTTTGAATGAGATGTGTGATGTGTCTTTTTGCCTTTACATCGTCCTGATATTTTTTCATTTTTTCATGAAGGGTTAGTACATTACTTCCATAATCATAAAAAGTAAATATGAAATGTATATTTAACATGTTATTATGAGGAAACTCAATAAATAAAGCATATCATCACTGTTATGCTGGAAACGAATGCTGTAAGCCCAGAATCCTCACAGTAAGATAGCATCATTCTGTTAACTGATAGTTGGAAAGCTATTGGCTGGTATGTCTGTCAATTCAATTGTTAATCTGTATTCTGTATATTTTTTAATATTAAAAATCATTTTAAAATGTAAACTCCATTATTGTTATAATTTTAAAAATTAACTAAGGTGCCAGGAGTTGTGAATCATCACCACAGGGTTAACAATAAGAAGTTATATGACTTTCAACTCTTTCCTTTAACCTTCTGGAATACAATTTTCTCACCTAAAAAACAAAGATGTTTCATTAGATGATTAGTCGATTAATTTATGGTTTTCCAATTGTGACTCTTGTAAGGATCTAAAATATTTATGCCGCACACCTCTTCTGAGAAGAAACTGTCGTTGCTCCAATATTCCTGCCTACATCTAACAATATTCCCCGTAAATTACTCTGTAATCCTTTTTCACTCCTTACATGCCTTCATGTCTCTTCTAGTAGATTAGATAACGATGTATGTTCCACTCTGAGCAGGTATATTCAGACCTACCTATAAAGGTCAAGGGAGCTGAGAGGCCAAAGAAAGGGACTGACAAATCCAGTTTCTCAGAAAGAAACTGTCAGGCCTCTGAGCCCAAGCCAACCATCCCAGCCCCTGTGACTTGCACATATATGACCAGATGGCCTGAAGTAACTGAAGAATCACAAAAGAAGTGAATATGCCCTGCCCCACCTTAACTGATGACATTCCACCACAAAAGAAGTGTAAATGGCCGGTCCTTGCCTTAACTGATGACATTACCTTGTGAAAGTCCTTTTCCTGGCTCATCCTGGCTCAAAAAGCACCCCCACTGAGCACCTTGCGACCCCCACTCCTGCCTGCCAGAGAACAAACCCCCTTTGACTGTAATTTTCCTTTACCTACCCAAATCCTATAAAACGGCCCCACCCTTATCTCCCATCGCTGATTCTCTTTTTGGACTCAGCCCGCCTGCACCCAGGTGAAATAAACAGCCATGTTGCTCACGCAAAGCCTGTTTGGTGGTCTCCTCACACGGACGCGCATGAAATTTGGTGCTGTGACTCAGAATGGGGGACCTCCCTTGGGAGATCAATCTCCCGTCCTCCTGTTCTTTGCTCCATGAGAAAGATCCACCTACGACCTCAGGTCGTCAGACAGACCAGCCCAAGAAACATCTCAAATCCGGTAAGCGGCCTCTTTTTACTCTCTTCTCCAACCTCCCTCACTATCCCTCAACCTCTTTCTCCTTTCAATCTTGGTGCCACACTTCAATCTCTCCCTTCTCTTAATTTCAATTCCTTTCATTTTCTGGTAGAGACAAAGGAGACACGTTTTATCCGTGGACCCAAAACTCCGGCGCTGGTCACGGACTGGGAAGGCAGCCTTCCCTTGGTGTTTAATCATTGCAGGGACACCTCTCTGATTATTCACCCACGTTTCAAAGGTGTCAGACCACGCAGGGACGCCTGCCTTGGTCCTTCACCCTTAGTGTCAAGTCCCACTTTTCTGGGGAAGGAGCAAGTACCCCAACCCCTTCTCTCCTTGTCTCTACCCCTTCTCTGCTTTTCTGGGGGACGGACAAGTACCCCTCAACCCCTTCTCCTTCACCCTTAGTGGCAAGTCCTGCTTTTCTACGGGGCAAGAACCCCCAATCCCTTATTTCTGCGCCCCAACCTCTTATCTCTGTGCCCCAATACCTTATTTCCATGCCCCAACCTCTTATATCTCTGCCCCCCAATCCCTTATTTCCGCGCCCCAACCTCTTATATCTCTGCGCCCCAATCCCTTATTTCCACGCCCCAACCTCTTATTTCTGCACCCCATCCCTTATTTCTGTGCCACAACCCCTTTTCCCACTTTTCTGGAAGGTAAGAACCCCCGAACCCCTTCCCTCCATTTCTCTACTCTCTTTTCTCTAGGCTTACTTCCTTCACCATGGGCAACCTTCCACCCTCCATTCCTCCTTCTACTCCCTTGGCCTGTGTTCTCAAAAACTTAAAACCTCTTCAACTCACACCTGACCTAAAACCTAAATGCCTTATTTTCTTCTGCAATGCTGCTTGACCCCAATATAAACTCGACAGTAGTTCCAAATAGCCAGAAAATGGCACTTTGAATTTTTCCATCCTGCAAAATCTAAGTAATTCTTGTCGTAAAATAGGCAAATGGTCTGAGGTGCCTGATGTCCAGGCATTCTTTTACACATCAGTCCCTTCCTGGTCTCTGTGACCAGTGCAACTGGTCCCAAATCTTCCTTCTTTCCCTCCCGCCTGTCTCCTCAGTACCAATCCCAAGCGTCGCTGAGTCTTTCTAATCTTCCTTTTCTACAGACCCATCTGACCTCTCCCTTCCTCCCCAGGCTGCTCCTCACCAGGCCGAGCTAGGTCCCAATTCTTCCTCAGCCTCTGCTCCTCCACCCTATAATCTTTTTATCACCTCCCCTCCTCACACCTGGTCCGACTAGCCCTCCCCCTCCTGCCCAGCAATTTACTCTTAAAAAGGTGGCTGGAGCTAAAGGCATAGTCAAGGTTAATGCTCCTTTCCTTTTTGTTTATCCCAAATCAGATAGTGTTTAGGCTCTTTTTCATCAAATATAAAAATCCAGCCCAGTTCATGGCTCGTTTGGCAGCAACCCTGAGACACTTTACAGCCCTAGACCCTAAAAGGTCAAAAGGCCGTCTTATTCTCAAAATACATTTTATTACCCAATCTGCTCCCGACATTAAATAAAACTCCAAAAATTGGAATCTGGCCCTCAAACCCCACAACAGGACTTAATTAACCTCACCTTCAAGGTGTACAATAACAGAAAAAAAGTTGCAATTCCTTGCCTCCACTGTGAGACAAACCCCAGCCGCATCTCCAGCACACAAGAACTTCCAAATGCCTGAACCGCAGCAGCTAGGCATTCCTCCAGAACCTCCTCCCCCAGGAGCTTGCTACACGTGCTGGAAATCTGGCCACCGGGCCAAGGAATGCCCGTAGCCCGGGATTCCTCCTAAGCCGCGTCCCATCTGTGTGGGACCCCACTGAAAATCGGACTATTCAACTCACCTGGCAGCCACTCCCAGAGCCCCTGGAACTCTGGCCCAAGGCTCTCTGACTGACTCCTTCCCAGATCTTCTCGGCTTAGCGGCTGAAGACTGACACTGCCCGATCGCCTCGGAAGCCCCCTAGACCATCACAGACACCGAGCTTCGGGTAACTCTCACAGTGGAAGGTAAGCCTGTCCCCTTCTTAATCAATACGGAGGCTCCCCACTCCACATTACCTTCTTTTCAAGGGCCTGTTTCCCTTGCCTCCATAACTGTTGTGGGTATTGACGGCCAGGCTTCTGAACCTCTTAAAACTCCCCAACTCTGGTGCCAACTTAGACAATACTCTTTTAAGCACTCCTTTTTAGTTATCCCCACCTGCCCAGTTCCCTTATTAGGCTGAGACACTTTAACTAAATTATCTGCTTCCCTGACTATTCCTGGACTACAGCTATATCTCATTGCCGCCCTTCTTCCCAATCCAAAGCCTCCTTTGCGTCCTCCTCTTGTATCCTTCCACCTTAACCCACAAGTATAAGATACCTCTACTCCCTCCTTGGCGACCGATCATGCACCCCTTACCATCTCATTAAAACCTAATCACCCTTACCACACTCAATGCCAATATCCCATCCCGCAGCACACTTTAAAAAGATTAAAGCCTGTTATCACTCGCCTGCTACTGCATGGCCTTTTAAAGCCTATAAACTCTCCTTACAATTCCCCCATTTTACCTGTCCTAAAACCAGACAAGCCTTACAAGTTAGTTCAGGATCTGCGCCTTATCAACCAAATTGTTTTGCCTATCCACCTCGTGGTGCCAAACCCATATACTCTCCTATCCTCAATACCTGCCTCTACAACCCATTATTCTGTTCTAGATCTCAAACATGCTTTCTTTACTACTCCTTTGCACCCTTAATCCCAGCCTCTCTTTGCTTTCACTTGGACTGACCCTGACACCCATCAAGCTCAGCAAATTACCTAGGCTGTACTGCTGCAAAGCTTCACAGACAGCCCCCATTACTTCAATCAAGCCCAAATTTCTTCCTCATCTGTTACTTATCTCAGCATAATTCTCATAAAAACACACGTACTCTCCCTGCCAATTGTGTCCGACTGATCTCTCAAACCCTAACCACTTCTACAAAACAACAACTCCTTTCCTTCCTGGGCATGGTTGGATACTTTCGCCTTTGGATACCTGGTTTTGCCATCCTAACAAAACCATTATATAAACTCACAAAAGGAAACCTAGCTGACCCCATAGATCCTAAATCCTTTCCCCACTCCTCTTTCCATTCCTTGAAGACAGCTTTAGAAACTGCCCCCACCCTAGCTCTCCCTGACTCATCCCGACCCTTTTCATTACACACAGCCGAAGTGCAGGGCTGTGCAGTCGGAATTCTTAGATAAGGACAACGATCGCGTCCTGTAGCCTTTTTGTCCAAACAACTTGACCTTATTGTTTTAGGCTGGCCATCATGTCTCTGTGCAGCCGCTGCTGCTGCCCTAATACTTTTAGAGGCCCTCATAATCACAAACTATGCTCAACTCACTCTCTACAGTTCTCATAACTTCCAAAATCTATTTTCTTCCTCATACCTGATGCATATACTTTCTGCTTCCCGGCTCCTTCAGCTATACTCACTCTTTGTTGAGTCTCCCACAATTACTGTTGTTCCTGGCCCAGACTTCAATCCGGCCTCGCACATTATTCCTGATACCACACCTGACCCCCATGACTGTATCTCTCTGATCCACCTGACATTCACCCCATTTCCCCAAATTTCCTTCTTCCCTGTTCCTCACCCTGATCACGCTTGATTTATTGATGGCTGTTCCACCAGGCCTAATCGCCACACACCAGAAAGGCAGGTTATGCTATAGTACAAGCCACTAGCCCACCTCTTAAAACCTCTCATTTCCTTTCCATCGTGGAAATCTATCCTCCAGGAAATAACTTCTCAGTGTTCCATCTGCTATTCTACTACTCCTCAGGGATTATTCAGGCCCCATCCCTTCCCTACACATCAAGCTCGAGGACTGGCAAATTAGCTTTACTCAACATGCCCAAGTCAGGAAACTAAAATACCTCTTAGTCTAAATAGACACTTTCACTGAATAAGTAAAGGCCTTTCCTACAGGGTCTGAGAAGGCCACCGCAGTCATTTCTTCCCTTCTGTCAGACATAATTCCTCAGTTTAGCCTTCCCACCTCAATACAGTCTGATAACAGATGAGCCTTTATTAGTCAAATCAGGCAAGCAGTTTTTCAGGCTCTTAGTATTCAGTGAAACCTTTATATCCCTTACGGTCCTCCATCTTCAAGAAAAGTAGAATGGACTAAAGGTCTTTTAAATACACACCTCACCAAGTTCACCAACTTAAAAAGGACTGGACAATACTTTTACTACATTTCCTTCTCAGAATTCAGGCCTGTCCTCGGAATGCTACAGGGTACAGCCCATTTAAGCTCCTGTATAGACGCTCCTTTTTATTAGGCCCCAGTCTCATTCCAGACACCAGACCAACTTAGACTGTGTCCCAAAAAAACTTGTCATCCCTATCTTCTGTCTAGTCATACTCCTATTCACCGTTCTCAACTACTCATACATGCCCTGCTCTTGTTTAGCCGGTTTACACTGTTTTTCCAAGCCATCACAGCTGATATCTCCTGGTGCTATCCCCAAACTGCCACTCTTAACTCTTGAAGTAAATAAATAATCTTTGCTGGCAGGACTATGCCGAATCTCCTTAAGCACTCTCTAATCAGATAATCCTGAGTCGTCCCAATTCTTAGAACTTTTATACCTGTTTTTCTCCTTCTGTTATTCCATTTAGTTTTTCAATTCATACAAAACCGTATCCAGGCCATCACCAATCATTCTATATGACAAATGTTCCTTCTAACATCCCCACAATATCACCCCTTACCACAAGATCTCCCTTCAGCTTAATCTCTCCCACTCTAGGTTCCCACGCCGCCCCTAATCCCGCTTGAAGCAGCCCTGAGAAACATCGCCCATTCTCTCTCCATACCACCCCCCAAAAATTTTCGCCACTCCGACACTTCAACACTATTTTGTTTTATTTTTCTTATTAATATAAGAAGGCAGGAATGTCAGGCCTCTGAGCCCAAGCCAAGCCATCCCATCCCCTGTGACTTGCACATATATGACCAAATGGCCTGAAGTAACTGAAGAATCACAAAAGAAGTGAATATGCTCTGCCCCACATTAACTGATGACATTCCACCACAAAAGAAGTGTAAATGGCCGGTCCTTGCCTTAACTGATGACATTACCTTGTGAAAGTCCTTTTCCTGGCTCATCCTGGCTCAAAAAGCACCCCCACTGAGCACCTTGTGACCCCCACTCCTGCCCGCCAGAGAACAAACCCCCTTTGACTGTAATTTTCCTTTACCTACCCAAATCCTATAAAACGGCCCCACCCTTATCTCCCATCACTGATTCTCTTTTTGGACTCAGCCCGCCTGCACCCAGGTGAAATAAACAGCCATGTTGCTCACACAAAGCCTGTTTGGTGGTCTCTTCACACAGACGCGCATGAAAGAAACATTTAATAGGGGCTTATGAACAGAAGCAAGGTCTTGGCCGTGGGATGGTAGATCCCACACCAACCTCCAGAAAGTATTCTTTATATAGCAAGCTTTTTTGGTAAAATATGTGCAGCTGGTCATGTCTCAGACCATTTTATGAAACTCTTGTTTGCTGAGGAAGTTAGATAGCATCTTTATGAGGGATTATCTATGCTACAGGCATTGTTTCTTGGCCTTGCAGAACACCTTGCTAGCAGGAGTCAAATATCAGTCATTATACCTGCTTAGTTTCAAGATGACATCACTCCTGCCATGCAACAGGCTGTTTCCCTATAGTTCCTTGATTGCTATACATTATTTTATTTATTCACAATCATTTAGCAAGAGTCAGGTATATGCCCAGTGATATATGGGAAGTTATTTGTATGTTATAATATACTACTTGAAAAAACTATTCAATGTATGCAGAACAAGTCAATCTTCAATTGGAAACTGTGGTAGGCCAGTGAAATAAAATAAAACCATCTCCCTGTTATTAAATATATAATTTCACGTAAGTATGAAATTAAGTATTATAAAATTCCTGTTCAGATCCATATTTGCTACCAAAATAGATGAGTCCATTTCTAAATACTTTTCAGAAAAATATAGTGTAATTATATAATAATGGGAAATTTGAAAATATTTTCCTGGAAAATTATTTAAAACTAACTGAACATAATAGAAAACTGGACAGATTTTCTTAAAAACATTTTCAAAATCCAGTTAGAAAACTATTATTCAAGAAAGAAAACTTGCTGTGCTAGTAGGTATCTGTTTTTAGTATATTGAACAAATAGATATTTCAGACTATAATGAAAGCAGAGCCTTTTTTTCCTCTATTAATTTGATGGAATGATCTTCACACCTAGTCAAAATAGTTCAGTAGAAGGTCACACAGAGAATATCCAGAAAAGAAGTATAAAGAAAATAATAAAAATCTGTGCTGAAATGATAGATACTTTATTGTAATCCATGAAAGATTATTGAATTAGATATTGTAATTCTTTTTTTTTTTGCCATCTTATTAATCTTTGCAGACAATTGGGCATATAATCAATAAAATATTCCTAGTAGCAAGTTCATCTAAAATTGGCTGCAGTGTTTTATGCTATTGAGATCATAACTCTAGGCTATTACCTTTTCTAACAAAAAGTCAGCTTTCAATGAAATCCAGCAGAGAAAATATGTATGCCTGGGGGACAGAATACTTTTCACCCTTATAGGCACTCAAATAGAATCTTTTTTACTCACCATCTATTGTTCATTCTGCCATCATAAATTTTAAAGATTTCACGAATTGTTTTCAGATAAAACAATGACCATTTTTCTACTGAAATTCCTCAATATGTCCCAACAGAAAACACCATATTCCACATTTTCTGCAATCATTCTACGTATATGATTTTCTTGAGATGGGAAACAAAGAAACTTAACAGTAGAGAAAATAAACTCTGCTCTACTTTTAGAGTTTGGCTTTTCAGGAGAATGTAATAAAAGAGGTACAGGTTCAGCCTACGAATGTACAAGACAAGATAAATATTTGTGCAGTACTTTCCAACGCAAAGGAAAGGCAACAAAAATTTGGAGAGTAGGACATTTTCCCAAACATAAATAAGGGATTTATTCACAAAAAGGGAAAGCATTAAACTGGGTTTTATAGGAAATGAATAAGCCTGAGAGGATTTTTATCTCTAATGAAAGTATCACGGATCTTGTATGGGGAAGTGTGCAAATGGATTTAAGGAACACATTGGGATGGAAGACAGAAGACTGGAGTCACAGCAAGGAGGAACAAAGGCCATCAGTTCCTGAAAGATGAGTATAGTTGGTATAAAGCACAGGAAGTTAATAAATTCATTATGAGAAAACTTCTTTAAATTTAAAACATAGTCTCCTTAAGCACACCAGTTTAGTTGTTGGATAAGTTTTAATATTTACTAATATTCCTGAAAAATAGAGATTTAAAGGGAGAAAATAAAACTGGTATTGTGATATATTTTAATTTTCATATTGAACTGTAAAAGATTATGGCTATCTCACCAATATTAATTGAAAAGTAAAGGTTCTTTTTTAAATGAATCCTATTTTTATGTTAAAATTTCAATATGTTGATTAATAACTGAATAAATAAGTGGATAAATACATAAGTAAAGGACAAATCCTAGTATATACTTAAAATTATCTTATCTCTTATTATTCTTTAAAAGAGGAAAGCATAATCATAAAATTAGAGTCTCAGACTCACAATCCCTTAAATAATTTCCCCTGTTCTAATTGAGGTGAAAAATGTATTTTATTTATCCCTTTCCGTATACTTTCAAGTGTGTTGGCTGGAATACTATATTTAAGCATGCACAATTACCGATTTGCTTACTAGTTACCATTGAAAATAACCAATTCTAAGTTTTTGGCTTCTTTAGTATCTTAGCTTAAACCAAATCTGTGTGGTAGACCAGTATCCCATCACACTGTCTATTTTTCTTCTATTGCAATAATTTGCTTCAATCATTTTAATTTAGATTTTTCCCTTTCATTCCTGTGGCTGCCACCTCTCAGGAGCCCTTTACTGGCTTATCTCTCTGCTTTCAGGATGTGCTCACCATTGAATCTTTCTTCCCTCTCTGCCCACCAACACCATCAACAGTGTCTCTAAAATCTTGCAAATAATCATCTCCCAAAAAATATTTTTTTCCAGATTAAAGACTGTTCAATAAGAGCTAGTTATCTATTCACAAATCCAAAACTATTATATTTGTAAAGCCTTTTATTAACCGCAATTACTTTTACACCAATCTAATACATTTGTTTATTACCTGTTTCTCCCAAATTTATGTTTTTCACACTTTCTCAGCATAGTTATCCCATTTTAGCCAGGCTTACCTCTTCATTGTTTCTCAAACCTCCATAGACACTCCATTGCCATTTGTGCCTTTACGTTTTTTTATTTGTTTGTTTTAAATTTTTTACTCTTTCCCAAATGTGTCTCCGAACTCTTTGGAATGTCTTCCTTTATCCTTCCCACATAACCAAGTAGTATTTATTATTTAACTACCAAATCAAATTTCATTACTAAAGATTATAATCAGTCTTCTAGACATATAAATACAAATTGCACGTTGAATTCTATAGTTTCATACTTCACTATTTTCTGATTTG
Source organism: Homo sapiens (assembly GCF_000001405.40). Classification (NCBI taxonomy): domain Eukaryota; kingdom Metazoa; phylum Chordata; class Mammalia; order Primates; family Hominidae; genus Homo; species Homo sapiens. The sequence goes on from NC_000014.9 coordinate 41,525,069, forward strand.
GTAAGTATACAACACCAGAAGACATTCTGCTTTATTTCAAGTACAAGCACAGAAAGAATCATCCAAAACATGTACGCATTGTTCTTAATGAATGGTTTACCCATACAAACCTATTAGATGTATTTACAGAGATAGGCTCTAGTAACCATGAATGAAGTCAAGGTCTCTCCTCTACCTGTTATTCTCTTATCACCCCACCTTCTTCCTTAACTCATGCATCTCTGACATCTTCATGACACAGAACTTTCCTGAGTGGTCTCTTTGTTCTAACACCTGGTATGTTTCCCTGGTGAGTCACTTCCTCTGTACTTATGACCAAACATATTCTTCCTTTCTCCATTCTTCATAATCTTCATTCTTCTTTTATTTTCTTCTTCACCTTCTGTCTCTCTCTCTCTCTCTCTATATATATATATATATAAATATATTATATATATATTATATAAATATAATGGTCTCATCTATTCACATGACTTTACCTGTATCTTGTAGGTGATAAAATTGTGTATCATTGTATCTCCTTTTTGGTATCTCTCCTAAGTTCCACACTCAAATTTCCAAGAGTTTACAGAATGTATTCATCTGGATCCTTCTTTGCATATTACTTATGATAGTTAGACTTCTTGATTACTTTCCTTTTCCAAATCCATGATTTTTCCTTTTACTATGTAATTAGTATCTTCTCAGGTATTCTTAACAAGTATCTCAGTTATGTTTTCTTCTGCCTTCCCCGGTCTCTGATGTCTTTCTGAGCAGTATTATTCACTTCTTGATATAGAACATGTAAAGGAAAAAAGTTTGTTTTTTTTCTTGTGGTTTTTTTTTCCTATGTTTGGAACAAAACTACTAGAAACTTCTTTATTTCACTTAGGTAATGTTCCAAAACTGATGGTAGACATTTCATTAAAATAAAATACATTTTCTTTCGAAGGCAAAACAAATGTTTTTTAATTGTTTAAAAACTACATTAATAATCACCAGTCTGGGCCAGGTGTGGTGGCTCACGCCTGTAATCCCAGCACTTTGGGAGGTTGAGGCGGGTGGATCACGAGGTCAAGAGATTGAGACCCTCCTGGCTAACATGGTGAAACCCCGTCTCTACTAAAACTACAAAAAATTAGTTGGGCATGGTGGCGGGGACCTGTAGACCTAGTTGCTCCGGAGGCTGCGCAGGAGAATGGCATGCTCCACCCAGGAGGTGGAGCTTGCAGTGAGCTGAGATCACACCACTGCACTCCAGCCTGGGTAACAGAGCAAGACTCCATCTCAAAAAAAAAAAAAAAAAAAAAAAAAAATCACCATTCTGACTGGTCTAGGATGGTATGTCACTGCGGTTTTGATTTGCATTTCTCTAATGATCAGTGATGATGAGCTTTATTTTTTGTGTTTGTTGGCTGCATAAACGTCTTCTTTTGAGAAGTCTCTGTTCATATCCTTTGCTCATTTTTTGATGGGGATGTTTGGTTTTTCTTTAAAATTTGTTTAAGTTTCTTGTAGGTTCTGGGTATTAGACCTTTGTCAGATGAATAGACTGCAAAGTTTTTCTCCCATTCTGTAGGCTGCCTGTTCACTCTGATGCTAGTTTCCTTGGCTGTGCAGAAGCTCTTTAGTTTAATTAGATCCCATTTGTCAATTTTGGCTTTTGTTGCAGTTGCTTTAATAGATGCTGGTGAGGGTGTGGCAAAATGGGAATGCTTTTACACTGTTGGTGGGAATGTAAATTAGTTTAATGATTGTAGAAGACTGTGTAGCCATTCCTCAAGGATCTAGAACCAGGAATACCGTTTGATCCAAAATTCCATTACTGGGTATATACCCAAAGGATTATAAATCATTCTACTATAAAGATATATGTACACGTATGTTTATTGCAGCACTATTTATGATAGCAAAGACATAGAGCCAACCCAAATGCCGACCAGTGATAGAATAGATAAAGAAAATGTTGCACATATATCCCATGGAACACTATTCAACCATAAAAATCAATGAGATCATGTTCTTTGCAGGAAAATGGATGAAGCTAGAAGCCATCATTCTCAGCAAACTAACACAGAAACAGAAAATCAAACACTGCATGTTCTCACTCATAATTGGGAGTTGAACAATGAGAACACATGGACACAGGGAGGTGGGCAACACACACCAGGGCCTGTCAGGGAGTGGGGGGCAAAGGGAGGGAGAGCATTAGGGCAAATACCTAATGCATGTAGGGCTTAAAACCTAGATGACAGGTTGATAGGTGCAGCAAACCACCATGGCACATGTATACCTATGTAACAAACCTGCATATTCCATGCATGTATCCTGGAACTTAAAGTAAAATTAAAAAAAAAAAGTATATTGTCCGTATTCTTTAGATTCCACAGTTTGAAGTTGTATGATAAAATTATTGCAGGTGTCATTGTTAGGAAACTACATTTATTAGAACATACTTGCATTTCTTGAAATTGCCCCTCCCTTCGTAATAGGATTAGCCAAAGATTAGCTTGCACAAATGTGACTAATGATTTCTTTACACAGGTAACAGATTGTAGAAGTCCGCAAAACTGAAAAGAGTATGGAAAAAAATATGAAAAGATAAAAAAAATGTAAAAACACATCTTGAACATTCTAGACCACCAAGGAGAGTTTTAAGAAGAAGTAGATCTTTCACATTTCCAAATGATCCAAGAAATAGAAAATTAAATTTTTTGCAAGTGAGATAAATGTCTAGGTAGAATCAGACGGGTAAACCAACAACTGGAAAATGAAGTGTCTTTGTCAATCTTTCCCAGGACTTTTGTCTGTTTTTCTCTTCGCCTCTGTTTCTGCTCTGATATTGATGATTTTCTACTCTTTGCTTATCCTTCCATTTTTGAACAACTGCTCTAAGATAGAAATCAATAGGGCAACAGGGATTATACAGGATGCTTTAAACTTTCAGGTGGACAGCTTCCCTGTCTGGGAGTTACCACAAATGGCTTTCCCTGAGAAACCACCTCTGATTTCATAAAACCACTGTTTTATAAAAGGTCCTCTTTCTGCTATTCTATGCACCCAAGGTTTGAAATTCATTATTTTTTTAGCTGTACCTTGGTGCCTATTGTAAAGCCTTTCATTGATTGACAGACGCCAGCTAGGAAAGTTTCCATGCGGTAAAACATAAGACATACTGTACTTAGAAAGCAGGAACAAGAATATTCCTGCTAACAAAATTTTGCCTCTTTTAAAACTGATAAAGTTGTTTAGCTGATAATTCTTTCCTTGATATAAAAAATATAAAATTATCTGTCAAACTATTGCATAGAATTTTATTGTTAAAAATAGCATTATTTGTTTTTTGACAAAGCATTTTACTTTTTACAAATTAAGAGAAAGCCTAAACCAAAATATTTGGTATTTTGATGTAATGCCATCACAGTTGACTAATATTTAGCCACTTACTAAGGGTAAAATGTTGATGAATGATGTGTCAGATTTGTCATACAACTAAATATAAACTAAATTGAACAATGGAAGATGAAAGAGAGGTTTATTTCTCCAGTTTCCAGGAAGCAAGTTTAATAAAGGAGAAAAAAAATCCTCTATCAATGGTATTTTTCAGCAATTAAAATGTATAAAACTATGAATATATTGATATTCATAATGTATAGACATAATTTTATATATTATATATATGTGATATGTTGTTACCTACCTTAATATATACACATTTTATATAATACATTAAACATTCATTATTTTTATTATGTACATACTATGCAATATATATTTCTAATATTTTATTGTAGCAAAATACATATAACAAAAAATTGTACTGTCTTGACTACTTCTAGGTATACAATTTGTAAGTATTAATACATTCATATTGTTTTGCAACCATTCCTCCCAGCCATTTCCAGAACTCATTTATTCTTGAAAAAATTGAAATTCTATAGCAATTAACCAATAACCACCTCTTTCCCCCTCCCCTCAGACCCTGAAAACAAGCTTTCTACTTTCTGTCTCTATAATTTCAACTACTCTAAGTACTTCATGTAAGTGGAATGATATAATGTTTTATGTTTTGTGATTGATATTTTACTTATAATTTCCTCAAGATTCAACTATGTTATGACATATATTATAATTTCCTTCCTTTGTAAAGCTGAATAATTTTCAATGAATACATATATCACATTTTGCTTATCCATTTATTCATTCACGGGCACTAGAGTAGCTTCCATGTTTTGCTTTGTAAATAAGGCTGCTATGAATATGGATGTTCTAATATCTCTTTATGACCCTCTTTTCAATTCTTTCAAGCAAATATCTAGAAGTGAAATTGCTGTATCATATGCTATTTTTATTGTTTTCAGGAAACACCATACTATTTTCCACAAACATCTGTATCACTTTACATTCTCACCAACAATGTCCAAGTGTTCTAATTTCCCCACATGCTTGCCAATATATTTTCCATTTTTTATAGTAACCATTCTAATGAGTGTGATGTGGTATCTAATTGTAGTTTTGATATGTAGTTCCCTAATTTTTAGTGACTTTGAACATTGCACAATTTGTTGAACAATATTAATTGGGTTGCTTTTTGTTGTTGTTTAGTTTCAAGAGTTCTCTGTATATTCTGTATAATAATACGCTGTCAGATATATAATTTCCAAGCATTTTCTCCCATTCTGTGGGTTGCCTTTTCACTGTGTTGGCAGTGTGTTTTGATGCATATTTTAAAAAAAAATTCCTTAGGTCAATTTATCTACTTTTTATTTTGTTTTCTGTGCCTTTGGTGTCATATTCAAAAAATAATTGCAAGACTAAATGTTTTGAATTTTCTGTCCTATATTTTATTCTAAGAGATTTTTAGTTACAGGTTTTACATTTAGATCATAGATCATTGAGTTCATTTTTATATATGGTGTTACGTAAGGTCCAACTTTATTCTTTTTTATGCGAACATACTATATGTTTTCCCAGCAGCATTTTTTGTAAAGATTGACTCTTCCTCTTCAAATGGTCTTGGCACCCTTGTGGAAAATCATTTAGACATATATTTTAAGGTTTATTTCTAGACTCTATTTCATAGGTCTGTATGTCTCTTTTTATGCTAGTACCACACTGTTTTCATTACTATTGCTTTATAGTGAGTTTTGAAATCAGCTTGGTAGTGTGAATCCTCTAGCTTTGTTATTCCTTTTCAGGATTGTTTTAGCTATTTGGGATCCCTTGAGATTCCATATATATTTTAGTATGGGCTTGTCTAATTCTAAAAAACATGTCATTGTGATTTTTGATTGGGACTGCATTAAATCTGTAGATAGCTTTTGATAATACTGACATCTTAACAATACTGAGGCTTCCAATCCATGAACATGGATATCTTTTAATTTGTTTATGCCTTCTTTAATATTTTCAGCAATATTTTGAAGTTTTAATTATACAGTATTTTACTTCCTTGGTCAAATTAATTTCTAAGTATTTTATTCTTCTTGATGCAATTGTAAATGGAATCATTTTCTAAATTTTCTTTTCAGATTATTTATTGTTAGTATATGGAAACATAACAGATGTTTCTGTGTCAACTCTATCCTGCTACTTTGTTAAAATCCTTTATTAGTTCTGATTTGAGGGGAATCTAGATTTTTTTCTACATATGTAACTTGTTATCTATGAAAATAAATAATTTTGTTTTGCCTTACAATTTGGATTTTTTCTGCCTTATTTTATCTGACTCCAATTTCTAGTACTAAGTTGAATAGAAATGGAGAAAGTAAGCATCCTAGCCTTGTTCTTTAGTCTAAAAGAAAAGCTTTCAATCTTTCACCATTAAGGATGAGGTTCACTGTTTTTTTAATATATATATATTTCACTATGTAAAGGTAATTACTTTCTATTCCTAGATTGTTGAGTTTTTTTTTTTTTTGAAAGTGGGTTGAATTCCGAGAAATTGTTTTTCTGCATCTATCAAGATGATCATATGTTCTTTTTTCCTTCATTCTGTTAAGTCATATATTATATTGATGACTTTTATGTGTTGAACTATACTTGAATTCCAGGAACAAATTCCACTTGGTCATGGTTTATAATTCTTTTAATATGTTGCTGAATTTGGTTTTTGAGTATTTTGATGAAGATCCTTACATCAGTATTTATAACATAAATTGTTCTATAGCTTTCTTCTCTTTAACTGTGTGTGTCTGTCTTTGGTGTCAGGGTAATGCTAGACTAATAGAATGAGTTGGAGTACGTTATTTCCTTACAAAATTATTAGGAAAGTTTGAGGAGCATTGGTATTCATTCTTTATTTTGTAGAACTCACTGGTGAAACAAACAGGTCCAGGGCTTTTCATTGCCAATAAATTTTTGATTGCTGATTTAATCATCATACCAATTATATGTCTATTAAGACATCAATTTTGTTGGTTTTCACAAAGCACCAACTTTCAGTGTCATTGGTTTTCTCTATTATTTTATATTCTATATTTTTTTAAAAATCTCTGTTCTGATACCTACTATTATTTTCCTTCTGATAGCTTTGGGTTTAGTTTCATTTATTTTCTAGTGTCTTACATTTAAAGTTAGATTGTTCATTTGAGATCATTTTTGCTTTTTAATGTAAGCACTTAAAGTTATAAATATTGATTTAACACTATTTTTGCTGTGTCCCACAATTTTTGTATGTTATGCTTTGGCATGTTATGTTTTCATTTTCTTTTGTTTCTAAGTATTTCATAGTTACCTCATGATTTCTTCTTTGATTCACTTGTTTAAGAGTATATTATTTAATGTTTTAAAAATTATGAATCTTTCAGTTTTTTCCTACTGTTGATTTCTAAACCCATCCCAGTTTGTTTGGAGAAGATACTATGCAAGATATGTATTATTTTAAATATACTGAGATGTGATTTGTGGAATAACATATGATCTATCCTGGGAAATGTCAGCTGTACACTTGGGAAAAATGTATATTCTATTTTTATTGGATAGAGTGTTCTTATAGATCTGTTAAATCTGTTGTGTTGTACAAGTACTCTATTTTCTTACTTATCTTCTGTCTGGCTGTTCTATTATTGAGAGTGGAGTATTGAAGTCTCCAACTATTATTGTAGAACTTTTATTTCTATCTTCAATTTCATCAATGTTTACTTTATATTTCTATGATCTATTACTATAAATGTAATTGTCTGTAATTGTTATGTCTTCTTGCTGCATTAAAACTTTTATTAATATAGATGTCTTTAGTTGTCTTTTGTGTAAAATTTATTTATTTAAAGTTTATTTTGTCTAATATTAATATAGGTGCTCCTCCTCTCATTTGCTTACTATTTTTTCTATGGAATATCCTTTTCCATCCTTATACTTTCAACCTACATGTGTCTTTGAATCTAAAGTGACTCTCTTATAGACAGCATATAGTTGGGCCACGTGTTTTTACACCCTCTATTAATCTCAGGCTTTTGATTGAAATGTTTAAGCCATTTACATTTTAAGTAATTGTTAATAACTTACTTATGTCCTTTTGGTATTTGTTTTCCATATGCTGTTATTTTCCTCATTTCCTGCATTATCGTTTTATTTATTTGTGTGCTTATCTGATTTTTTTTTGTAGTTAAGCATTTAAATTCCTTTCTTATTTCATTTTGTACCTATTTTTAAGATATTTTCTTTGTGGTTTTCATGGGTATTTAACAGCTGAAAGGTATAATGCTCTAATTTGAATAATTACAAGCCTAACTTTGATAACATACCAAAACTCTATTCCTTTGATAACTCTGTTTCAGCCCATGTCAATTGTTGATGTCACAAAATTATACCTTTATAAATTGTGTCCAAAAACATAAGCTAATAATTTTAAAATGTATTAAACTTCTAAGTTATGTAAAATACAAATGTAAAGCTACCACCTAAAGTTACAATAATACTATCTTTGAAACTAATAAGTGTCTGGGTTTTGAAAAATGTATTAATTGCTTAAATCATGCAGAAAACAAAAACTGGAGTTACACACCCTTGTTACAATAATACTAGCTTTTATAATTATTCATATATTTATTTGGCTAAGATCTTTACTTCTCCTGATTGCTTCTAGTTATGCTAAAGTGTTCTTTCATCTCAACCTGCATGACTATCATTAGCATTTTTTGCAGAATATGTGTAATAATAAGGAGATATCTCAGCTTTTGTTTATCTGGTCATGTCTTAATTTTTTTCTCACTTTTGAAGAACAATATTGCCAGATATTGGATTCTTAGTTGACATTTTTTTCTTTTAATATCCAAAATAAATCATCCCACTGCCTTGTGGTCTCCAAAATTTCTGAAGAGAATTTTGCAGATAATTTTAGTGAGGTTCTGGTATATGTAATGATTCACTTATCTCTTGCTCCTTTCAAAATTAACTCTGTGGGGTTTGACAGTTTGAGTGTAATTTCTCTAGTGTGGATCTTTTTCTAATTATTCTTCTTGAAGTTCATTGTCATATTTGGATGTTTATATTCATGTCTTTCATTGAGTTTGGGGAGTTGGGGTCATTATTTATTCAAATACTTTCTCTGCCCTTTTCTCTTTCTCTTCCCCTCTTGGAACTCCCATAATGCAAATGTTGGTCTGCAAGATGTTGTCCCACAAACACCTTTTGCTATGTTCACTTTTCCTCAATGTTTTTATGTTTGTTTTTGTTCCTTAGACTGGCAATTTTTATTGTTCTATCTTCAAGTTTACTGATTCTTCTTTTGCCTGTTTACATATGCCTTTGAATTACTCAAGTAAAATTTTTATTTCATTTATTGTACTTTTCAGTTTAGAATTTCTTTCTGTTTTCTTTATATATTTTATCTTTATTGATGTTAACATTTTGTTAATGTATAATTTTCTTGAGTTTCTCATCTTTTAGTTTTTTGAGCATCTTTAATACAGTACAGATAGTAAAAATAGTTTACTATTATAGTAAAAATAGAACTCAGAGATGAGATATAACAAGGTTCTGATATTATATTACCACATGTATTTACTCTAGCAATATATAACTGATATAAGAAAAAGTAGAAGTAGAAATAAAAATGAAGATAATTCATTTTATTTTGTAGAACGTGTGTACAAGATTAAAATAAAAGTTTAGTTTAGAAATTTTGTCTATTGCAATAAATATACTAGGTATTATTTCTCTATGGTAAAAGTGACTCATAACTGTGAACCAAAATAAGATTCAATTTTATTAAACTATTAATTTTAAAATAATAATTTTCTGAAAACAAAGATCTAGACAATTATTATTGTTACTATTATTAGAATATAATGTTTTTGCTATCTCATATAGTAGTATTGCAGATATTTTCTAGTAGAAAGGAGTGTATTATACATAATATATGTAATTTTTTGGAATTTTTTTACTGTCTTGTGAAAATTAAAACACTTGATTTTTGTACATTACCTATGTATGTAATTAAAACTAGATCAATTAATCAGATAAAATAATAACTAGTCCTAGGAATTTGTGACACCTGGATCCTGGTAACATTTTGTTTAGCTGTAGTATATCTTTTTCTATCCCTTTACTTTTAACCTGAGTCTTTATATTTTAACTGGATTTCTTACATAGAGCATACAGTTGATTATTGTTTTATTATATAATCTGACAACCTCAGTTGTTTAATAGTTACATTTAAATTAGTCACATTTTAAGTGATAGTCACATTCATATCTACCATATTTATAACATTTTAATAGTCATTACATTTCTTGTTTTTGTTCTTTTTTTGTCTTTTCTGGTTTTAATTGAATGTTTTATATGTTTCCATTTATCTCATATTTTATTGTATCAATTATATTTTAAAAGAACGTTTTAGTTGTTGCACTAAAGTTTCCAATATGTCTTTTTAGATAACTTAAGGCTACCTTCAAATAATACTATAGAACTTCAGGTGTAGTGCCGTTAACTTGTAACAGAATATTCCTAATTGTTTTCCCCAGTTTTTATTAATACTGATTTGATTTATTTCCTTTATCAATACACTGTCATCACACAATAGATTATTACTATTACTATTTTGAATCCAGAGGTCCATAAGATAAATTAAGAATGAGAAAAATAAAAGATTTTACTCATTTTATATATTCCTTATCAGACATTCTTTCTTCCTTTATGTAAAACCATGTTTCTGAATGTTATCATTTCTTTCTCCCTAAAAACATTTTCTCTAATTTTTTTTTGGTGACATATCCTGCAGGGTTTTTTGTTTTGTTTTGTTTTGTTTTTTGTCTTAGAAAACCTTTGTTTCTCCATTTATAAAGGACAATATTACTGGATATATGATTCTAGGTTGTTGAGTTTTGTCCTTTAAACACTTTAAATATTTCATTCCATGCTCTTCTTGATTGCATGATTTCTGTTGACAAGTCCACTGTAATTTCTCTTAGGTAATTTGTAATGTTTTTAACTTTTATTTTAGATTAAGAGGGAACATGTGCAGGTTTGTTATTTGTCTATATTGCATGGTACTGGCATTTGGATACAAATGATCTCATTACTCAGGAACTCAGCATCATACACGCTAGTTACTTTTCAACTCTTACTCCACTCCCTTCCTCTCTACTCTAGCAGCCCCCAGTTTTTATTGTTGCCATCTTTATGTTCACAAGTACACAATGCTTAACTCCCACTTACATGTGATAACATGTGGTACTTGGTTTTCTCTTCCTGCTTTATTTTATTTAGGATAATGGATTCCAGCTGCACCCATGTTGCTGCAAAGACTATTTTTTTTATGGCTGTGCAGTATTCCATGATATATATATATACACCACATTTTTGTTATCCAATCCACCATTGATGGGCACCAAGATTGATTCCATGTCTTTGCTATCGTGAATAGTGCTGCAATGAACATGCAAGTGCCTACATCTTTTTGATAGGATGAAGTATTTTCTTTAGGATATACATCTGGTATTGGGCTTACTGTGTTGAATTGTAGTTCTAAGTTATTTGAGAAAACTCCAAACTGCTTTCTACAGTGGCTGGACTTATTTGCATTCCCACCAATAGTGTATAAATGTTCTCTCTCCTCTGCAGCCCCACCAGCATCTGTTGTTTTTTGACATTTTTTATAATACCCTTCTGACTGGTGTGAGATGGTATCTTTTTTGTTTTTGATTTGCATGTATCTGATGCTGAGTGATGTGGAGCATTGCTTCAGCTGTTTGTAGGCCATCTGTATGTCTTATTTTGAGAAGTGTCTGTTCATGTATTTTGTCCATTTTATAACAGGGTTACTTGTTTTTTGCTTTTTCAATTATTTAAGTTTCTCATAGCGTCTGGATACCAGACTTCTGTTGAATGCTTTGTGCATAAATATTTTCTCCCATTTTGTAGATAATTTACACTGTTGGTAGTTTCTTTTGCTGTGGAGAAGTTGTTTAGTTTAATTAGGTTCCACTTGTGAATTTTTGTTTTTGTTATATTGCTATTCATAACATAGTCATAAATAATTTGCCATGTCCAGAATGATGTTTCCTAGGTCTACTCTAGGATTATTATAGTTTGAGGTCTTACATTTAAATCCTTAATTCATCTTGAGTTAATTTTTATATATGGCAAAAGGAAGGGGTCCAGTTTCATTCTTCTGCTTCATGGTGACCTATCTCAGCAGCCTTTATTAATAAGGAGTTTTTTCTCTATTTTTTGTGGCCACTTTGTCAAAGATCAGATGGCTATAGGTGTGCAGCTTAGTTCATGAACAATAGTTCATGAATTTTACATTGTTCTATAGGTCTGTTTTTGTATCCGTATAATGCTGTTTGAGTTACTGTATCCTTATCATATAGTTTTTATTGTTTCCATATGAATTTTATAATAATTTCTAGTTCTATGAAAAATGACAGTGGTAGTTTGATACAAATAGCACTGAATCTGGGAATTGCTTTGGGCAGTATGGCAGTTTTCGCAGTATCGATTCTTCCAATCCATGAGCATAGATTTTTTTTTCATTTTTTGTATTATCTCTGATTTATTTCAGCAGTGTTGTGTAATTATACTTAACAGAGATATTTTACCTCCTTGGTTACATATGTGCTTAGATTTTTTTTTTTTTTTTTTGGCTATTGTAAAAGTAATTGTATTCTTGATTTGACTCTCAGCGTGAACATTATAAATGTATAGATATATTACTAATTTTTAAAATTGATTTTGTATCCTGAAACTTCATTGAAACATTTTATCTGTTCCAGAAGCCTTTTCGTGGATTCTTTAGGGCTTTCTAGGTATCAAATAGCATTACCAGCAACAATAAATAGTTTGACTTCTTTTCCTATTAGGATGTCTTTTATTTCTCTCTCTTTCCTGACTGCTCTGTCTAGAATTTTCAGTACTATATTGAAAAGGACTGGTGAGAGTTAGTATCCTTGTCCTGTTACATTTCTCAAAGGGAATGCATTCAGCTTTTTCCCATTCAGTATGTTGCTGGCTCTTGGTTTGGCATAGATGGCTCTTATTCTTTTGAGGTCTGTTCTTTTGATACCTAGTTTCTTGAGGGTTTTATAAAATTAAGCAATCTTGGATTTAATCAAAAGCATTTTCCAGATCTAATGAGATGATTATATGGTTTTTATTTTTTATTTTGTTTATGTGTGAATCACATTTGTTGATTTGCATATGTTGAACCAATCTTATAATCTAGGAATAAAGCCTACTTGCTCATGGTGAATTAACTTTTTGATGTGCTACTAGATTCATTTTGCTAGTATTTTGTTGACAATTTTTGCATCTATGTTCATCAGGGATTTTGGTCAGTAGCTTTCTTTTTGTGTCTCTGACAGATTTTGGTATTAGGAGGATTTTGGTTTCCTTAAATGAACTAGCAAGGACACCCTCTTCCATGACTTTTTGGGATAGTTCCAGCAGGGCTGATACCACCTTTTTGTACATGTGGTAAAATTTGGCACTGAATCTATCTGGTCCAGGGCTTTTGTTGTCGTTGTTGTCATTGTTTGATATGTTTTTTAAATTACTGATTCGATTTTGGAACTCATTATTGATCTATTTAATGTTTTAATTTCTTCCTGGTTTAGTCTTGGAAGGTTGTGTTTTTCCAGGAATTTAATTTATCCACCATCTCTGGATTTTCCAGTTGCTTTGCATAGAAGTGTTCACAACAGTCTTTGGGGATTTGAAATACAAATACTATTGTATTTCTGTGCGTTCAATTGTAATGCCAACTTTTTCATTTTAGATGGTGTTTATTTGGATCTTCTCTTGTTTTTCTTTGTTAATCCAGCTAGTGACCTAAGAATCTTGCATATTCCTTCAAAAAACCAACTTTTTGTTTTGATTTTTCGTATGGATTTTGGTTCTCAATTTTGTTCAGTTCTGCTCTGATTTAATTAGTTATTTTTTTCTGATAGCTTTGAGATAAGTTTGTTATTGTTTTTCTAGTTCCTCTAAGTGTAATGTTAGAGCATTAATTTAAGAGCTTTCTAACTTTTCGACATAGGCACTTAGCACAATAAACTTTACTCTTAACACTGCTTTTGCTGAATAACAGATTTTGGTATGCTTTATTTCTGTTTTCATTAATTTCACATAATTTTGTAAGCATGACTTCATTTTATGTTTACCCAAAAGTCATTAAGGAGTAAGTTGTTTCATTTCCATGTTATTGTGTGTTTTGGGGAGGTCTTGCTGGCACTGAATTCTAATTTTATTGCAATATGTTCTAAGAGTATGGTTGGTCTGATTTTTATTTTTTAAATTGTATTGAGAATTGCTTTATGGTTGAGAATGTGATTGGTCTTACAGTATGTTCTGTGTGCAAATAAGAATATATATTTGTATATTCTGTGGTTTCTGTGGTTTTGGATGTTTGGTGGAGTATTCAGTATATGTATACTAGGTCAAATTGGTCAAGCATGGGTTGAAGTCCAGAATTTCTTTGCTGGTTTTTTGCCTTGATGATCTAACACTGTCAGTGTGATGTTGATGGCCCCCACTATTATTGTATGGCTAAGTCCTTTCATAGGTTTAGAAGTACTTTTTTATTAATCTGGCTGTATGGGTGTATAAAGATTTAGAATAGGTATGCCTTCTTGTCGAATTGAACAGCGTATCATTATGTAATGCCCTTCCTTTCCAGTTTTACTGTTATTGGCTTAAAGTCTGCTTCATTTGGTACAAGAATAAGTGACAGTTGTCACTTATTTGTTGTTTTCTGTTTGCATAATAGATCTCTCTTCATTCTTTAACTTTGAGCCTGTGGGTATTTTTATGTGTAAGATGGATCTCTTAAAGACAGAAGCCAGAAGTTTATATATATATATATATATATACACACACATATATATATATGTATATATATATGTATATATACACACACAAACTTTATATATATATTTATATATATTTATATATGTACATATATATTTATATATGTACATATATATTTATATATATTTATATATGTACATATATATTTATATATTTATATATGTACATATATTTATATTTTTTAATATATGTATATATATTTATGTAATTATATGTATTTTTATATATTTATATATTTATATGTATTTATATATTTTTATATATTTATATATACATTTATATATATTTATATATATATTTATATATACATTTATATATTTATATATTTTTATATATTTATATATTTTATATATTTATATATAAAGCTTTTTTATATATATAAAGTTTATATATAAAATTATATATATTTATATATAAACTTCGTATATATATTTATATATATACTTTGTATATATATTTGTATATATATGAAGTTTATATATGTATTTATATATAAAGTTTATATATATATAAAGTTTATGTTTATATATATATATATATAAACTTTATATATTTATACACAACTTGCCCCTCTTTGCCCTTTAAGTGGGGGTATTTACCTGGGCGTGGTGGCTCACACCTGTAATCCTAGCACTTTGGGAGGCCGAGGGGGGCAGATCACGAGGTCAGGAGATCGAGACCATCCTGGCTAACATGGTGAAACCCCGTCTCTATTAAAAATACAAAAAAAACTAGCCGGGCATGGTGGCAGGCGCCTGTAGTCCCACCTACTCAGGAGGCTGAGGCAGGAGAATGGCATGAACTCAGGAGGCGGGGCTTGCAGCAAGCCAAGATTGTGCCACTGCACTCCAGCCTGGGTAACAGAGTGAGACTCAAAACAAAAAAAGTGGGGGCATTTAGACCGTTTAACTTCCAGATTATATGAGGTTTGGATCCTGTCATCACGTAGTTAGCTGGTAGTTTGTAGCCTTGATTTTGTAGTTGCTTTATAGGGTCTGTGGGCTGTGTGGTTAGGTAGGTGTGTTTTGTGGCAGCAGGTATTGGGGGACCTGCCCCGATAATCACGTAGGTTCTTTTCTATTTTCCTAAGCGTCGGCTGGCTTGAGAAATAAAGGGACAGAGTACAAAAGAAAGAAATTTTAAAGCTGGGCGTCCGGGGGAGACATCACACATTGGTAGGATCCGTGATGCTCCACAAGCCACAAAAACCAGCAAGTTTTATTAGGGAGTTTCAAAAGGGGAGGGAGTATACGAATAGGTGTGGGTGACAGACATCAAGTACTTAACAGGGTAATAGAATATCACAAGGCAAGTGGAGACAGGGCGAGATCACAGGACCACAGGACCGAAGTGAAATTAAAATTGCTAATGAAGTTTTGGCACCATTGTCATTGATAACATCTTATCAGGAGACAGGGTTTTGAGATCAACCGGTCTGACCAAAGTTTATTAGGCGGGAATTTCCTCTTCCTAATAAGCCTGGGAGCGCTATGGGAGACTGGAGTTTATTTCACCTCTGCAATCTCGACCATAAGAGACAGGTACGCCCCGGGGGGGGCCAGTTCAGAGACCTACCCCTAGGTGCGCATTCTCTTTCTCAGGGACGTTCCATGCTGAGAAAAAGAATTCAGCAATATTTCTCCCATTTGCTTTTGAAAGAAGAAAAATATGGCTCTGTTCTGCCCGGCTCACCTGCGGTCAGAGTTTAAGGTTCTCTCTCTTATTCCCTGAACAATTGCTGTTATCCTGTCCTTTTTTCAGGGTGCCCACATTTCATATTGCTCAAACACACATGCTGTACAATTTGTGTACTTAACGCAATTATTACAGGGTCCTGAGATGATATACATCCTCCTCAACTGACAGGATTAAGAGATTAAAGTAAAGACAGGCATAGGAAATCACAAGGGTATTGATTGGGGAAGTGATAAGTGTCCATGAAATCTTTACAATTTATGTTTAGAGATTGCAGTAAAGACAGGCATGAGAAATTACAAAAGTATTAATTTGGGGAACTAATAAATGTCCATAAAATCCTCATAATCCACATTCTTCTGTCATGGCTTCAGCCGGTCCCTCCCTTTGGGGTCCCTGACTTCCCGCAACAAGCAGGTATTGTTTTTGTGTTTCCATTTTTAAAACTGCCTTGAAGACTGCTTGTAAGGCTTGTCAAGTGGTAACAAATTCCATTAGCATTTACTTGTCTGGGAAGTATTTTATTTTTTCTTTGCTTATGAAGCTTAGTTTGGCAGGATACGAAATTCTTGGTTTGAATTTCTTTCTTTTAGGATTTTGAAAATAGGTGCCCAGTGTTTTTTGGTTTGTAAGATTTCTGCTGATAAGTCCTGTGTTAGCCTGATGAAGCTCCTTTTGTAAGTGACCTGACCCTTTTATCTAGTTGATCATAAGATTATTTCTTTCATGTTTACCTTGGAGAATCTTTTGCCTGTATCTCTTAGGGATGGTTATCTTGTATAGTATCTTTCAGGAGTTGTTTGAATTTGTATGTCGACCTTTCTAGTGAGACTGGAGAAATTTTTATGGACTATATTCCTTAGTTTCTCACCCTCTCTCCTTTCCCAGGAATTCCAATGTGTCATATGTTTGGTCTATTTACCTAACCCCATATTTCCTGGAGGTTATGCTCGTTCTTTTAAATTCTTCTCTCTTTATTTTTGTCTGACTGTGTTGATTTGAAGGACTGGTCTTTGAGTTCTGACATTCTTTCTTGAGCTTGGTATATTCTGCTCTTACTCCTTCCCCCTGTATCATGAAATTCCTGTTTTGAGTTTTTTTCAATTCCAGCAATTAAGTTTGGTTCTTTGTAAAAATAGCCTTTCAAATTTTTGATTACTTTATTGGCTTCCTTGGATTGGGTTTCAGCTTTTTCCTGAATCTCATTGAGTGTCTTTGCCATCCAGGTATTGAATTCTATGTCTGTCATTTCAGTCATTTCATTCCAGTTAGGAACCATTGCTGGGAAGCTAATGCATTCACTTAGATATGAGGAGATGCTCTGACTTTTATAATTTTCAGAGTTCTTGTACTAATTATTCCATATCTGAGAGGGCTAGTGTTTCTTTATCTTTTTGAAGTTGCTGCCATTTAAGTGAAGCTTTTTGTTTTTATAGTCTTTATTTCTTTTGAGGATTTGACTGTGATGTGCGTTGAGTGTAGTCAATTAACTTCATTTCGGTGTGCTTTCAGAGGACCAAGGCTCTGTGCAGAATCTTTGTGTGGAGCTATCTTCCTGCACTGGGTTTCACCCAGCCATATGTGCTGAAATAATTTTTGTTTGCTGGTTTAATTCAGGCTGAAATCCAGTAGATGGTGGTTAAAAGTAAAGGCCTGCAGATAGGTTCAGCTACATGCCTCTTTTGTATTTCAGCACTTTCACAGCAGTGTTCTGGGGTGGGGAAGACAGGAGGTGGGCAAGAGATGACCCACTTACTACGTCCATTCCTTGGCCTTTGAGGAACCCTCTCCAGTCACTGGGGCCATGCCCACATTTCCTTAGTATTTATGGGGTCCCTAGTGGGCTGCCCTCCTTCCTCCCTTAAGGGTAGCTGGAACCCAAGTTTAGATTGCCAGATGACCTGTAATTTTCTAGGGCCCTGCTGATCTTCTGTGTTTGGCAGAGTTGGAGGGGTTTGTGAGATAAGTCTGGAGGTACTCTGTTGAAGTAGTGGGCCAAAGGCAAAGGGTTCCCAGGCAGGAGAGTGTTGCTGTGGGTGGTGTGCAGCTTTGTGGTGCCCATAGCCCAGAGATTTTTGCCCAGTAGAGGGCTGCGGGTACCATCTACCTCATAGTGCCCCAATTGGGTCTCCTTCCCATGTCTGTCCCAGTAGCTGGCCTGACCAGCTAGTTTTGTCTCAAGCCTTCTGCACCTAGATCACATCACTGGGCTGTTTGGAGTTCCAGGCCACAAGGCTCCCTTAGGCAAATGCTGTGGATGGCAAACAGGCTACATCCTTCCTGGACCAGTCTTACTGAGGGAAGAATACCCAGCTCCTGAGCTGGCCCACGAACCCATGCCTCACCCTTCCCAGTGCTCAGAGAGTGGGGGCTCCCCACTACCTGAGCTCCAGGCACAGATCTCAGCTCCATATTCCAGAGCTGAGGGATTGGTACCAGTCCTTACACCCTGGGGGATGGGGACCGGTCCCACGATTTTGTCCTCTGGCTCCTCAGGGTCAAACACCAGCTGTGCCGGGGAGCTGAAGTGCTCCCAGGCCACTGGCAAAACAGAAAGTTTTGGGAAACTTTGTTGGAAAAGTAGTTTTCCTAGTTGGGAAAGTAGAGGATGTGCTGTGCGTATGCCCTTGGGGGAGCAGCCAGACAGGGGCATTTGGAGGGACCGGTTGACAAAGGGCACATAGGTTGGATGCACCCTGGTTCCACAGGAAAAACAGCCCTGCTGTCAAGAGGACTGGCAGTCAAGAGGGACTGGAACCACTCAAAGCCTTCGGGAATGGGTGCCTATGGGAACGTTTTGCTGCAGTTGCCCCTCACACATAACCACACAGGCTCCAGCTTTGTCTCTGCCTACTTTCTGAGGGGTTCCCCCTGCCAATTCAAATGTCTATGAGGGTTGTGGAATCTCCTGGAGTAGATTCCCAGAGGTCCACAGCAGGAGTCTGCTGCCCTGCAGGTTCTTCACTTATCCCTTTTTTAGGAATTCTTCAGGCTGGAAGCTGGTCCTGGTACTTGGCAACTCTGCATGCTTCCTAGCTTCCTGAAACATCCACCTCTTGTCTGCATTACCTCTCCATTGACTTTCAGTGTTTTTTCTCAAAAGACCTCTTGAAAGTGTGATGGTTCACTTGGTGTTTTGGTTTCTCAGGTTTAGAGAAGTGCTTTCTGGCTGTCTAATTGCCCATCTTTTGCCCCCACTTCTGAACCTTGTTTTCATCGCCTATTCAAAAATAAGCCAGGGTGAAGCAGCGTTTCATTACAATTGCTGCTCCTGGTTTGCTGACCCAGGGCACTAGGATCTTGAAATGAGGATATAGATATTGCTATTAGGTGTAATTAAAATTTTACCACCTTGAGTTCTAGTTCATTGTGAAAAATAAAATAAAAAATGAAAACTTCAATGTCTACCCTGGGTTTCAGTCTTTCGAACTGCCATTTTTTCCTCTGACTCACAATGGGATAGATTTTTTCAGCTGGCATCATCTTTTGCTTAGTGCATGACTGTTATGACTCTTCCTGATCGATGAGCCCTCTTAGAAGTCTCACAGTACTCTCAGAGAATTCAAATGCTACTGCTGCTGTAAGAGTACTGCTTCTCTATGTGAAGTATTCCCAGGTTTTGTGAGGAGATGTGGGTTGAGAGTTCCCAGAAGAAGATATGATTATGTTGCATTAAACATCAGGTGGCTTTACAACATTTCCACTGTGCTCATTTTTGGCATCTATTTAGATAATCTTAGCTCTTTACCACTGAACCTGAAATAAGCAGCACCTGTTCTGGGTGCTTAAGAACAGTTCAGTGGAAGGGATCGGTCCTTCACATGAGCCCTGTTTCTTTTCTACACCCAGGAGCAGATGAGTCTTTCTTGGAGTTAACCTCTTCTACCTAAATCATCGGGACATCATCAGGACAGTTCATATCCTACTATACTATTCTACAGTGTTTCCTCAGCTTAAGTCTCAACATTATTTGCTGTTAGGATGAGAAATCAAATACCTTTGCTGTGTCTGATGTCAAGCCACTTCAAGGTTACTGCATACCATGTTGAGAATAACATCTGCATTTACAACTATTCAACCACTGCTTCCCACTGAAGGGTGTCTCCAGCTATTCAATATATGTTGTTTATTCCATGAAAGTGATTATTATAATTTTGTAGGATAAAAGTAAAGGATAAGATGACACAAGAGTTGTGTTACAGTTCTTAGGTTTTATGATTAACACTCATGCCTTCACAAAAGATGTAGCTATGGAAAATCAGCTCATAAGCTCTCGTTTTACATTTATATTAACTCTTATATTTTACATAAATTTTCCAAGTAGTTAGTGTCAGATAGAATATTACCTTTTTTTGGTCAATTTATTTTGCAGAGATACTGGGATACAAGAGACTGAAATTTTTGCC
Source organism: Homo sapiens (assembly GCF_000001405.40). Lineage (NCBI taxonomy): Eukaryota > Metazoa > Chordata > Mammalia > Primates > Hominidae > Homo > Homo sapiens. The sequence goes on from NC_000014.9 coordinate 41,545,459, forward strand.
ATACTTCTTTCAAATAGAAAGTTAGTTGCAAAACATGTATACCTATGTAACAAACCTGCACGTTCAGCACATGTATCCCAGAACTTAAAGTAAAATAAATAAATAGATAGATAGATAGATAAATAGATAGCTAAATAAATAAAAAAGAATTGTCTCAGAAACAGAACTTCTCTTAACTGAATATTGTCACATTCATTGTTTTCACACATTACTGCATGGTATAGCAACATTTTATATAAAAACATTGTGCATATTAGTAAAAACACCTCTTTTTATACCCTCTGTAATAGTCAGTGCATAAAGAAACAAATTATTCACCCTCAAAAAGGTAAACAAATAAAAGATAAATACCAAATGGTCATTTCCATAGATGCAGAAAAAAGATTTGATAACTTCAATATCCATTCAGGATTTTAAAAAATAAAAACTCTCAGCAAAATAGGTACAGAAGGAAATTTCCTCAACAAAGGCCATTTATTAAAAGCTCACAGCTAATATTATTAAAAAAAAAGAAAGTTACATAACAAACGGCAATATTGTCACATGGGAAATATAGTGACACAATGGCATTTTTAAAACACATTAATCTATTTATTTATTTATTTATTTATCTTGAGTCTGGGTTATGAGACTTGGTAATTTTTCTATTTTTGCTAGAGACAGGGTTTCACTGTGTTATCAAGGCTGATCTCGAACTCCTGGGCTCAAACCATGCACCCTTTTCGGCCTCCCAAAGTGTTGGGAGTACAGGTGTGAGCCACCATGCCCAGCCCTTTTTTCTTTTTTTTTTTCCAGTTATTAAATATTTACCTCTCACATAGGCCTAAAAGAGCAGAATAACTCCTTGGACATTTCCTCCATGGACTTCACTGTTCAGTACTTCAAAAGCCTGCAACTGATGCTCAGTATGACTTGTATTATTCATTCATTATTTTGTTCCTCTTAACCATTTGTTCAACCAGTAATTATTTAAGCACTGAAAGGAAGACAGGATACCTCTCCTCATGGAGGGAATCAGAAAGTAATTCAGTGTATTCAGTGCTCTGTTAGGAGAAAGCACTGAGGGCTAAGAGACTACTTAGAAGGACATTTAATCCTCATTTAAGAGGTGTGGGCAACCAGGGAAGGTTTCTTTGACTTAATAGTTAGGCATACTCCTAAAGTCTAAATAAGAGTTGAAGAAATAATCAAAGGAAATAGAAAGATATTTCAGTAAAACGAAGTGGGATGACCAAGACCCAGAAGAGAAATTAAGAGATCGGGGGAAGCAAAGTCTATGTTCAGAAGACTTGGAACAAAGAATACAAAATAAGTAAGGTGATGTGATAGTTGTGAGCAGGGGGCTTGGGGGAACAAGAGAGTAATGGGAGCAATAATCAGAGACCTCTCTTTCCCTCTGTCTCCTACTCAGCTTTCCAGGTCAGAAATCCAAGGTCAATTTCCCACAATGTTTTTCCTCCAGTCTTGTTCTGTGGTTTGTTTCTTTTGAGTAGTTCTGTTAAAGAATTTTATACTTTTATTTTAAAACTTTTTAATTTTTAAAAATAAATTTTATTGTATCTATTTAAAGTATACAACATGATGTTCTAAGATACATATATATATATATATGGTAAAAGTGTTATTATAGTGAAACAAATTAACATATCCATCATCTTACGTAGTTACTCATCCCCCTCCCCCAACATGACAAGAGTAGGTATAATTTAGTCATTTAGCAAAATTCTTGAATACAGTACATTACTTTTAACTCTAGCCCACATGTGCACAAGATCTTTTGACTGATTAATCTTACATATTTCTACTTTGCATTCTTCTTATGTTATACTCAAAAATATTATAACCTGACAGTCTGGGGAATCTTCAGGGAAATAAAATGGCTGAACTTACTGCCATGAAAGGAACAAGTGAGGCTGTAAGTTGTCTCCTATCATGGGAATGACAAGGTGAGGCATGCAGCTTGGCAGGTTGTAGAGAAGACCATCACAATTTTTTTTTGTAGGTCAGTGTACTGCACAACTACGTTCTCTTAATTTTCACCCTCTCTTTTCTACTGTTAAGCTTGTAGGAGAGTGGTAAAGCAAGAGAAAAAGCTGGGAACTAACTTAGAGTCCTAAGTCCTAATAAGTTCTATTAAAATGAAGCTGATGATCATTTAAAATGTATAACAGAAAAAAAACTAAAAGAAATTTTGGCAAAACTGTTCAGATATCCTAAATTTGATAAACGTATTTCATAAGTAGGAATATGGTAGATACCACAGGTGGGCATATGCTGGGCTTATTAACCTTGGCGCTATTAACATTTGGACCAGACAATGTTGTGACAGACATCTGGTGTGCTGTAGAATGTCTAGAAACATCTCTGACCTCTACTTACTAAGTGCCAGTGTCACTTCAGCCCCTCCCCCAAGTCATAACAAGAAAAATGTCCCCAGACATTCTCAGAAGTCTCCTGGGGGGCAAAATCGCCCCCTATTTGAGAATCACTGTGCTAGACTTTAGTAGGTATTGAAATGCCTACAAAGAAGTCACTCTTTTCCTCAAGGTACCTATCGTCTGGTAAGGAAGAAATATTTACTAAAAATGTATTTTAGTTCACCTAATTCATATCAGTTTGTGATTAGTGTAAGCAGAGACATTTCAGCAAAATTTTATGAAAACACAGTAAAATAATTCAGAGGAAAAGCAAGTAAGAAGAAAAATCAGTAAATATTCTTTAAAGGAAGTGAAATGTGACTGCAGACTTCAAAGATGAGCAGACAAAAAAATGTATAAGGGGACTGAAAAAATAGTAGCACACACAAAGGCTGAGTAACATGAAAGCAAAGTAAGTATTTGAGAAATGGTGAAAATCCCTGATAGTTTTAGGGTAAATTATGGGTTAGAAGACTGCAAGATAAATTGAGGGCATATTTTGGAAGATCCTCAACGCTAAGATAAGAAATTGGACTTTTTTTCTGCATCAAGTACTAAAGTGCTAATATGTTAAAACTTACTGGAACAATATTTGTTTTATGAATATAATTTTTAAATTTAAAAAATATATTTTAAGATAATATTATGATAAAATCATATTTCAAAACCATATCGAAGGTTGTTGATTGTTTTGCCAAATGGCAGGTCACACAACTTCAATGAATTGAGAGCTTCATGAACATTAGCCTCATAAGCAATCCAATTTCCAATCATGATTTCTACTTCTCTGCTTTCCTAATGAAAAGATGACTACTTCAGATAACAAAGGCTGAAAATTATATACAAGATTTTTATGACATGTAACAAATAAATAAAATATAAATATAAATTTAAATATAGACTCCGATTGCAATAGACTCTGTAGAAATACTTTGGGGTGATGAATCCAGCCAGCAACTAGATTAGGGTTGGCTCTTATCCATGAATAGCATAGAGAGCTACTTGGATTCTCCCAGCAATGACTCCAATTCTCAATGAGCATAAACAACGTTTTGGCTGTATGCACTGTGCTTGGATTTGGATAATATTTTGATAATAAAGTAATCAGAAAGATTTTATTTAGCACTATTCTGCTATGAGTCCTTAAAAAGCCAAGTAAACCATTTGTGTTAATGAAGTATTGTTCACAAGTGAATCTAAATAAGCCAAATAGGAGTCTGTTGACTTGATTTTGGGGAAAGTGGTATATGTACAAAACAGTGAAATGAAAAATGTTGTAATAAATGTAGCTTTAAATTTTTCATCTGCATTATTTATATCCCTGCTTTTAAAAATAACTTAAAAATCTATTCTTCCTTTTCTTTTTCTATCCCATTTTGTTGCCAGAAAAAAAAATGTAATATATTCTAATGGGTGGAGATATAAAATAACCAAATAAAAAAAGCTAAATATAGAGCGTGTTGGTTGGTGATGAGTGATATGAAGAAAAACAAAGGAGAGCTAAAGTGTAGGGCATACTGCTAGGGGATGAGAAAGAAGTGAGATCAGTGAAGCTTTTACTGCAGCAAAGATGTGAGGAGGGAAGGGAGCCATCCATATGACTATATGATGATGTAATACTTTCCTCACCTATCATAACAATAACAGCCAACACTCCTGTAACAAAAGACAGGTTAACAAGAAAAGCATGACAAATTTATATAATCAAAGTTTTATGTGATATGGGAGTCTTCAGAAATGAAGACCCAAAGACCTAGGGAAAACTGTCTACTTTTATTCATAGCTTCGATAAAGAATGAAAAGCCATATAGAAATGTGATTGAGAAAAGGATACATCTAATGGTAGCAGGTTGAGGAGGAAAACCTGGTAAGGCCTGTCCATTCGGATGCTTTATGGCCTCTTTGTGTGGCATTTCTTCCTCCTAGGTAGGGCACAGGACTCCTCTGGAATTAGGATCTTAAGACTTACTATCAGACAAGGTAAGTTAGAGAATTTCTCTATGGGCAACTTCTACACAGAAAGGCAGGAGAAAGAGCATATTTCTAGGTTGAATGGTTTGCTTTGGGAAAGAGAGGTTCTAGTTTCTATGACTCACCTTAGGAAATAATAATTCTGGTTTTTATGACTCACTTTTGTGGGGGTTGGTAAGAGGGGCAGAAAATAAGAATGCAGAGAAAGGTCAGAGACAGACTTTGCTTATGAAGCTATTTCTGAGGCCTTCCAATCTTCTTCAGTTCAAAGTAGTCAGCATGCCAATCATCACACTTTGGTGTATCATCTTCTGAGCCCCAACAATAATAGAGTTTACAGGCGGAACTAGCAAATGCAAAGATCCAGGGTAGCAGGTATGTTATATTTGAGGAAAAACAAGGAGGAGTAGTAAAAAGATATGTTTTTTACTACTTTGTACTATCTTAAAAGTGCTGACCTCATACTAGGGGCTCAATAAATATTTGTTGAATCACTCCAGTGTGCAAGAGTGCAGGGTTTGAAGAAAAGATTGTAAGAGATAGAGCAGAGAAGTTCCAGAAGGGCCTTGTCAGCTATTCTAAAATCTATGGCTCTCAGTCTGAGATAAATAAGAAGCCATTACAGGATTTGAGGAAGGGAAGTGACAGGATCTGGCTTGTTTTAATAGGACCTTCTAGTTTGAGCTTACGGAGACTTAAGAAGAAAAAAGCAGAAGCAAGGAGAGAAATGATTTTGGACAAAAATAGTAAAAGTGGATGTCGTAGAGATGGCCAAATTCTGTATATGCTTTGAGGCTGTAAATCGTAGCACTTGTGACAGATTTATGGGTATGATTTTTTAAAAAGGAAGAGTAAAGGAGGATCCCAGGGATTTTCCCTGAGCATCTGTAAGAAAGGAATTAAAGTTACAAAGATGGATAAGATTATGGAAAAATAGGTGGAGAGAAGTTGTGAAATAAAAAATACGTCTGAGAACGTGATGTTTGAAATGCATATTAGAAACTGCATAGAATTAAACAAACAATTGGAAATGCAATGCTGTTGTTAAACTAGAAGTCTGGAATCACGTGTTCTTAAAATAAATGATGGCCAGGCGCAGTGACTCCTGCCTGCAATCCCAGCACTTTGGGAAGACACTTTGGTGGATGGATCACTTGGAGCCAAGAGTTCAAGACCAGCCTGTCTAAAATGGCAAAATCTTGTCTCTACCACAAATGCAAAGTTTAGTCTGGCATGGTGGTGCATGTCTGTAATCTCAGCTACTCCAGAGGCTGAGGCACAAGAATCGCTTGAACCTGGGAGGTGGAAGTTGCAGTGATCCGAGATCATGCCACTGCACTCCAGCCTGGGTAACAGAGTAACCCTGTCTCAAAAAACAAACAACCAACCAACCCTCCCCCAAGACACAGATGATGTTTAAAGCCGTATGATGAGATCATTAAGAGAGCGAGGATAAAAGGGAACTGTCAGGAACTGAGACCTGGGCACACCAATATTCATTCATAGGAAGATGAGGAGGAATTCATAAATAAGACTAGAGAAAAATGGCCAATGAAGTATGAGGAGAACAAGAAGAGAATCCTGTCTAGATCCTGTATGAAGAAGGAGAAAGTGATAAAGTCAATAGATTAAGAAGATGAGAACTGTAGATTGAGAACCAGGAATTAACATAACAGCCAGTGGTGATTTTGACAAAATCTGCTTCATTGCAGTTGTGAGAAAAAAGCCTAATTAGAGAAGTTTCAACACTGAATGGGAGGAATTATAAATAGAAAATCTAACAAATCTTTTAATAAATTTTGCTTTAAAATTAGCAGGGAGATGGGGTGGTATCTGGAGATATATGTGTGTTCAAGGTTTTTGTTAATTAACATGGATAGTATTACATCATGTTTGAATGATCATGAGAATAACTCAATTGGAGTGGAAAATTTGATGTTACGGAATACAGAAGGGGTCTATTGCTTAAGTGTAATACTTGAGTGGATGAGAGCTAGTGTGACTGAATGAAGGGTTGTTCTTAAATATAAATGCTCTTAAATAAAACTAACAGAAAGGAGGGCAGAGAGGAAATATGACTAGATTGAGTAATGAGGTATGGGAATGTGTATAAATAATTTCCTTTCTTCTATTTTGTCAGTGAAACAGAAAGCAAAATAACTACAGGGAGTGATCATGAGGAAGGAGGAAGCACGAGGAAGGACTTAGGAGAGAGGAGGCAAAATAGTAGTCTGAGATTGGGAGCATAAAAAAAACAAAACAAAACAAAACAAAAAACTAAGAAACGTATTAGACTTCCTAGGCAGTGCTAAAGGCCAAATAGGTAGGTCACTGTGCATTAATTTAAAGTGAAACCAATGGGCACAATTTTGCCTTTTTCTCTGACCATGTTTGCTGCCTGATATGAACAAGGAGAAGGAGGAGAGCTGAGTACAACCAGGATTGTGAGTGAGGAGTTGTCATGAGTAAACAATATATGCTATGTGATATACATTCACATAGAAATAACTTCAAACTAAAAAAATACCCACTCATACATATATGTTTAAAAGGAAAATAGAATCTACTAACCTTAAGATTAAAAACAACAAATTAACCACTCTTTCTTTGGCCACATGATCCAAAATAATCAGATTTAAAATAATATATGCTTTATATATACATACAGGCACTGACATTTAGATGATTGTCTTTTTAGCACAAGTCAATTCCCACCCCCCTGCTTGTCTCTTTCTACTCACACCTCTTCTCTGCTACCCACCCACAGCACCTTATTTATTTATCTATGATGGGAAAATAAATGGTGCCTAGGTCCTGATCAGGCATCAAGAGTAATCCTTATATTTTCATATTTGAGAACTACAACTGCTTCTAGTGGAAGTGAGTTGTTTTCTTCATTTAAAGAGAGACATACAACAAAGTACCATTCTTTTTAACTGGAGACATAGTCACTGTTCTTACAGCATTTAAAATAATATTTTCCATAAGAACCATCTTTGCCAAACCCACAACCACATTATACTGAATGGGCAAAAGCTTGAAGCATTCCCCTTGAAAACCTGAACAAGACAAGAATCATCAGCCTATTCAACATAGTACTGAAGTCCTGGCCAGAGCGATCAGGCAAGGTAAATAAATAAAAGGCACCCAAATAGTACGACAGGAAGTCAAATATCTCTGTTTGAGGACAATATAATCTATATCGTGACCTAATTAAACTAAAGAGTGTCTGCACTGCAGACAAATAGAGAAAACAGACAATGTACACAATGAGAGAAAATATTTGCAAACTATGCCTTTGGCAAAGGTCTAATATCTAGAATCTATAAGGAACTTAAGTTAACAAGCAAAAACAAATCAATTAAAAAGTGGGCAAAAGACACGAACAGACAATTTTCCAAAGAAGGCATTTATGCAGCCAACAAGCATATGAAAATATCCTCAACATGATTAATCATTAGAGAAATACAAATCAAACCCAAAATGAATTACCATCTCCCACCAGTCAGAATGGCTATTTTTAAAAAGTCAAAAAATAACAAATGCTGGTGAGGTTTTAGAGAGAAAGGAATGCTTATACACTGCTGGTGGAAATGTAAATTAGCTCATTAGTTGGAAGCAGTCTAAAGATTTCTCAAATAATTTAAAACAGAATTATTATTTTACCCAGTAATCCCATTATTGGGTACATACCCAGAGAAATACAAATTTTTTACCATAAAGTCACGTGCATACATATATTCATCACAGCACTATTCACAGTAGCAAAGACATGGAATCAATCTAAACACCCATCAACGGTAGACTAGTAAGGAAAATGTGGTACATATACACCATGGAATACTATGTAGACATTGAAAAGAATAAGACCATATCCTTTGCAGCAACACGGATGGAGCTGGAGACCATTATCCTAGGCAAAGCAGCACAGGGACAGCAAACAAAATATCGCATAGTCTCACTTATAAGTGGGGGCTGAATGCTGGGTACACCTGGACACAAAGAAGGGAACAGCAGACACCAGGACCTACTTGAGTGTGGAGGGTGGGATGAGGGTGAGGATCGTAAAAATAACTATCAAGTACTATGCTTGTTATCTGGGGGATGAAGTAATCTGTACACCAAATCCCTGTGACACACAATTTACCTTATAACAAATTTGCACATGTACCCCTTAACCTAAAATAAAAGTTAAAAAGAAAAGTAAGAATAATGTTGACTGAAGTCAGTGAGCGGTGGCTAATCAGCTGCAGAGAAATGTGAGTGGTAACCGTAAACTGGGACTCTGGGCCATGGTTGGAAATCTTGCAATAACAGATGGCTTCAAATGAAGGAATAAAGACAGTAACAGAATAACAGAATAAGGGAGAGTGAGAAAGATGAAGGGAGAAAAGACATTAGAGCTAACATTGGGGAACTAACTCATAAGACTGTTCCCAATCACTAAAAGTCATGTTTCACCTGAATCAACTGTTCATTAGTTGTCCTCCTCTAGCTTTCATGTATTTATTCAATAAATAAATCAAGTTCCTCCTATAATCCAGAAAATAATATAATATTTTCCTATCTCCGATAGCTATATTGACAAAATAGACTGAAGGTTACATTCTAAAAAAAGATTAATCCTGATAAGCAAAACAAAACAAAATAAAAATGACCTTTTCAGAGTTGGTTTTCACTGACTGGTAAAAAAGCAATTTCATGAAGATTTTGACTGGTTTCTTTATAGTACCGTGAGCATGCCGAGAACATGGCAGAAACTCTTCTCATTTGGAACAAACAATGTCTTAGAAAGAAAAGCAGGATTTCCTCTTAGAAATATATATATATATATATATATATATATATATGTATATTTTTTTTTTTTTTTTTTTTTTTTTTGAGACGGAGTCTCGCTCTGTGGCCCAGGCTGGAGTGCAGTGGCGGGATCTCGGCTCACTGCAAGCTCCGCCTCCCGGGTTCACGCCATTCTCCTGCCTCAGCCTCCCGAGTAGCTGGGACTACAGGCGCCCGCCACTACGCCCGGCTAATTTTTTGTATTTTTAGTAGAGACGGGGTTTCACCGTTTTAGCCGGGATGGTCTCGATCTCCTGACCTCGTGATCCGCCCGCCTCGGCCTCCCAAAGTGCTGGGATTACAGGCGTGAGCCACCGCGCCCGGCCCAGAAATATATTTTTTAAAGACTTTTTCATTAATTCAAGGTTTGTCAAATATATTAGAGGCAATTTAGATATTTTGGAGCAGAATGTTTCATTATTATTGTCATCACAAACATTGGTATATAAAAGGGAAGCATGCAGCCACGAGCTGAGCAAAATTTAAAGCGATTTAAATAATCCAAGTCCATGCTTTTTAGTACCAAAACAATTTGAGGGTCTGGCTATATTCACAAACTGGACCAATTTCAGAGAATAAACTATTTTAAGAAAAATGAGTTGAATAATTTGCATACTGCAACTGGCATTCAAGTTTTGCGACACAGTAAGAAGACTTGAGTTATTATTTGAGCTTACCATAAATTGGCAGTGCAAAACAGAGAAACAAGATAATGTGTCCCTGTTTCTTTCTACCTCTGTACTTCATGTGTAAAATAAATAAGGCAATTAAGGAAGCATCTTTGGAATGATAAAGGACCACTTAATTATGCAAAATCAAAATTAATCTTTAGTTCCTTTTGATTAGATATTCTGTTTTGAGCTTGTTAGGTATGTAAAAAAGAACAATAATTTAGCATGTATAATGTTAATTATAAACATTTGAACAATATTTTAATGTTCGAGCTACAATGCACCTAATTTTGACTTTAAGGTAGCATCACATGGCATACTTCTAAGTCCATTCTCGAGATATTCTTTTGTGCCTATCTCTGTCTTATTGTTCCCTGCAAATGAATAAGAGAACGTTAGAAATAGTTAAAGCAGAAGATGACTTTAATCTTAGAATATTAAGACAAATGCTATCATTACTATTAATATTTGGTTGATAAATTGTTTTTCTAAGTGCAACCTCATGTGATTTGAAGGGATAGTCTATAGGAAAGTGAATTTTCAAAAGGAACACACAGCCTTAATATGGGCTGTTATCAGGTTCCATAATTGTGGCTTGCCAATGAAACATATCATCCCCAGCTGGACCTGCAGAACGTTGAGTTGGAAGGTCATGGGCCAAATCACTAAGTTTGTGTTAATCCATTTTTTGTGGCATAGTCAGTACTTTTCATCTGGCTCCTCACTATCTCAGTATGTGTTTAAAGGTCTGGCTAAAACTCAATTATTCAAGCAGCACGGAAGGATTGTCTACTCTCACACCTGCTCTGACATACACTGTCACCTTACTAAACAGATTGGGGATGGAACTAGGAGGGCAGGGGACAGAGGTAGGTCATGGGATGGGAGGCTAGACAGGTAAAATTTTAGTGAAAATATTTGTGGAAAATGTTTTATATTTGATAAGAAAATGATTTATTGAAAATAGTACTAATGCCTTATTCTCCTGCTATTTCTGTTAATAAGAAATTATAAAATAAGTCTTTAAGAGAAAAGTCATATGGTAGATTTGTTTCCAATGGGAAATAACTTCTAGGGCAGAATTGTTAAGAATAGACAAGAACAACTTTAGAAAACATGTCAATAGAATTAGCTTTGCCTAAACATCTTTTTTGCTTCTGTATTTTTAAGTTTTTTTCTTTTCCTCATTTTTTCTTTTCATAAAAGACCATGTGGATAAGAACAGTGTTGCCAATTTCCCTGTGCTTTTGCTAGATGGCATTATCTTTGTCAGTCTTTATTGTTCACCAGTCCTCTCCCTTATATCATTTTTACATAATTTCCCTTAATCTTCCTGCTTTGTATTGTTACTATATTGTTCTTATTAGATGGTAATATGAATAAATACATAATTTTTTCCTATATTAAACATATCAAGATAAAGTAGACATGTTGATCATGATCAGGAAACCAGGGGAATAAAATGAACAAAATGAAGGACATCATTTGGTTTGTTTGCTAGAGTGTCAAGAGAAAGGAAAGAAAGTGAGAGATTAGTTCTTATGTCAATAAATAGCCCTGTAGGTTCCTGAAGACTAGACAAAGAGCCAGAGGACTCAGAGGGCCAAATCTATGGTCTGACCCCAATGATAATGGTAATGATTATATTTATTTTATTATGTTATGTGATACTATAATGGTAAATTACATACAGGAGACAAGGAGGACAAGGAGGATGTTCATATTTATTGGTCCTGTAAAAAAATAAAAAGGACCAATATTTAGGAAGACTTTCAGAGTGTTAAAAGGACTAATTTTCTTGTCTTGTACCATAGACTGCTCTCTCTCTTTTTTAAAAAAGTTTGTAGAACACAAATAAATCTACCGCATGTATCACTTGGAATTCAATAAGGGTAACATCATTCTGTTTTCAAAATCTGTACTTATAACATGTTAAAAGCCAACTAATATCTATTGAGCACGTAACAATGTGATAGAAAATATTCTGAACATTTATAATCCATACAACAATCCAATTAGATAGTTATTACTGGTTTTCTTTTCCATTTTATGTATGAGGAAACTCCAGCACAAAGAGCTTAAGTAACTTATCCAAGGTTACCTAGATAGGATGTTTTGAGTAGCTCTCCCACCTGCACCATCTGATTCTAGAACCCACACACTTAAAGAAAATAATAGTGAGTATGAGGAGCATCACATCCTACCATGTAAGGAAGTTGAAGAGATATAAGAAATCAAAGGTTCTCCCAGAACCTTACTCTCTAGTAGAAAAGCCATAAAAAAAAAAAAAAAAAAAAAAAAAAAAAAAAAGGCATGTCAGAATTTTAACTCTTCATACTTCAAACTAGGACTTGGTTTTTATAAACTAGTATAGTTGTGGGATTTTGTTTGTAAGATCTAATGAAGGAAGTGAACCTTTTGAAAGAGATTAAGATTTATATGGGTGAAAGGGAAAGGAGAGAATATTTCTAGTGACAAGATTAAATTTACCTGCCTGAGTCCTTTGCTCCTGGAAAAGAGCAACTGTTAAGAAAATCCCCATCCTTCTGTTTTCTGGGAAACAACTTGCTTCAAATAATCATCCTCCCCCATGTGATTTAGATAATAATCATGGATGTCCTCCTTCTTTACTTAAGGCACAGCCAGACACAGACCCTCCACATTTTCATTCTTTGATTCATAAATAATTATCTGAGATGTTTTTTCCCTATTGACCAATCAGGACAAAATGCTCCCTGACTTGACCAAACTTAAGTTTCTCCCCTTCTTCCAGGCTCACAAACTGTGACCTATCCTTAGCCTGAGCTCTGTAAGGGCCCATCCCAAGAATCAGCTGATTGCAAGTAAGGATATTCCCCAACCAATTATCCTATCACAACACCCAGTTGTCCCGCTTCCTCTCACCAGGATTCTTATAGCTTTGTTTACCTTTCCCTATAAAAGAAAACCCCTTTTCTCCATGACCTTTGAGATAACTTGCAGGTCTTCTCATCACAGTATTCTCTCTATTGCAGTGGTTCCTCTCACCCTATTGTAATCATCCCTTTCCCAGTCTTGCAACAGTCTTCAAATAAACCCTCCTTATCTAAGTCCAGACTTGTTTTTATTTGGTGCTAGGAAAATAACAATATTAGAAAACACATACATATGTACATACATACATATATACAGAGGAATAAAGGGTTTCATTATTTATAGGATAGTGAAGAAATAGCCTAAGCAGAACAAAACAGTATATTTTGCAGAATACAGTGAGATACTGTGTGAGCAGCCTGGAATAGCTTGACTTTGATTCATTGTTAAGCTGAATAATCATAACCAACAGCTGTAGTGAAGACACTGTCATCTCTAATGTATTGAGTGTTTACACTGTGCCAAGTGAATTATGTGCTTATGAAGAGTGGCAGAATATGCCACCCCAAAATATGCCACTTTGACATAAAGATTAATTCAAGCTAATAGCACTTGAAAAACAGCAGATGCAAGAAGGACATGCTAATTTCCCCATTTCTTCCTGAAAACAGGGAAAAAAACACTCCTGTGTGAATGATGTCCTCCTTGTACCAGGAGAAAATAAACACTCTTCAACGGGGAGTCATAGTCAAGATTATTATGTACAAACCTTGTTAAAATAATTCTTATTATTTAGCCTCCTCACACAATTTAGTTACTTTTCCACCATAGCCTCTCTTTTCTCAACCTAATACAGAAGTGCATAGGTTTTGCAATTTCTTTGGGTCTTCATTTCCTTATGAGTGTTCCCATGTCAAGTAAAACTTACATAAAATGTGTATACTTTTCTTCTATTAATTTGTCTTATGTCAATTTGATTCTTGGGCCCAGCTGGGACACTAGAGGGTAGAGGTGAAGTTTTGCCTCTCCTACACTTACCTTTTTTAAACCTAACATGAGCCCTGTGAATTAGAGACCGTTTACTATAGACTGAGTTGTTTCTCCACTAAATCCAAATTTCAAAGCCCTAACTCCTAACGTGACTGTATTTGAAGATAGAGGCAATAAAGAGATGATAAAGATTAAGAGAGATCACAAGGGAAGGGCCTGTAGGACTGGTGTCCTTACAGGAAGAGGAAGAGACAACAGAGACCTGTTTCTCCTTCTGCATGCATACAGTGGAAAGTAAATGAGAGGACACAATGAGAAGTTGGCTGTGTGCAAGCCAGGCAAAGAGCTTTCACCAGAAACCACTCTGATGGCATCTTCATCTGGTACTTTTGGCCTCTAGAACTGTGAGAAAATAAATTTCTGTTGTTTAAGCTACCCCATCAGTGGCATTTTGTTGTGGCAGCCTGAGCTGACTAACACACTGGCATTATCCTCATTTTTAAAATGCAGAAATTGGAGCATAAAGAGTAAGTCCTTTAGTTGGTAAATACAGATCTGGTATTCAAACTGTCTGATGGCAAACAAAGACTGGTCTTTAAACCACTCTGCTGATCTCCTATCAATGAGTGGGAGCTGCTAACGGTGCTAGTGAGATTTCAATGGAAGAGGTCAAGCAAAAACTGACCAACAACTTAACAAGACATGTCAAGTCTCAGAAGGGTATATAGATAAGGTTAACCTAGAGTTCTTTAACTCCAGATTATTTGCTCCTATAACCCAGATCAGGGTGACTAGATATAGGACAGGGTGATGATGATGGAAATACAGACACAGGGAGAAAAAAATGTTGTGTGTCAAAAACACTTTTAATTTTAAAGCAATGCAAGGAACTCACTGGAAGACATTCAATAATATTTTGGTGGAAAGTTAACATACTTATCCATGTCGTATCAGGCCTCAGAGTCAGTCATGCCTTTATTTTAATACAATTCCATAGCATTTTCAATACATACCTATTCCTTAATTGTTTCTACTAAGCTGGGTTCCATTTGCTTTCTTCACATGGCACTGTATTGCAGACTTTATTCTAGGGTATTGTGTTCAAATCTACCAGGTGTATTGTTAGCTGTTTTCTCACATTGTATTTGTCATATTATGTGCTATAATTTACCTAATCTGAGCTCTTTAACTGAACTTTAGACTATTTTAAATTTTTCTTTTTTATAATTGATAAAGCCAAATTCTAGCCTTTAAGAAACAAAGTGCCCTTGAAAAATGTATGCATAACTCCATGCATATGTTTGTGCAATCTTATAAGAATTTCTTCAAGATTTTGAGGTATAAACTTTCTAGGTTCAAGTGTCATGCATATTTTAAATTGACGTAGAAATTGCCAAATTACTGTTTAAAAATGGATAAGCTTTATTGCTCACTAACAAGAAATGGAGTGCCCATAATCCTTGGCAACAGTAAATTTAATCAATTCTTTACATTTTATTTTTTCTCTGTCTGTAATAAGAAAAATATCATTTGTAAGAACATGTAATTGAAATAATGAATCTGCTTTGTATTAGAACTACTTAATTGACCTTGTTTATTAAAAGGTGTAGGGGCATGAAGTGAAAACTAAAAGTATCCTGAGCCTAGTCTCAGAATTAATCCCTGCTAATGGTTTTGACACTCCTTGTGTAATGATTAGAGTTCTGCTTTTTTATTTACAATATCCTGGATATCCCTTAGTATTATTAGCACACTATTTTAAAAAGTTAAGGAGTATTTAACTGAATATATTTATAATATTGCATTCAACCAGCTTCATACTGGTAAATATTAAAGTTGTTTGCTATTTTTATAAAACCACAATAAACATTCTTGTATATAACATCTTTTTTGAGTATACCTACAAGAATGAGAGATTTTAAATGAGTGAAAGAAAAAACTGACTCAGTGATTATAAACATAGTTTTGCACAAAAAGGTGCAACAATTAGACCACATAAATCTGATGTTACAGAATAATTAAAAGGAAAGAGATGGAAAACTTTGGTGCACGGTACATTCAAACCAACATTTAGTTTGGTAAATGGTAATGTGCTACAAAATGTATAATCATAATTTTTCATGAAACCAAAATTTTAATGTAACAAAAATTATTCCTCCGTTTTAAGAACCAATGTTAATCAAACTCATGAAGGAAAAAATGCGTTTATGCAGAAATTCATATTGGAAGATATGACAGCCACTCAGACCAAAAACCATTTGCCTATAGAGCATGCAAGAGATTGAGAGACTGAGGGGTTTGCCCTGGATCACATGCATGCTTGGTGGTAAAGCAGATTAATTTTTTTGGCAAAAAAATTATGTGGTACAGCCTAATTTTGTTGTATGTATAGATTGCTGAGCAGTCAAATCAAGGCTTTAAGGTATCCATCACCTGAATAACACACATTGTACCCATTAAGTAATTTTTTATCATCCATCCTCTTTCACTTTAGTCTCCATTCCCCTTGCTAGTCTCCATTTTTTACTATTATCATTCCACTCTCTAAATTTGAATTCAGGCTGATCAATCCCAGAATCTTCTCTCTTTGGTACCGCACTATACTATGCTATACTATATCGAAGAGGAAAGATTGCCAAAATCAAGGTAGACAGTATTCTTAGAAAGCGTAATGTTCTGTCTGAAAATGTTACCAATACAAGAATACAAGCAATGGGGATAAGGCAGATGCCCAGGTGTGAGAAGCTAAAGGATCTTTTATAGCCAGTCTTGTAGTAATGTGCTTCGAAGTGGAATTCCTGAGAACTGCACCTGCATATGGAGGTAAAGGTACCTGTGAAAATTTAAATGTTACATTTATTGAATATAAGCAAGGCCTTGAAAGTGCAATTCTGATCTGTAGAAACATTAGCATTATAAAATTTCAATAAATATAAGAATAAAATATTGTAAGTAAAATTTCACAAGCAACATTGGTCATATTTCAGACACTAAATAGATATTTATTGAAATGTTGTTTTATTATTTTACAAGGATGTACACATTTCATAACACACTATGCTAGAAGTAGAATTTTAAAACATTTTATTAATTCACTGGAAAATACAAAATTTCCAAGATTTTCACATTAAATAATAGTAAATAGAAACATGAAATTTATTTCTCTCGTAACTGCTGCTAGACCATAAATGAATTAGAATCTTTAAATGTTGCCTTTGTTGAGAAGACTAAACCAGACTAAACAAAAATCACTGAATAATAAATTTATTTATCTTAATATGTGTATAGTCCTAAGCAATTATAGAATTAAAAAAAAAAGTATCCAACCACCAAGTTCTAAATTAATGTGCTTCCAGCTCTTCACTATATGTTAGACATGTATTTTATTTAATAGAGATTATAGCAGAACTGACTTCAAGTTTGGCTGAATTTCATTAATGGAGGAGAGAAAAGATACCATAACCCATTATTGTGTGTCTATTACAATGGAAGAATGTACTTTACACCAATGAACAAATAGAAACATGACTTTGTGTTTATATATGTTTTGTAGTCAATTAATGAAATAATTATCTCATTTTAATGAAATGTAATTTTGACTATCCAGTCCCACAAATGAGTTCATAGTATGATGTCAGACATTCTTGTTTTGCAAAGAAATTTATCATACAATTCCTTTAAAGAAATGTGCTATCTAATGCATTTTAAACACTTTTTTCAGGCACATTAAAAAGTAAGCACAGTTGAATTATGAGGCATTTGAAAGCAAGTTATGATATTAATATAATGGTCTTTACGATATATATATATCGAACTGATTCTACAAACTGCCAGTCAAGAATAAGATTTTCATAAGCATGTAAAGGGAAATTTATAATTTCCAGAGGAAAAAAAGTGAATACTTTCTCCTCCTGCAGAATAATCAGAAAGAAAGGAAGGTTTCTCCATGTGGTAATTCCAAATATTGTTCTGGATCCAGAAGCTGTACAATTTAATTACAAGAAATACTATATAATTTATCTTAGGTCAACCAAAGCTTGGTGAACTACTAAGAAGCACATATTGCATTTTACAGCGGTTAAGAACACAGATGTCAGTCTATGTGGACTGGGATCAGATATTTAATCAGCTGTGAGACTTCAGCAAATTCCTGGGAATTCAGTTCCTTCATAATTGTGCTTTAGTTTCCTCATCTGTAAAACATAGATTAATACTAATATTAATAAAAATTCCTTAGCAGCATTAGAAGATTGTAGGTTAACTTATACAAAGCACCTAGAATAGTGTCTAGAACATAGTAGGTGGTATGTAAAGATCAGCTGTTGATATTAGTTTTGTGGAACTATATAAGGAAAGATTTTTCTGTTTAACAAGCTTATCATCTAGCATGCATTAGCCTAGGCTAGAGAGTACCCAGGAGAAGTGTCACTGCAGTGTGATAAGTATTAAAATTGAGCAGCTTCAGAGTGTCTCATATCTTGTTTTACAGGTAAGATGCTAGACATCATCAAAGATAAAATTTAATAGTTATAAACCTCCTGGTAAATACACTTGCCTGTGATAAGTTATCTTTGTCAAAGTTATTTGCCCTTTAGCATTTTCATAGACTCGGATATAATTGAATTTTCCCTTTGCAAGTCTTTGGAGAGTTCCACATAGGAAAGCATTAGTAGAATGTATAGTGTCATCAGCTACCAATTGCTATACAGCTAATGTAAGAGGTGAGCACATCAGAGATTGATAGTCTATTGCCTACAAATATTAAGACATTATGTAATTACTGATGCTATTCATCTATAGTTTTTCTCCAGTCTACAAAATACCAATGCCTTAATATTTAATGTTGGAGACAATACTTATGAAAACCAAACAATCTATATGATATTTTCTAATTTTTATCATTAAGGCCACAACTGTGTCAAACACAGACTAATCATAAGGCTTGCCAAGCCTTTTAACTTTATAGGGAAGTTGGTTGGATATTTAGGAGTGGGCTGGCCCCTACCTTAATATAATTGTACAAGTATCTCTGCAATTGTTTTTAAGCTTTTTCCCTCAGGAAAAAAATGGAAAATATATTATTATTATTATTAATTAAAATACATAACTGACAATGTATAGTGTTATCCAGGATTCCTAGGAGACCAGTTTAGCTATAGGGTAAATTTTTAAATCTCAAATTAAAAGTTGATAAATTAATAAAACACATGTTCTATGTGCTATTATGATCAAGTATTCTTTTTCTTTTTTTTTTTTTTTTTTTAGACAGAGTCTTGCTCTGTTGCCCAGGCTGGAATGCAGTGGCGCAATCTCAGCTCACTGCAACCTCTGCCTCCAGGGTTCCAGCGATCCTTCCACCTCAGCCTCCCAAGTAGCTAGGATTGATTACAGGCTCACCAATACGCCCGGCTAATTTTTGTATTTTTAGTAGAGATGGGGTTTGACTATGTTGGCCAGGCTGGTCTTGAACTACTGACCTTAAGTGATCCATCCACCTTGGCCTCTCAAAGTGCTGGGATTATAGGTGTGAGCCACCGTGCCCAGCCAAGTATTCTCTTTCTAAACCCTAAACAATAAAATCATTAAAAAAAAACCTCAATTATATATGTTTTCCTTTAAGCTATAGCATTCTTTCTCTGATAATACAACTGATTCAAGCTCTGGTCATCACCCTCTTACAACAATCAAGACTGCCCCTAGAGACTTAAGATTTTTCAGTCCTTGAAGGAGGTCTGTGTGTACAATATAGAGCAAATATCTACATCCATGTACTGCATGAAATTGCAATTAAAGCCAGAATTATGCCCTAGGAATCTAGTCAGCAAGGATCTAAACCATATCTTTTGGCAAATATAAAACAGGTAACTTAAAACTCTTAAGGAATCATGATACACAAGCTACGAAACGACTCAAGAAGCACAAAGATGTGGGACTCTACACTGAAGAGGGACCCTACACTGAAGAGGCCACAAGAAATTTGACTGAAATTGTAAGAGATGCCTAATGAACAGCAGGTTCTCAGATTGCTGAGGAGCAAATAGTCACGGAACTACAAAAGGAAGAGGTAAACAGTAAATGAGGGAAAACTCTAGAAGAAAACTATATTCTCTGTTTACTTTTCCCCTGGTCTATATGTAAATATCGACAAAGTGAAGAGTCTCTGTACTTCAGAACGCTTAGAGATAGTTTTATTTCCTAATTAATAACAGTGTGAAAACTTCTCAATTAAAAATTATACAGTAAAATATGTACACAGAAATGGAAGCTTAAGAATTGCATTATCTTTATTCTGAGATGAACATCATCTCACTCTCACGCAGAGGGAGATGGCTCCTGGTGGCCTCAGAGACATCAGGTTTAGCACCATTCTGTGTCTCTCATAAGAGCTATGAAGAATCATAGTGTTTTCAAATGAAAACTCAAGAATAAGTAAAATTAAGTTTTCTCATGGGGGAGGTTGAAATTTTTTTTTTCTTTATGCAATCTAAAGCCAAATCAATCTAAATTTAGTAGGAGGTTGTGTGAATGTGTATGTGTAATTACACAATTTTAGATCTAAAATGGTTTTTTGGTCTTTTTATATTTTTCCAAATATCATGTCTAGATATATTTCTACTGACCCCAAATTCACAGTTAATTATACATAATTACATACAATTCTCTATTCCTTTTTACTTAGAAGGATGATAGACCAAAATGATAACATTCTTGAAAGTCAAGACATTTATGTGTTCCTCCTCTTTTGTTTAATTTTCTGAATACCATCTTTATTATTTATACATACATTACACTGATTGAGCACTAACTCAATTTGCCAGCTACTCTATAAAATGCTTTGGAAACATTGTGTCATTTACTTTTTATGATAATTCTAAGAGTTCTGTACTATCATTATATCCAGTTTTCAAGCAGGGAAACTGAGATTAAGTAACTTGCTTAGGAACATGTCACACAGACAATAATTGATCATAGGCAGGTTGACATCAGAGGTCACATGCTTAACCAATATGAGACTCTGCCCTCTTGAAACATAAAAGAAAGGCCTTGCTGTGAAGGCTTCCTGTATTCTGGCACCTTGATGCCTGAATTCAAATAGCATTCTTCAATTTATGTCCATTTAAATTCTTACAATGAGTATATAAATTAGGTATTATTTTCCCATATAATTATACAGATAGATAAATGAGGATTAGAGAAGTTAAATAACGAATGTGACTAAAAGAACATGGCATACACTAGTTTACAGTCCCACCAACAGTGTAAAAGTGTTCCTGTTTCTCCACATCCTCTCCAGCACCTGTTGTTTCCTGACTTTTTAATGTAAACTAGTTCAACCATTGTGGAAGTCAGTGTGGTGATTCCTCAGGGATCTTGAACTAGAAATACCATTTGACCCTGCAATCCCATTACTGGGTATATACCCAAAGGATTGTAAATCATGCTGCTATAAAGACACATGCACACGTATGTTTATTGCGGCACTATTCACAATAGCAAAGACTTGGAACAACCCAAATGTCCAACAATGATAGACTGGATTAAGAAAATGTGGCACATATACACCATGGAATACTATGCAGCCATAAAAAATGATAAGTTCATGTCCTTTGTAGGGACATGGATAAAGCTGGAAACCGTCATTCTCAGCAAACGATCGCAAGGACAAAAAACTAAACGCCGCATGTTCTCACTCATAGGTGGGAATTGAACAATGAGAACACATGGACACAGGAAGGGGAACATCACACACCGGGGCCTGCTGTGGGGTGGGGAGAGAGGGGAGGGATAGCATTAGGAGATATACCTAATGTTAAATGACAAGTTAATGGGTGCAGCACACCAACATGGCACATGTATACATATGTAACCTGCATGTTGTGCACATGTACCCTAAAACTTAAAGTATAATAAAAAATAAAAAAAAAAAAATAACATGGCTACCAAGTGGAAAAGCCAGTGTTGACATGAATGTTTTGACTCCAAAGCCTATGCTCTTTGTAATATATTGTACCATCAGTCATTTCATTTTTAATTAATCATTCAAACAATGCTGCATGATAGTCCCATTATCTACATTCTTATAAGCAATGGAACAGGTTAAGTAATGTGTCTGAGTTCACCTAGGTATTAAGTAGCAAACTTGGGTTCTAGGCCAGCCTATTTGACTCTAAAGTCCATTCCTTGTGATAATCCGTTGTTACTGAGACATTCTTTTGATCAAGCTGCCCCTCATTTTGATATTTTTGCTTATTGATTTAACCTTTGCTATATGATCCTGTCTGCAGGTAAATGAATGTTAAACACAAACTTGACCATTTTATAGTAGTCATTTGTTTTCCTAATCCTGATACAGGTGATGCTTGAAAAACATAAATGACTTAGAAGGGCAATAGCCAAAAACAATGATATTTCTATGCAATATTTATAAAATATTTTTCACTGGAAATGAGTCTACACTATTTGGAATATTTTAAGTGAGTCAAGAATTTATTTCAATAACATAAATATTGTATTTTATTTATTTAAATAATTCCTCATTCTACCAAGGAATCATTTAAGGGGTCTCTGGAATGCTATTTCTTATATGTTAATAAATGATTTCTGGAATATATCTTCTTTGACAAATAAAATCAGTGACTATACAAGCTATTTTTAATTTAGAGATTGTATTATTCATAACACTAGCAGCAAACAGATGGCACACTCACATTAGGATCTTCTGAGGAAAACTTATTTGCAAACAACTAATTACAGAGCATGGGAAGGGTGTGGGAAAATCACAAGGACTAGAGTGTAAATCTGAAGCTGTCATTAGCCGTAGGCCTCAATGAATAAATGAACAGAGAGTTTGCTGGAATGAAGAAGGATTAAGAGTTGCATGGATTCAATACTGTTTTTTATCAAACTACCATAACATTCTTCGCAGAATTAGCCCATCAATGAAAGATTGGATAAAGAAAATATGGTTCATATATACTATGGAATACTACATAGCCACGAAAAAGAATAAGATCATGTCTTTGTGGGATCATGGATGGATCTGGAGGCTATTATCTTTGGCAAAGTAACGCAGGAACAGAAAATCAAATACTGTTTGTTCTCACTTGTAAGTGGGAGCTGAAATGATGAGAACTCATGGACACAAAGACGTGAACAACAGACACTTAGGTTGGAGGGTGAAAGGAGGGAAAGAAATAGAAAAAATGACTATTGGTTTCTAGGTTTAGTTCTTGGGTGACAAAATAATCCGTACAACAAACCCCCATGACACAAGTTTACCTACATAACAAACTTGTACATTTACCCTGAGCACATGAGCATTTACTGAGATGGTGCCATTTTGTTTAATCCATCTTCCTGGAAATCATGTTGCTGAATCCCAGTCCTGAATCCTACTTTTTTGCTTAAATACTATTTTACAAAAGTGATCCCCTCACTGTTCTCTATGAATATATCTGATGCGAAACTTAAGAAAGGGGTGAAGTTACTCCATAAAGGATATTAGTCCTGGTGTTCATGTTTGTGTATGTTGTAACTTGAATATAAAGAAAAGGCACCTCTCTTAGCTTTATTCTGAGTGCCTCTTTGTTAGTTCTGTCTAGAGTCTTTGCTCCTCGCAAACAGCCCAACATCACTGGGGCATCCATATTAATCAGCTATGATAGAATAACTGCTCAAATAAGGTTTGAGGGCAGGCAGCCTCGTACCTGGGATCTGTTCATCTATTTACATGGATCGGAATCTGAAATACTTCTCCAAGTCTCTCAATGTCAATTCCATTCCTTACCCTATTATATCTGATTTAATTCACGCGTTGAATTAAATGGTCATGTTATATAATGACCATAAATCTGGCAGTGATTGGTGTCTAGATCAGGGGAATCCACACAGACTCCACTCCTCCTGCTCAAGCTCTGAGGGCTACTTCATACTGTGTGCCCACACTGTGGACTTGAGCCATGCTTTTACTGAGAGGACTCATGCAACCACACCCTTCTTGTACTCCCTCCTCCAATTCTTCTAATACACTTTTCCCTTCTCTGTCTTCCCTTATTCCCCTTCATCAATCATGTATCTATGCTAAGCATGTCTTTATTATCCTCTGTCCTCAATTGGTACTCAGTTTTACCTCATTTTTCATGTCCAAAAGCCACACTAAAATTTATTTTTATTTTTATTTTTGCTGCTTTCTCTTAAAAGAGTACCCAACAAAGATATGTTAGTCAATAAGGATCGTCTTATATTATTATTTTACTTCTACCCATTCCAGACCCTGGAAAAAAAACAGGATCTAGGATTTTCTCTGAAATTAATTGCCAATGCTGTGTAGCCCAGCTCAAGTATCTCCTCCCTCTCTCACCCAAACATAAGTGTTTTGGGGATGCAGGGAAATAGGGAGAAGTGGACCTAAAGCTTTTCTTAAAACCTCCAATTATTTTAGACTCATATGGAACTATTTACTAGGATGTGGAGATACCATGCATATTAGATCATTCTCACGCTTCTATAAAGAACTGCCCAAGACTGGGTAATTTATAAAGGAAAGTTTAATTGATTCATAGTCTCACAGGGCTGGAAAGGCCTCAGGGAAGTTACAATCATGGCAGAAGGGGAAGCAAACACCTCCTTCTTCACATGGTGGCAGGTAGGAGAAGTGCCAAGAAAAGGGGGAAAAGCCCTTTATAAAACCATTAGATCTCATGAGAGTTCACTCACTATCACAAGAACAGCATGGGGGTAACTGTCCCCATGATTCAATTACCTCCCACCAGGTACATCCCAGGACACATGGGGATTGTGAGAACTACAATTCAACATGAGATTTGGGTAGGGACACAGACAAACCATATCAACATGCAAATTCCTACCATAGCTTCTTTGGTCTTGTGCTCATATTTGCCTTCCAACTTGATTTTCTGTTCATAAAACAGAACCTCCCACTTCTCAAACTCTTCCCTACCCACTCTACACCCTAATGTTGTTTTTCATTTGACTCCTAAAAATGCTCAACTTATGTTATCCTTTGTCTGATTACCACTTCTGTGTATGCCTTTGTCTCCAATTTTAGCTCTCTTGAGGACCCTATCTAATGGGATAAATGTACCAAAGCACATGCACACAAACACACACACACACACACACACACAAACACATACTCATGTTTGCATATCCATGAATTAAAATTTTTCCTTGAGTCCAGAATAACTAGTGAGAATATAAGACTTCGTAGTACATTAAGTCAGAATGAATAAACAAAGCCCAAACTTACAACTGTATCATAATAAAGCCCTGCATGTTCAAAACAATTTATCCCAGCATAAGGACTGTTCAATTAGACTTTCTGATGGTAAAATTTATTCTAAATAAAACCTCACCTGCATGCTGTGCCTTTTCTACATAAGAATTGGAGAAAACTATGCAGATCCTGCACCTGTTGAGTTATACAGGAAACCAAGAGTTCAAACACATGCAATTAAATACAAAAGAATAGAATGAAACCTTAGGTGGCTATGGTTTCTGCTGTTATTTTAGCTCTCCATGCTCTTGTACATCATATATCATTAGTGGGCAAAAATCACATAATAACAAATTACTAGCCTTATGCTCAAAGTTCTAACAATGTGTATTATGGGAACATCTATGGCTATTCTGAGCATACAAAATGTTTAAGCCAAACAGAAAGGTTATCACGTTGCATTTACGAATTTTGATAACTAGTGGCTGTGTGGTACGCATGTCTGTGACTCTGGAGAGCAGATTTAGGTTCAGCCTTGTGGCAGCTCCTGCAGGTGCTAATCAGGAGAGCTGCTGTGACTAAAACTGAAGTGGAAGTTTCAGCTGCCTGGGAGATGATTTTCATTAAAGCTGCCTGCCAGTGGCAATGCAGAATCCAGACTGGATTTTAGAAACAAAACGTGACACTTGAAAGTACTTGGACACATTGTTTATAATTTTCTAATGGTGGCATTGTGTCTTTTCATCATGAATGGAAATAAAATCTTTAGACAATTATTGATATAAAAGTTACCGTATAACAAACTGGCTAAATGTGAACATTTCCAAATTTCCTTCTAACTTATTTATAATATGTATATTGGCTTTGCCATTAAATATAGATGTATTTAGCATTTAAAATTAATTAAAGCTGCTGAAACTCATCTTTACTAAAAATACAAAAATTAGCCGGGCTTGGCGTTGCATGCCTATAGTCCCAGCTACTTGGGAGGCTGAGGCAGTAGAATTGCTTGAACCCAGGAGGTGGAGGCTGCAGTGAGCCAAGATCACACCACTGCACTCCAGCCTGGGCGACAGAGTGAGACTCTGCCTCAAAAAAAAAAAAAAAATTAAAGCTCCGGACAAAGACTAGAGGGATAATTCTGAATTGTATAATGAAAGTGTGAATTACTTTTTTATTCTTTTGCTTTATTACAATATGGTCATATTATTTATAACAATGAAATAAATGTAACTGATGATATAAAATTTGGTTCATTTAACAACAAAGGTTAATCTTGAGTTAACATTGTGTGTGTGTATATACACTCAATACTCTGCATTTATCCTTTGTTTAAAAAACCAGAACCCTATTTATGTAATTCTTTCTAGTATGAAAACATATTTAGGGGAAAAATGACTTTCAGAAAACCTCTAATACCTATAAACCAGAATGTTTATGAGAGTTAATGGATTTATTAAATAGTAATATCTTGACTATGTTATTATTAGTCTATTGATTCTAGATGATAAACTATAAAATAATATCTATGTAAGAACTTAAGTTTTATTAAGACAAATTTGGTGCTTAGAAAGTAGGTCGACAATATGAAGACATGCAGTAGTATTTTCCAAGGGAAATAAAGTGAAGATGAATCACCTAAGTGTTGTATTACAATATTGGTATTTGGCCTCAGACTAAAAGAAAAATCCCCTTCTCTCCATTGCTATATATCAACAAACATATTATTTCTTTAGTTACAAGCCTATCTTATTTTATTTTTTTAGTAACTGAATATATACTGAGAAATAATTAAGACATGTCTTAGTCCAAAACTGTTTCATGCCATCTTGCCTCCAAGCACTTTCCTACCTTGTTTGATATTCTTCCTATGCCTTTCAGGCTATCCGATAGGACTTCACAATTGTGCCACATCTTTGCCATATACTATGTACTTAATAAATATTAGTTTACTAAATGAATGTTTCTAGTTTGTACTACTACAACTGAAAGTTGTAGAAACTACGACTGATCCTTATCTGTCTGTGCTACAGATAGCAGACAGTTTGAATATTTGAAAGATTTTGAAGTAGCAGAAATTAAATATCTGAAAATTTATGATTGCTAACAAAAAAATAGATTGTTGTTAAGAGTACACATTTATCATAGTATTTTCAAGATAATTGTAATAAAATGCTACCTATTTTAGTCATTAGGATCTAAAGTTGTTATGTTTTTGAGCATCCAAAAGAAAAAAGGAAATTAATCCACAAAATCCATGAAAGGAAACAACAAGGAAATAGAAAGAGGTTTTTAGAAAGCTCCCATATGGCCACAAAATAGTGCCAGGTAAGGGCATTGCTGTCTTAGACCATATGAATACTTTTACATGTTTTTCAACACAGAAATGCACTGGTGCCTATAATAAGTTACTCTCCAGGTAATATAAGTCCTAGGGAAGGCGTAAGTTTTGTAAAAAAGGAAGAAAGAATGTTACTGCTTGAGAATATGAGGCTGCCAAAAAGCTATAGAACTTGCCTCTTTCTATGGATGAGTTTGCCACCTCTGCTTTCAGATGCCAAATGATAAATTCTGAATGTTTTCATATAATTTCAATGTATGTGTATAATGAGTGAATGTAAAGAGAGGGATTGCTCAGTTCAATTACTGTTTAAGTTCCTATAGAATGCTTGTCATTATATCAATTCTTCTACTTCAATCTGAGAATAATTCCTTTGGCTGAATGCTTAGTGCACGTCAACTGCCCCCAAATTAGTACTTTATCTCCCAGTTTCAGGAACCCGCTGCTGTCAAAGCAGTATCCACAGTGCCCTTGCCAACAGCACATTTGCTTCAGCTTTTTTTACTCTTTCTCCCCTTCTTCATGTGGGTTCAATCCAGGTGCATTATTATATAATCTGAAACATAATTATAAACTAAAGTTTTTGTAGTTTAAAAATCATTATCCTCTCAGCTGAGACTAAGGGAGTAAGCAATGTGAGAAGGTAAGATACTATAACAGGGTCAGTTCATGCATCATCTCTCAAAATATACTTGATATAGCTGAATTTTCTATACATGCCAAAGACTTGCTCTTTATGAAAATCCACACTTACAAATTGTTTCCTTAAACGCTATATGAGTTTCTGTTTGCATCTCTTCTTATATAAATTCATATAAGAAAGTGAGTAGACTTTTCACATGCATGCTCAAATTACTTTTGGAAGTATATTAAAAAATCATTTCCTAACCTGAATGAATATGAGTGTCAGTTTTGTGGACATTTTAATTAGGAATCATTTACTAGGAATAGTTATAACAGGAGTCCATGAAATTTATAGATATAAATGCCCAAATTCCACCACCCTTGTAGATTCCTGTGTAATGTTGAGAAGCATCAAAATATCTGTATAGTTTTTAATAATCCACAGGTTAGTATTTAAATTTTCAAATCTATTAGATTTTAAAATACTGCTTTAAGTGAGATCTCCTATGTGCACATTAATATATCCAAGTCTTCTTAGAACATATGGTGGAAAGAAACAGCAGTCACAAATAAACTTCAAAATTCAAATTTTATTGTCTATGTACTGACGTGTTATTTAAAAGAAAGTAAATCTCTCCCACAACTTTCTCCAAAAACACCCTGGTAGAAGTTTTAATAGTAAATATATAAAATGTGAATATCAAGAAGAGATGGAGGAGAAAGGAATGAAGCTAATTAAGATGATGATATATAGTTGGCAATAGGTTAAATGTGAAAGTTTTCCATTTATATACACCTATACTCTGCTGATAACACTAACTTGTGTACATATGTAACAGCTGAAGAGATTTCTGCTGGCTATAATATTCTAACTTCCAAGATAAATTGCTTTTCTCTAGACCAGGTAATTAGCAATAGATTGTCAGTATATGTGAACTTTAATATCTGAAAAAGCCTCACAGTAACTTCATACCATTAATTATGAAAAAGTGTTGAATTCTTGACTTTAAATACCAGCAAATGAATTTTGTACATTATTAATACCGCAGATATGTAATACTCTCCCAATACATGAATTCCTACACATACATACACAATCATTACAATTGGGAATTTTTTTAAAAAAGAAGACTAATTAATCATTTTTACTTTAGGCATAACATATTTTTTTTTCAGTAATATAACTAGTACTTGGCCCATTATCACTTTACTAAAGTTTAGGCTACAAAGTTGTAAGCAAAATTAAAACAAGTCTCTGTTCCCTTAAAAAACAGAGAAATCTTAGAAAGTTTACCAACTTTTTTACTTCAGTAAAAAAGAGCAGTGTACTATATTTTGTTTAGCATTGTGGATATTGTTACATAAATTATAAAGAAAACTTCTACAAATAGAATGATGGAAGAATGGAATAAAAAAAGAAAAATTAGTTAAAATTTGAAATTTAATTACAGGAAATCAAGTAAACATAGCAGATAGGGTCAGTGCATCTGCAACGAATACAAGACCATGAAGAGTGTGAATAAATGTTCCTTTCTTGGCAGGGCATGGTGGCTCATGCCTGTTATCCCAGCACTTTGGGAGGCCGAGGAGGGCGGATCACGAGGTCAAAAGATAGAGACCTTTGGCCAACATGGTGAAACCCCGTCTCTACTAAAAATATAAAAATTAGCTGGGCGTGGTGGCACGTGCCTGTAGTCCCAGCTACTCGGGAGGCTGAGGCAGGAGAATCGCTTGAACCTGGGAGGCAAAGGTTGCATTGAGCCGAGATTGCGCCACTGCACTCCAGCCTGGGTGACAGAGCGAGACTTCATCTCAAAAAAAAAAAAAAAAAAAAAAAAATATATATATATATATATATATATATATATATATATTCCTTTCTTTCTTTACCAGCTACTCAAAATTCCCTTCCTTCATCCAACACTTCAGCTCACATTTTTCTGATTATCCACTTGGGATGGAGACTAGATGAGTGAAGGCTTTATTCCTAAGAAATCTGAATCTTTAGTTGGCCCATTTACATTCTTCCTCTAATATTTAGCACTGATGATCACATAAATGAGAAACCTCAGAGGATGCCCTAGATTCTATTCATAGTCTTCCCTTCCCCTTTTCTCTGGCATCATGTTATTTTCTCGATAGTAAACACCATAACCTCAGTCAACACATTACACTCCTATTGTGTCTATTTACTTAAGATACAGGGGCTGATAGGAGCATTTTTCCTTGGACCTTACAATCTCTAAACCAACTAACTCCCAAGTAAATGAAAAGCAGTTTTTTTGTTTTGTTTTGTTTTGTTTGCCAACAGGTCATGATATATATGAGTGAGAGATACCACCTCTATTTCTACCTTTTATTTTCAAACCTACGTATTCTATGGGGAATGAAAATATTTTATATTGCTCACCGGCTTGAAGCACGTACCACACACTGCTAGAGGGTACCCCAATATTGACAAGTTACTGTCTCTTAACTGTTGCCATAATAAGCCTTCCAGTTTCCCTTATGTCTAGTGACTTCTGGCTGATGGAGAACCTTATAGGAACAGTGAATTATCTGAACATTTGTCAATCATTTCACTTTGTTTACTGTAGAATGAGTTAATTTTAGAGAGTAATATTTTGTGAAATATCATGACATTCTATAAGGCAGTCAGAAATTCAAAAGATGATTCTAGCTGAAATATGATGAAAAAAGAAAATAATTTAAATTTATACTCTTTTTATTTACACATGAGAACAAAAGACTAGCTCAGGTAAGTGGGTCTAAGGTAGTCAAACTTTCACCTGTAGCTGGCAGTGCATGTCGTTTCGAGGCAGCATACCATTTGGTGGCTCAATATTGGCTGCTTCTGTTAGAAACTCAGGCACTTAGCTGAGACATTAGCCAAATTAGCCTTGTTGTGAGAAAATGTTGATATTGAGTCCAAGAATAGCCTCCAGTTTTAGGATGGTATTTTTATGGCTTTATTAGAAAGCACTGAGTGGGCAATTTTTTTTTTTACTTTACTTATTTTGGGGACATATGGGTGGGAATATTTATATAACATACAAATATTATTAAATTGTGGGTGTTATGTCCATTACTAGTGGTCCATCTGCATATCTCTTCCATCAATCTCCTCATAATTTCTCCTGTTGTATTTCCAATCCTATGCTACCCAACTTCCATGTATTCTCAGAAAGCAATATGGATTTTAATTTTAAGCCAGCTCTAATTATAAGCAATGTAGACAACAGGATGCACTACTTGATGTTCTGCCCACTGGAAGAATTCTTTCCTGCATGCCTCTCAGGGCCCTACCTGAGTGAGACTACAGCAATGCCCATCTGGATGGCCAGCATATCATGCTGGGTATTCTGCGATTCATGCTCCAATATTTTGCTCCTTTGTCAAGATATCTTAGGGAATGCTGTATGAGAGCACAGTTTTGGAGTAAGAGGGAGAACCGATGTAGAATTACACACCCCTAAAATGTGACTTAAAAATCAAAGAAGTGGGAATAATGTTGCTCACATACAAATTGTTACTCTCATGACTTTGAACCTGGAATGACTGCTCTAGTGTAGTCTGCTTGATGTGAAATCTAGGAAAAGGTGATTTTTCAGAGATATATCTAGATAAGTAGGCAGACGGTTGTCATTGAATTGTTTGGACATAGCAAGTCATCCAAATGAACACTAGTTATGGAGGAAAGTTATACAAGCCACAATTCTAGTTCCTGAGAGAGCCTCTTCTGAAAAGTAAAATAATAATATCCAAAAATCTACTCCATACAAACAATGAGAACAAATGCAAAAACTGTCAAAATTCACAGATTTTGGAATCAACCTTTAAGGAACTCTGGAAATTAACTAAAGACTTGCAACAATATAGAGAGCTTTTTTTTTTTTTTATAGCTTACTCTCAACAAGAAGAGTGAGCTATGTGTTTTATGCCTTATTCCAATCTTCTTCCTCCCCAATTCTGTAGTAGCCTTGAAAACTAACAGCCAAAGAAACTAAAAAATGTATGTAAAACCACCATTTGGAAACTTGGAGGGAACAAAATGAGATTGGAGCACTCCAAAATTCCAGATTATAGTTATTATTTGACTTATCTGGCAGCTCACTAAAAAGCTTTATTCTCAGGGCTTGACTACATTTGATCTAACAGAGGGATTCCTCTGCACGAATAGTCCTATCCTCAAGATATTTGTCAAGAACAATTAGTGGCACTTGTTTGTCATCATAGCTGCTTGGGTAGGATTACCAGTTGGAGATAATAAGAGGCTGATCGAAAAATGTAAAAGAAAATAATGTGGAATAACATGTCCACAGGGGGCTTTCAAAGCTCTAACAAAGTCCTGGTGATATGGTTTGGCTCTGTGTTCCCACCTAAATCTCATGCCAAATTGTAATCCCCACATGTCAGGAAAGAGACCTGGTAGGAGGTGATTGGATCATGCGGACAGATTTTCCCTGTGTTCTTCTGGTGATAATAAGTGAATTCTCATGAGATCTGATGGTTTAAAAGTGTGGCATTTCACCCCTCCCTTTCTCTATCTCCTGCCACCATGCAAAATATGTCCTGCTTCCCCTTCACCTTTCACCATGATTGTATGTTTCCCAATTGTATGTTCCCCAGCCATGAGGAACTGCAAGTCAGTTAAACCTCTTTTATTTATAAATTACCCAGTCTCAGTTAGTTATTTATAGCAGTGTGAAAATGGATTAATATATCTGGGATTGAAAAGCCACATACTTGTTCAAGGCTGTGCACATACTAGTGAAAGACGTGAGAAGGTGCTTATCCCTGCCACTTAGTTGACCTTGAGGGTCTGCAGAAGCAGAAAGTGAACACTAAGTCAGAGTTGTCAACTGCCTTCTACAGAATTGAAGATGTGTTTCCAATACAACCACAGCACTCGTAAGCAATGTCTGGCAAATTCTTTAGTTCAAGGTATTGAAGGAAATCTCCTGTTCAATCATTAGCTGACCACTAACTGAAGCAAGCAGAGACTTCGCTAACAAATGCAAGAAAAAAATCATAATCTACAGAATTTGTCCAGAAAAGTAACTAAACAAGCAAACAGTAACAATTAACAATCTCCAGGGTAAGAAGGGAGGTGATCTGACTTTCCGAGTTGAAACATCATATAATTTAAAATGTCCAGCTAAAAAAAGCTATGAGATATGCAAAAGAATAAGATAATATGAGCCATAAACGGGAATAAAAGCAGCCAATAGATGCCACTTCCAAGAAAGCCTAGATGTTGACCTTAGTGAAGACTTTAAATTAATCATTTAAAACATATTCATGGAACCAAAGGAAACCGTGTTTAAAGAACTAAAGGAAAATATGAGATAAATTTCTTACCAAATAGAAGATAGAAATAAAGAGATAAAAATTTTAAAAATGGCTAAATAAAAATTCTGGAGTTGAAAGTACAATGGGGTTTTAAAATTAATTAGAGAGGATCAATGGCATATTTTAGCAAGCAGAAGAAAGAATTCACAGTTTCAAAAATAGTTTAATTGAGATTATCCATTTTAAGGCAACGAAAAAATGGTATGAAGAAAAATAAACAGAGCTTTAGAGATCTGTTTGACAACATAAATTACACTAATATATAATGGGAGATTTTAAAGGAAAGAAGAGAAGGAAGAAATATTTGAATACGTAACAGCTAAAAACTCCTCAAATTTAATTAATCTGTACATCTAAGAAGATTAAAGAACTCTAAGCTGGATAAATTCAGATATCCACATGTAAACATATCATAATCAAAGCTTTGAAAGGCAAGTACAAAGAGAGACCTTTGAAAGTAGCTTAAAAAATGACTTCACATATATACTCAATAATATTGACATCAGAAACAACAAAGGCCAGAAGTCAGTGGAAGGACATATTCAAAATGCTGAAAGAAGAGATTGCCAGCCCAAACATTCTATCTTCTGCAAAACTATTCTTCAAAAATCAAGGACAAATTAAGACATTCCAAGATAAAAAGAGAATGTGTCATTAACAGATGAACCCCAGGAAGAAGTTTTTTAAGCTTGAGAAAACCAAATATTAACTTGAATCCAAAAAAATAAAATAAAAAGAAATTACACTGGTAAATCTAACTATATAGGTAAATAGACAGTATAAATGTAGTTTTTATTTGCGATTGTTTTATGGTACTGTTTGATTTAAAGCACAATTGTGTAAAGCAATATTTTAAAAATATTGTTGATGGGCTCATAATGCATAGACATGTAATTTGTATGAGAATAATTATACAAAGGAGGAGAAATGGAGCTGTATTGTAACAACTTTTTAAATATGTCATCCAAATTAATTCAGTATTAATCTGATCTAGATTTTCAATTAATATGTAAATTGTAACTACCAGGATAATCATTAAGAAAATGACACAAAATCATGTAGTACAGGAAACACTTAAAGCATTAATATAAAATATAAACATGAGGCAGTTTTAACAATTAGATCAGCAATAATTGATTTAAAAATCAACCATAATAACAACACTGAAATAATCACTTTACTATGTTGGTGTTTACCATTTGATATGGTTTGCCTCTGTGTCCCCACCCAAAATCGAATATCAAATTGTAAATGTCATGTGTGGATGGAGGGACAAGGTGGGGGGGCGATTGGATTACGGGGGCGGTTCCCCCCACGCTGTTCTCATGATTGTAAGTGTTTGACAATTCCTTCTTCACACTCTCTATCTTGCCTCCACCGTGTAAGATGGCCTGCTTCCCTTTCTGCCATGATTGTAAGTTTCCAGCTATGTGGAACTTTAGTTCAATTAAACCTCTTATCTTGATAAATTACCCAGTCTCAGGTATTTCTTTATAGCAGTGTGAAAATGGACTAATAAACATTTTTAGTCTTTTAAAAAATGTTCACATGTATTTGTACACACTTATTTATTTTAATTTAACATTTTTGGACTCAGGTTGGTATTTGAAGTATCAAGTGGAAAATTTTTAAACATGTTTTCTGCATAAAATGAATTCTGTCTTTATACACATAGAAACTGGTATTTTATGTTACATATGACTAAAGATGTATATGGATTCATGGCATGTGCTCATGTATGTTACCATATAAAATATTTTTAAATAATTGCTTATGATTTTGTAATCAAGCAGTGAAAGTTAAAATTAAATTGCATATATGTCTGCATATTCTTGTGATTTAAAGAGCTACCAGTAGTATACATGATATTACTTGTCATTTCCCTAAATAAATGAGTTTTATTATCTAAAAACAGTTTAAAGAATTTTTTAACCACAAAGTCTTAAAAGTATATTAATAAGCAAATGATGAAAAAATTAAATTTAAATTTAAAAATTTAAAATAAAATGCCCCATAGAAATGCTTTTGGTTTGTGGGCATATGCAAATTTGTTTGGAGAAGTTATTCTCTCAGTATTCCCTTCACATGGGGATTTATGTGATGTTTGTTTTCACTAAGAAGGAGAAAAATGAAAAAGTGATTTCAGAACCTGATTTGATTGCTTTGAAAACAAACAAACAAAGAGCTTTTTTTCTAGTGGCTTTGAGCTAATTGCTCTTCCCTTCAAATCTCTCTCTCTGTATGTAGGTGTGTGTTTTTTCTTTTTCTATTTTCAAGGTAGATTTAGTAGGTTATAGGAAAAAAACTTGCTTAATTTACTTCTTCATTTTGAGAGATATTTTCTTCTATATATTTTCTTATCTTACTCTCTGAAGTCTCATTTTAGGCTTTTCATGTTGAGGAGTTAATAATGCACATGCCGGATATTTTTCTGATATTTTTCAACTTTTAAGCGGTCTTATCTAATAAGATTCCAGAAATGATATATCCTCATTGCAATTCTGCCTCTAAGAAAACTATATTATATCCAGAGAGCCATGCCACACAGTTACCTATTCATTATCAATCCCATTACCTATAAAATAGTAAGGGGGGACAGCCCTTGTCAAATGAAAGCACTTGGATTAAATTTTTAAAAAGTTAAGGAATTTACATAATTCATTTTAAGGATTTAAAAATATAATATACATATACTCATACGCTCAATAATTGCTAACTTTAACATCTATGCTTATTCTTGAACTATATATATCCAAGTTATCTCTTATGTTATTTTCCTTCAAAAAATAATAGCTAATGTTAATTGAACACTTAGTATGCACCAAACACTATTCTAGGCCCTTTGCCTGTGTCAGCTTATTTAATATTCACACTGACCTGTTAAATAGGTTTTATTATTACTGTTTCTTATAGTAGAAGAACCTGAGATAGACAGGGATTAAATAACCTGCTGCAGAATTTGAACTCAAACTATCTAATGACAAACAAAGCCTGCAATGTTAACCTATATGATATTGTTAGCCATGAAACAATTATCAATGAAAGAAATTTATTTAGGATGAAAGATGGCTAGTGTCTTTCCTAGTATACAAAAGATAGACATATATGTAGCAACACGTGTCTATCTTTTGTATACTAGGAAAGATACTATGTCTTTATACTAGTGAATATATAGATATTTGCTTAGAATAATTTAATTTAGTGGATGTCAGAGTTTCTCTAATGATTAAAGTTCTATTCGCCATAATATAGTAACTTCGGATGAGGTTTGGAAGTAGACGTTTGTCAAACATATCTGGTGGCTGGTTAATTTAAACACATTCTTGTGGCTGTTAGAGGCTTAAGTCTGAATTTTTTAAGTTGTTTCCTTAGTGATTCAACAAAATGCAGTGTAATCTAAATAAACAAAAGGCAATGTTTTATTAAAGACATTCAAACAAAATATTAGTATTGTTTTTTATATTTTTATGAAAGAATGAAAATATGAAAATTATTGTTCATTCAGATATATAATAAAATAATATTTATGGTTGGGAGAGAGACCTTCAGGACTAAAGCAATAATTTATAAATTTAGGATGAATTTATACTTTTTCTTTTTTTATTTTAAATATTTGCAGATTTTCTTTTATTTTAATTATACTTTAAGTTTTAGGGTACATGTGCATAACTTGCAGGTTAGCTACATATGTATACATGTGCCATGTTGGTGTGCTGCACCCATTAACTCGTCATTTAACCTTACGTATATCTCCTAATTCTATCCCTACCCCCTCCCCCAACTCCACAACAGGCACCTGTGTGTGATGTTCCCCTTCCTGTGTCCATGTGTTCTCATTGTTCAATTCCCACCTATGAGTGAGAACATGCAGTGTTTGGTTTTTTGTCCTTGCGATAGTTTGCTGAGAATGGTGGTTTCCAGCTTCATCCATGTCCCTACAAAGGACATGAACTCATCCATTTTATGGCTGCATAGTATTACATGGTGTACATGTGCCACATTTTCTTAAACCAGTCTATCATTTGTTGGACATTGTTGGACATTTGTGTATATGTGCCACAATAAACATACATGTGCATGTGTCTTTATAGCAGCATGTTTTATAATCCTTTTAGTATATACCCAGTAATGGGATGGCTGGGTCAAATAGTATTTCTAGTTCTAGATCCCTGAGGAATCACCACACTGACTTCCACAATGGTTGAACTAGTTTACAGTCCCACCAACAGTGTAAAAGTGTTCCTATTTCTCCACATCCTCTCCAGCACCTGTTGTTTCCTGACTTTTTAATGATCACCATTCTAACTGGTGTGAGATGGTATCTCATTGTGGTTTTGATTTGCATTTCTCTGATGGCCAGTGATGATGTGCGTTTTTTCATATGTCTGTTGACTGCATAAATGTCTTCTTTTGAGAAGTGTCTGTTCATATCCTTTGCCCACTTTTTGATGGGGTTGTTTGATTTTTTCTTGTAAATTTGTTTGAGTTAATTGTAGATTCTGGATATTAGCCCTTTGTCAGATGAATAGATTGCAAAAATGTTCTCCCATTCTGTAGGTTGCCTGTTCACTCTGATGGTAGTTTCTTTTGCTGTGCAGAAGCTCTTTACTTTAATTAGATCCCATTTGTCAGTTTTGGCTTTTGTTGCCATTGCTTTTGGTGTTTTAGACATGAAGTCCTTGCCCATGCCTATGTCCTGAATGGTATTGCCTAGGTTTCTTCTAGGGTTTTTATGGTTTTAGGTCTAATGTTTAAGTCTTTAATCCATCTTGAATTAATTTTTGTATAAGGTGTAAGGAAGGGATCCAGTCTCAGCTTTCTACATATGGCTAGCCAGTTTTCCCAGCACTGAAGAAAAACAATAATAACAACAACAACAAAAAGTGAAAACCATATACCTATATATAGCTTTTATTAATATTAAATTTTGTTTAAGTATACTTTAACGGTACACACTTATTGTATGTCAGATACTCTTCTACGTGTTCAAAAATATAACCTTACTCATCTTTATACCCACTGTGCGGTGGCTATTGTAATCTGCATACTACAGATGAAGTAACTCAGAGAAATTAAACTACTTTCCCAAAGTCATACCACTGAGATGTGGCAGACACTGGAAGTAAAATATCGGTTCTAATTTCCAAGCTTATGATCCTAACCACTATTCTGTCTTGTGTATCTTAGGCTTTTACAACTGTCATCATTTCTCTCTCTTTCACACACATGAGACACTGAGTTACCACTCAACAACTCTAATCACACAATCGATAATAGAATATAATAAAATTTCCATTACTTTCATTTATAGCGTTCAAGTCTTACAAAACCCACAAGTTCAGATATGCTTTGAAGTTTTTGCAGTTGTACGAAAGCTACATTAAATACATATTAGACCCATGCGTTACAGAATAGCGTAAGATTTGTAAGAAATAATTTTGTCGAATACTAATTAACTCTAGGTAGTTTTTAATGCCTGTAATGTATAAAAACAAAGTACAACCATAGTAACGCTAATAATTTTTAGTGGTGATTTTTATTCCAGCTCTTTTAAGTTAGAGATCAAATTATGTGCTGAGTGAAATTTTAAAAATCATCTAGTCTATGTTACTGATAAGGAAACTATAGCTCGGAGATATTATGTGACCTCTCCAAAGACACACAGCCAATTGGCAGCGGAGTTGGAATAATCTCAACATCCCTGAATGCCAGATCAGTTTCTCTTCACTATTTATATGCACAGTTATACAGCTTCTCTGCATGGTTTATATGAATTAACTTACTAATAATATTTTAAATAACAACTGTTAGTAAAAACAGGCACAATCCAAGTCTCTAAATATGTATAACATTTTATTAAAGGGTCAGATAATCCAGGGGCATTATTATAAGGCTGACTTTATATGCAGTTAATGGAAAGGTTGTATTACTCTATAGTGTCTCTTTCTTCCTCTACATATATATAGTTAGATGTATAAGATATATCATATATATGAGAGAGACATATATATAAAGAGAGAGAGAGAGAGAGAGACAGAGTTAAAGTGATGATCCTGCAAGTAAGTTTGCATTACTTATTTAGTTGTACTCCTAAAATCAGCACATACATTTATACATTTCATGGTGTATATTCAGATGTTTTATTACTAAAATTAATTTCAGTAGCTTTCTTAACATTAATCTGTAATAAAGTTTTAAAGTCGTGGTTAACAATGAGAAAACACATTTACTTTCAAATACAGTTTGATAAATGTAATTTTAGAAAACGCTGAGGTGATGAATGTGTTCATTGACTTGATTGTGGTAATTATTTCACAATGTATATATACGTCAAACCATCACATTGTACATTGTGAATATATGCAGTTTTATAAATTCTACCACAAGAAAACTGGTGAAAGGAACACATACATGCTCAGACACATTACACTGTTTTGCTTGGCCATAAATAGGGTGTATACAAATTTGCTTCCAACATCATATGTAATTACCTTTCCATGTTAGATTCCTAGTAGATACTCAGATATTTCAGATAAAATATCAAGAAAAATCACTGATGCTGCCTTGCAAACACCTATCATCAGATATTTGTTCCCTATGTATTCAAGGTTAGAACATTTTAAAATGTAAATAAATTATACATAAACGTAGACATGATGATTAGCCACTTACTGTAACTATAAGAGACAAAGAACTAACATTTCTATAACATTTCATACCAAGTTATTCCTATACACATTTTCTTCAAGAATTTTAAGTTATATAGGCAGATGTCATTTATTTTCCCCATATTTTTGAATAAATATAAAAGAATTGTCATTCATAAAGCATCATGATTACTGGTGATTAACTGGATAAATTAAAAATAACTTATGTGTGTCAATTTTTTAAACTATAGAACAGGGATACAAATGTTCACTTTTCCTACTTCCAAGTGTTTCTACAAATACCAAGATAAGGCAGGAGATAACTAATTGCATACTATAAAGAGTTTTTCTTCCTTATCTCCTTTCCCATATATACAGCATGAGGTAATTACTAAAGTTCTTTCTGTAATAAAAAATTGTATTGCATAAGTGTAAGATAATTATTGACTGCTTATGCGTAGGTTTTCAACCTGGTTTAGAATTTCTCTAGGTTATAATTTATGTGGTGTTAATATTTTTGTCTCTCTCAACATTCATCCTGTAGGATTAAAAAAAAATCTGCTTCTGTTTTTCCAACTTGGATTTACTCAAGTTTAAGTGTGACATACTTTATTCTTCTTCTTGCTTATCTTTAAGAGGAATCAAGAGACTTGTTGGATCTATCAGTGTTTTCAGGGAAGACATAACTAAATAACAACAGAACATATATTTTTATACACATACACACACACACACACACACACACACACACATATTTTTACACTGTTCAGATAAACAACTTCTCTTCTGTAAAGCCTAGGAAGTCTTAGCCCAAAAGCAGAATGTTAAACAATATATACTGATGTTAAAGAAATAATGGATACTTCACCTTATACATATTCCTAGTAAACCAAGATTTTATAGTTGTAGTAATTGAAGCACTTTTAAAATCACAATTTCATTAGATTATAACCCAGCTAAAATATCATTTACAAAGGTTTGGGTCATCATTTTTACTACAAATGATTTTAATCAAAAGAAAATGCTTAGAGGAATGGAACTGACCAGTATTTTTTATAATGCAACAGCTCCCCCATCTTACAGACAAAAGAATATAAACTAGAATTCTTTTTTGATATATAATATTAACAAGGCCTATATCATATAAAGTTAATTAAATTGTATTTTCTTAAGTTCTGTTGGACTTGATATATTTTCTTTTCTCCTGTAAAAAGACAAATCTTATCATGGATATATATTCCAGAAGTATCTGTTATATCTACATAATCTTCTGAGAAGGTAAGAATTCATACAGAACACTGAAAATGATAGCACAGTCGCTAAGATATTTAAAATTCATGTTGTAAGGATGAATAAATGCAGTATCCTGGATATTCTAAGTTTTTTTTAGCATGTTCTGAGAAAATACTTTTTCCACTTATCTCTTTGTGTGCTTTAAACTGATGTGTTTCTATTTG
The DNA here is from genome assembly GCF_000001405.40 of Homo sapiens. Taxonomy (NCBI): domain Eukaryota; kingdom Metazoa; phylum Chordata; class Mammalia; order Primates; family Hominidae; genus Homo; species Homo sapiens. The sequence continues at coordinate 41,586,854 of NC_000014.9, forward strand.
CAGTCTTTTTAAACATTTTCTTATATTTTGGTCATTTAATAAAGTATTTAGAGATTTCTCTTCAAAATTAGTTTGACTCGATATTTGAGCAAATATTTATTCTCCATTTTTAGTCTTGCAAAAAGCTAAAGAAAATGCTTAAGCAATTTACCTCAGATCTCCTTTATAATGATTACATAAATAATCCAATTAAAAATCCTAAAAGTTATTTACTTAAGACAACTCAGGTGAAAGGATTATTTTTTGACATTCTAGAAATTGTATCTGCATATTTATAAACTAATATTTCTGAGATGACTTTTCCATAATATACAAATTAAAATTCTCACTCTTAAAAGTTCCATTGGGCTCTATATACTACAGAGTTTTTCTGTATTTCATTAGTATAAAACAAACACAAATGATATGAGAGCCAGGAAAAAAATGCCTACCACATATAATAGTATAATGAATAAATTAAGAGAGAATTACAGATTTTTTTAAATTTTACTATGTAGGTATTTAGCCTACTGAAAGTAAAGCAAATTTTTTTGAAAATTCATATTTTAACATTAAGTCCACATTAACATGATTCCATTTCGGAAAAACCCCCACCTTACCCCGACACCATCTCCACCAAGATTTCTTGAGAGCATTTGGCAGAGAATATATTGGTCAAAGTTCTTGAATATTTAATAGATACATATGAGGACACTTTTAGAATGCCGTAGCCAGTGGTATACTGGGACCAGCGTGTTGGCTAGCTGAAACCAGTTATGCACATTTCTTCCCAAATCTGTATTCACTGATGTGATTTTCACCAAATCCATGCCAACATCTATTGTTTTCTGACTTTTTAATTGTGGACATTCTTGCGGGAGTAAGGTGGAATCTCACTGTGGTTTTAATTTGCATTTCCCTGGTGACTAGCGATGCTGTATTTTTTTTTATGTTTATTGGCTGTTTGTATATCTTCTTTTGACAATTGTCTATTCATGTCCTTTGCACACTTTTTAATGGGATATTTGAATTCATTTATTTGTTTGAGTTCCTTGTAAATTCTGGATACTAGTCCTTTGTCAGATGCATAGTTGGTGAATATTTTCTTCCATTCTGTGGGTTTTCTGTTTATTCTTCTGATTATTTATTTGGTGTGCAAAATCTTTTCAGTTTAATTGAGTCCCATTTATTTATTTTTGTTTTTGTTGCATTTTCTTTTGGTGTCTTAGTCATGAATTCTTTGCGTAAGCCAACATTTAGAAGAGTTTTTCTGGTGTTATCTTCTAGAATTTTCAAGGTTTCAGGTTTTATATTTAAGTCTTTGATGCATCTTGAGTCGATTTTTGTATTAGGTGAGAGCTGGGGATCCAGTTTCATTCTTCTACATGTGGCTTACCACTTTTTCCAGCACAATTTACTGAATACAGTATCCTTTCCCCAATATATGTTTCTTTGCTGCAAAAGAAAAGATACTTAGACATATACTTAACCAAGGGTGTGAAAGATCTCTACAAGAAAAATTACCAAAAAAAAAACAAACAAAAAAAAACTGCTGAAAGATATCACAGATAATACAAACAAATGGAAACACATCCCAAGATCATGGATGGAAAGAACTGATATTGTGAAAATGACCATACTGTCCAAAGCAATCTACAGATTCAATGCAATTCTGAACAGAATACCATCATCTTTCTTCACAGAACCAAAAAATAAAAAACCAAAAACCTCCTAAAATTCATATGGAACAAAAAATGAGCATGAATAGCCAAAGCAATACTAAGCAAAAAGAACAAATTTAGAGGCATCACATTACCAATTGTGCTACAAGGCCATAGTAACCAAAACAGCATGGTACTGGTATAAAAATAGGAAAGTAAACCAATGGAACATAATAGAGAACCCAGAAATAAAGCCAAATACTTACAACCAACTGATCTTCGACAAAGCATACAAAAATATAAGATGTGCTTTACAATTCAAAAAAATGAAAATTGTTTAATATTTAAATGAAAGTAATATAAATTTGGAATATCTGTTTTTCATCAGTTGGTCCTTTTACTATTTATTGTAGGTAAGTTCTAGCCTTAAAAATAGTGGTTCTCAAAATATAAGAAGCACAGAATCACCTGGAAGGCTTGTTAAAACAGATTCCTGAGTTTCTAGTCCAGTAGATCTTGGGTAGACCTGAGAATCTGCACTTCTAAAAATATGGCATTCTAAGGACCACACTTTGTGAACTGCTGCTCTAAAAGTGCAAGTGTTCTAAGTATTGATTTTATCAATGGTAACCACACCGACACTGACAAATCACCCAAATCTTTGACACATGAATGCTAGTTAGTAAACCTCAGTACTTTTAAGAAGTATAATTGAAATCTTATTGAGGTTATTATCCTCAACTAGTTGACCCGCATAATGGAAAACACGAAGAGCTCAGATTGTATTAAAAATAATTTGGATATCTTCTGATATTCAGCAAGTCAAACAACTATTCTGAAGTTGCTATTTCCTATATTATAAAATAATACTCACATAATGTTAATATTTATCCATAAAGTATTTGTCCTTGGAATCAAAGTGTTTGTACTGTTAGAAGAAAGACCTATACCTATCCAAAGTCTACTAAAAATTCTGATAATTGGTGAGGGGAAACCACAGTGTGCTTGAACTGTTTTGTTTTATTTTGTTAGTTTCTAAATTGAATTTTTATTGTGTTTTATCATTTATTTAGTTTTCAAAAATAGTTGTCAACCACTCATTTGCTTACAGATTTTTCTTACGTGGCTTGTTATAATAATACATCTATCACAGGACCTTTGTTTCTCAAAATTAAGACATTTAAAAATTTCACCACATTCCATCATCCTAAATTTAATTTAAAATATCAGTAAGAAAAGTCATACAAAAATAAATGGAAATATTTATGAAAGAGCTTGGACAAGACAATATGTAGCAGCTTCTGTTATTCTTTTAGAAAGAAGTGTTCCTTCTTCTGCTTAGAGTTAATCTCTACTAGATAGGATACCCTACAAACTCCTTAGGTATCTTGCTTCAGCAATTTATTTACTTTTGTCTTACTTCCTTTGTGTTACCATAAGAAAATACCATAAACTGAGTGGCTCATAAACGACGTACTACTATTGATTTCTCACAGTTCTTGAGGCTGGGAAGCCCAAGATCAAGGTCCTAGCAGACGCATTGTTTGGTGAAGGTTGTTTTTTTCATAGATAGAGACCTGATTGTGTTCTCATATGACAGAAAGGACAAAGAAATTTTTTTCGTATTTGAGGCCTCTTTTATAAGGACACAAGTCCCATTCATGAGGACTCTGCCCTCATAACCTAATCACCTCCCAAAGGCCTTAGCTTTTAATATCATGGACTATGAATTGGATGTGATTTGTCTGCACCAAAACTAATGCTGAAATTTAATTGCCAAAGAAACAATATTGGAAGATGGGACCTAGTGGGAGCTGTTTGGGTCAGGGCAGTGAATCCCTCATGAATAGATTAATACTATCACATGGGAGTCATATTTTATTCTTGAGAAACTAGATTAGTTACTTTGAGAGGAGGTTGTTATAAATCAAGGTTCCTCTTCATGTTTGGTCTGTTTATACACATCCACTAACCTTTCCACTTTTGCACCTTGTCTTGATGCTGCACATTGCCCTTACAGAAGCAAATATAACAATTTTTTTGTTATAAACAAAATATAAGCAAAAATAACAGAAGCAGCTATATATAATTATATATTTATATATATATATAATTATATATTTTTATATATATATATATATATATATAATTATAAACTTTAAAATCCAATATTTCCCCCTCAATTCATAGTCATACCCTTTTATTTGCTGCTGAAACTACTTTGATTTTCCTTTAGGAAGTCTTTTTTTTTTTTCATTCATCCTTAGCCATACCTCCATCTTCCATATTGCTGCAGGATTATTCCTTCTAAAATAGAAACCTATATTTATTATTCTGCATGAAACCATTTACTAGCTCCCTGCTGATTATCAGATGAGGTAAAACTCCTTGGTAAAGTATGCAAATCACTCTACGTCTAGAACCAGGCCTCAAAATGATAAGAACCATAAATAAATAAAAACCCACAGCCAATATCATATGACAATAAATGGGCAAAAGCTTGAAGCATTCTTCTTGAAAACTGGAACAAGACAAGAATGCCCTCTCTCACCATCCCTATTCAACATAGTATTGAGGAAATACCACATTTTCTTTATCCAGCCTATCAGCTAAATAATAAGAACATATGGACACACAGAGGGGAACAACACACACTAGGGCCTTTTGGAGGGTAGAAAGTGGGAGGAGGATCAGTATCAGAGGATCAGGAAAAATAACTAAGGAGTACCAAGCTTAATACTTGGGTGATGAAATAATCTGTACAACAAACCCCCATGACAAGTTTACCTATGTAACAAACCTGCACATGTCCCCTGAACTTAAAATAAATGTTAAAAAGTAAAACAAAACAAAACAAAACAAAAAAACCAACATAGTTTTGGAATTCCTGACCAGGGCAATCAGGCAAAAGAAAGAAATAAAGGGCATCCAAATAGGAAATCAAACTATCTCTTTTTGCAGACGCCATGATCCTATATCTACAAAACCCCATAGCCTCAGCCCAATAGCTTCTTAAGCTGATAAACAATCTCGACAAAGTCTCAAGATACAAAATCAATAAGCAAAAATCACTAGCATTCCTATACACCAACAGTAAAGCTGAGAGCCAAATCAGGAGCGTACTCCCATTCACAATTGCTACAAAAAGAATAAAACACCTAGGAATATAGCTAACTAGGGAAGGTGAAAGACCTCTACAAGGAGAACTACAAAACACTGCTCAGAGCAATCAGAGATGACACAAACAAATGGAAAAACACTTCATGCTATTGAGTAGGAAGAATCAATATTGTTAAAAGAAATGTATAGATTCAGTGCTGTTCCTATTAAACTACCATTGGGATTTTTCAAAGAACTAGAAAATATTATTTTAAAATTCATATGGAATCAAAAAAGAGCCTGAATAGCCAAGGCAGTTCTAAGCAAAAATAACAAGCTGGAGACATCATGCTACTCAACTTCAAGCTGTAGTCCAAGGCTACAGTAAACAAAATACCATGGTACTGGTACAGAAGGACACATAGACCAATGGAACAGAATGGAGACCCCAAAAATAAGGCTGCATGCTACAACTATCTGATCTTCAACAAACCTGACAAAAACAAGCAATGAGGAAAGGATTCCCTATTAGATAAACAGTGCTGGGATAACTGGCTAGCCATATGCAGAAGATTGAAACTGAACTCCTTCCTTATACTGTATGCAAAAATTAACTCAAGAGGGATTACTTAACCGTAAAACCCAAAACTATAAAAACCCTGGAAGACAAGCTAAGCAATACTATTCAGGACATAGGCATGTGCAAAGACTTTATGATGAAGATGCCAACAGCAATTGCAATAGAAGTAAAAATTGACAAATGGGATCTTATTAAATTACAGAGCTTCTGCACAGTACAAAGAAACTATCAACAGAGTAAACAGACAACCTACAGAATGGGAGAAAATTTTTGCAAACTATGCATCTGACAAAGGTCTAATATTCAGCATCTTTAAGGAACTTAAACAAATTTACAAGAAAAAAATAAGGAATCTCATCAGAACATGAGCAAAGGACATGAACAGACACTTTTCAAGAGAAGATATACATGTGGCCCACAATCATATGATTAAAAAGCCCAATATTATTCATCATTGGAGAAATACAAATCAAAACCACAATGATACCATCTCACATCAGTCAGAATGGTTATTATTAAAGAGTCCAAAAAGAAAAAAGAAAAAGATGCTGTTGATGTTGTGGAAGAAAAGGAATGCTTACACACTACTGGTGGGAGTGTAAATTAGTACATTGTGGAAGACAGTGCAGCAATTCCTCAAAGACCTAAAGACAGAAATATCATTTGATCCAGCAATCCCATTATTGGGTATATACCCAAAGGAATATAAATCATTCTGTTATGAAGACACATGCATGTGTATGTTTATTGCAGCACTATTCACAATAACAAAGGCATGGAATCAACCTAAATGTCCACCAACAGTAGATTGGATGAAGAAAATGTGGTACATATATAGTATGGAATGGTACATAGCCATAAAAAAATGAGATCATGTCTTTTGCTGGGACATGGATGGAGCTGGAGGCCATTATCCTTAGTAAACTAATGCAAGAACAGAAAACCAAATACTGCATGTTCTCATTTATAAGTGGGAGCTAAATGATGAGAACACATGGACACATAAAGGGGAACTACACACACCTGGGCCCATCAGAGAGAGGAGGGTAGGAGGAGGGAGAAGTTCAGGAAAAATAACTAAAGGGTAGTAGGCTTAATGCCTGGGTGATGAAATAGTCTGTAAAACAAACCCCCATGACATAAGTTTACCTATGTAACACACCTGCACATGCATCCCAGAACTTAAAATCAAAGTTAAAAAAGAAAAAACAAACAAACAAAAACACAACAGAGCCTAACCTCACATTATCCTGTGTGCCTACTGCCTTGTACCTTTCTATTTGGTTCATGTCATTCTTGCTGCCTAAAATACCCTTTTCTACCTCACTGTGTGGGTCATCCCTACTTATATTTTCAGACCCAACTGAAGTGTCCACTTTTGCAAACCTTCCCTGATCTGCCACATAGTTTATTACTTCCTTTTTTTGTAATACACAAACACACTCACACACTCACACTGACACACACATACCCATTTATTCTACTCTATCTCATTTACTTATGTCTTTCTTTTTTTCATTCCAGAATATGAGGTCATTGTTGATGGAAAAGAACACTTCATTATTTATCTAGCATTGATTTGCTTATTATGATCTGCCTATACTCAGAAAATTATAGGTTTAATGCAAGGTACAGCTAGGTTTCAGGAGCCTAATGAATATCCACTGGCCTATGTTTTAATCCATAATCCAATTCACTTCCTCTTCAAGACAGAATACAATTGAAAAATTATTATAATTCTTACTGCACCTGATTTAATTGTGAAGAAACTCATAAATTCTGTCCTGTTTAGATTAATGATTCTCTTCACAGCACTTCAAATTGTGACACATATTACTATGTTTACTTAGAACTGTAATTTATCTTTTCCTACTCAAATTCCATAAGTATTTTTAAAACAAACTTCTTTTCTCTAAATGTGGGTGAATCTCTGTTCATCACAACAAGGAATCTCATTAATATGCTTTGGAGAGCTAAGAGAAGGAGTCAGGATAGTCTAGTTGTGATTCATTCGTTTCTCTACTTCTCTCCAAGCTTACAGTCTTTGGGCATCAGTTTTGTTTTGTTTTGTTTTTGTTTTACTAAGCTTAAAAATAGCAGTTGAAATACCTGATCTAAAAATTCCTTTTTAACTTTAAATTTTTATTCTTGGGAAATTCAAGCATTTCCAAATATGAATAAATGGACTAATTTGTAATTATTACTGACCTGCATGCATTCATATTAATGTTTAAAGGCATATATTACTTTTTGTATAAGCATAAATAAAAAAATGCAATTAATCATGTATTTATTTATCTGACAGACCTGCAGCAGTTACTGGATGCTGTTAAAGTTTCCACTACAGATGCAAGAAAAGTGTCCCACACTTTCTGTCTGTCTGATTGTGACAGCTAAGATTAAATCAGGTAGGACAGTAATTCCAGAAACATGGCTGGGAGGGAGATAATGTTCATGACACAGAAATAATCTTGTAAACAGCAAATATTTTGTTTTATTCCAATAAAGTAATCTAAAATTTGAATTAAAAATATATTTATAAAGTACTTTTCATCTTCTTAGGCTGTAAATACCAACAAAACATTTTGATTATAGTAACATAAATATAAATCACAGGGGCTATATGTTAAATTAATAGTAAATGTGAATTATGTCATTATAATTTTGACTAAATCAGAGATATAGTACAATTAAATGTCAGATTTGATAAAGTACTTATTCAGTTGGAGTTAAGCTTAATAGATTGTGTATCAAGATTGTTTCATCATTAGTTCATGCTTATGAAGCCTGAAAAAGAACCACTACCAGAATCAGAACAGGGAATAATCAGTTGCCTTTTTATCATGATTGCTAAATTTAAAAGACTTCTGATTGTCTTGGATTGCAGTTTCTTAAAGTCAGGTATTTTGTTTCACTTATTTTACAGTTATTAGCTTAGGACAAATAAAACAAAAACATATTTTAAAATATGATCTACCCCTATTGAACAATATGTTCCATGTAAATTTTATGTATATAAACATATGGCTCTAGTTAATATTAAAATCAAAGAGGAGAGATTTAGGCAGGTGTTTGATTATCACAAAACCAATGGTTAAAAAAAAAAGCCTGGCACACTATCTTATGCATTGCAACACTTAAGAGATGAAATAATAAATAATAAATTTGAAAAGACAAAACATAAATTTAAGGATTCTTTGTACTGACTACATTTAAAAAAACTTACCACCTTATACAAATGTGATCTACATAGAATGTGAGACTCTGAATTTGCAGACTGGGTTATAGCTGAAACTACAGACACACTTCAGTACCTTGCGGATGATATTCACTCATTTTCTTTTCCAAAGTTCAACAACTTTGTTCAAATCTGTTTTTTTTTTTAATGGGTTGCACTCATCAATGTTGCCTTTCAATCTGAGCTTTCACTTCTTAGTGTATACCATGGCGTAGATGCATTGCACTAAGGCAAAATAAATAAATAAATAAAAATAAAAGACTGGGCGCGGTGACTCACGCCTGTAATCCCAGCACTTTGGGAGACCAAGGAGGGCAGATCACGAGGTCAGGAGATTGAGACCATCCTGGCTAACACGGTGAAACCCCGTCTCTACTAAGAACACAAAAAGTTAACCAGGCGTGGTGGCCGGTGCCTGTAGTCCCAGCTACTTGGGAGGCTGAGGCAGGAAAATGGCGTGAACCCAGGAGGCGGAGCTTGCAGTGAGCTGAGATCGCACCACTGCACTCCAGCCTGGGCAACAGAGCAAGGCTCCGTCTCAAAAAAAAAAAAAAAAAAAAAAAGCAAATCAGCCCCAGTGGGAGAGAGTTTACAATCAAGAAAGTGTCCAAGACTTTATACATTTCAAAAAACAGAAAAATATTTTCAGGGAAAGCAATATTAGCTTTCAAAGAGTAGTTGCCACTTGAACTAAACATTTGCTCTATAATTATAAAATCACCTTGCATATTTTTACAAGAAGAATGTTTTCACATTTACATAAACTAGTGTAGCCATGGCCACTCTACACATATTGTTTTTCTTCTTTACATTTAAAGTTTCACTGTAAGTTTCAACTTACACTGTAGTGTTCTGTGCAACATTTTCCAGAAGCTTCTTTCCTAACTATTCAAAGAGGTACTCTTCTAATTCTGCAATTCTAAGAAGAGTCATTCTGATGAAGGGCAGGCAAGCCCTGAAGTGGGGCTAAGCCAGCCAGGGTTCTTGGCTTTGCCCAGGAAAGAATTCAAGGGCAAGCCAGAGGGAGAAGAAAACAGCTTTATTGAGGAGGCAGTGTTACAGCTCCAGCGGTGCCACTGTTCCGTGACTGTTCCTGCAAGGCTATCCCATACTTAGAGACTAGAAGCTCAGGGCAGTGTAGCAATCACATTTATACACACTTTTAATAACATGTCGAGTAAGAATCCTCTTACCAAGGATAAATCAGAAGTTTTTAAATAACAAAAGCAAGAAAGAGAACCTAGTTGCATATTATAAAGACAACACAATAAGCAGAAATGAGTTGAGGTCGAGGAATCCATCTCATAGCTCACTGGCAATTTTCTAAATTTTTACTAAATTCAGTAGTACTACTGAATCCAATCAAAGTTTCCAAGATGAGGTCAGTAGAAAAAGAAACTGCCTTATTCTAGTTCACTGCCTCACATAAGGGTCTATTTCAAAATTAGTAAATTTTTTATTTTTTACATTATGAGCATTTTCACATTTTAGAAAAAGTTGATTTAAAACTGCATCTCACCATTTACCAAATTGAAAAATAAAACCTTAGTGTATTATAAAGATCCATCATATGTGCCTGGGGGTATGTGCATGTTTTTCACATTACTACTTGTCTTTTTAATAAATCATTCATTTACCCTCATCTTATTAAAAGTATAAAATAAACTTCTCTGTGGAATGTAAGACAATGTTTTTGAAAATAGAGTGTTTAGTTTTGAAAAAAGCTTTTCTACATAACATACAGAGAATTGTTTATGTATTACTGAATAACTATTAACTTAGAGTTTACCTTTATTCTTTGCTTTCTCCGTTTTGTTCCGTTCTAGATACGTTGAACTTTTTAATGTGAAAGAAAACTGGAGAGTGAAAATATATCTTAGTGAATGAAGTCTATATCAGGAGGTACCTAATCCTAAAGCATACTGTTATGAAAATGAATGCATGAATAAATGTAATGCTAATATTTTTACACTTTTGGCTACATTATTTAGTATTAAAAAATAGTATTGAAAATATTCAACCAGAAAATGTAGCAAATCCTCAAATTTGTAAAATTATAAAAGGTAACGGTAATCAATGTTGGACGCACAAGTTTGAAAACAATATAGAAACTACTACAATGCCATATAATTTTTCACAATGATTTCTCATGCAATTTTTTATTTCCTAAATTCTGTTGATAATAAAACTATTATAAAATATATAATAAGTTCCCATAATCGGTGTCATGTTAATTTTTCAACAATATATTTTTTGGTTTTAAAATGTTCTAATGTTACTGATTGGACTCCGGTAAAGACTCCAAGATGGCGACCGGCAACCATCTTGGCTACCCTGACTCAGCATTCCCGGATTCGCCGGTTCCCGCCATCCCAGCGGCCATCTTGGCTACCCTGACTTGGCATTTTCGCCTGTTCCCGCCATTTATTCCCGCCATCCCGACAGCCACCTCGGATACCCTGACTCAGCATTTCCGGGTTCACCTGTCTTCTTCCCGCAGCCCCAGTGAACGCGCATGCCCACTAAAGCACGTCACTAAGGCAAGTCACTCACCCATATAAGCGCGCTGCACTTTTGGCACAGCGCGACTTCCCTGGCCCACTCCCTGCGGGCCAGTGAACCTCGCCCGAGAGCTCAATAAAGGAGATTTTTGTCCTCTTTGTCTCGCCTCTCGGCCCTACCTGTTCGCGGTACCCCTCCATTGCATTTCAGTTACAATATTACAAAACGTTAAAACATGCCAAACTAAACACAAAATAAAACAATAATTTATGTTTTTGCATATCCAAGCAGAAATTAAATATAGTTATAGCTTAAATTAATAATTTATTAAATTAATAGTTTAATGTTGACAATAGACAAATTTAAAGTGGAAAAATACTGCAAAACCATATAATGCAGTTTAAAAACTATTAAACTAATCACATTTTCTACGAATATAAATGTTCATGATTATTTTAACAAATGGATGGTAAATAATTTAAAATCTATATTTAATGTTTCTATATTTATTTTCATATTACCCTACTTTTATTTTCAACATATTTCTTAATATTTGTAACAATTAGTGTTAACATTTTTCCCTCTAATGAGTTTTAAATACCTCAATAATGTGTAAGTACCTCAGTAAGATTCTATGTGTGTGTATGTAAATAGGAGGTGGTTCCAGAGGTCTCAAAAAAGAACAAACTTGGGCTTGATGTATACAGATATATATATATTTAGAGAGAGAGAGAGAAACTAGTCTGAAAGCCAAAGACCAGTTGTATAAAATCCATGGAAACTTCTTTGATTACTTTATTATAAAACTAGCCCTTTTAAAGGGGAGCTAATTTAAGGTACAAAACTTCTAAAAAGCATTTTGAGAACAAATCGCGTCTGAGGAGAATAAGTTGGATATGAAAATTTTGCTTAAATTTCATGTTTGAATTAATATATAATTTGGTATATGTATTATATATAATAGATAATATATATTATATATATATTTAATATGAGGGAAAATAAAAACATCAGTAGAATATTTTAGGCATCTTCTCAAGGATTTTATCTCAGGAAGCTTTTATGAGCAGATTTTCTTGATTAAAAAGTAGTTTATTTTGAGAAACTGGGTTATCTGTACTATACTTTAATGTGAAATTAATCATTCATTACATGATTTGAGATAGACTGACAGGGAATAGAAATGTTATCTATGGAGTACCTACCTCTACTGGGTAGTTTATATACAGGCAGTCATTAAAGCCTGTCAACCCTAAATATAAATATTCTAATTTCTATTTGATATGCATTATAACCTGAGGATTCAGGTGAGTTAAATGATTTACACAAGTAACACAGTGAATCTCAGAACCATGATTCAAACCCAGGTTTGTTTTATTCCAAAACTTTGTTTAGTAATACCCTGGGCTGTATCTGGTACTGCAGTAAAAGACTTCATACAGATGTTTCACAAACTACCTCCCAAGGCAGTTAGAATGAATGTGGGAAAAATAAACCAAAAACTAAGTGCAACAGAGAAGCTATTATTGGAGTTAATAGGAGGTGGTTCCAGAGGTCTCACAAAAGAACACACTTGGGCTTTATAACAAATTGTAGTTGGTGAAATAAAAACAAGATCATAATTTAACAACTAATTTGTTGGTCTATTAACCTCTACTAGATGGTAAGCTCTATTGTGGGGGACAGAGGCCATGAAAATTATGGTTAGTCTTCTTTCTCTAGTGCCTGGTGCAGGGCACTGGCTATGACAAGGCTTTCATGCACGTCCCTGTGAAGAGACCACCAAACAGGCTTTGTGTGAGCAATAAAAGCTTTTAATCACCTGGGTGCAGGCGGGCTGAGTCCGAAAAGAGAGTCAGCGAAGGGAGATAGGGGTGGGGCCGTTTTATAAGATTTGGGTAGGTAAAGGAAAATTACAGTCAAAGGGGTTTGTTCTCTGGCAGGCAGGAGTGGGGGGGTCGCAAGGTGCTCAGTGGGGGTGCTTTTTGAGCCAGGATGAGCCAGGAAAAGGACTTTCACAAGGTAATGTCATCACTTAAGGCAAGGACCGGCCATTTTCACGTCTTTTGTGGTGGAATATCATCAGTTAAGGCAAGGACAGGCCATTTACACTTCTTTTGTGGTGGAATGTCATCAGTTAAGGTGGGGCAGGGCATATTCACTTTTTTGTGATTCTTCAGTTACTTTAGGCCATCTGGGCGTATCCGTGCAAGTCACAGGGGATGCGATGGCTTGGCTTGGGCTCAGAGGCCTGACAAAGGCATTCAAAGAATTTACATGGAATGAACAAAACTGCAAGCAGAGAAATAAAGGACACTGTGTGGAGAAAGAAGTTTGATGCTAACCAGTCACAGAAAGGATTCCCTTTCATTACAGAAGTCACAGCCACTAAGAGCTGAGATACAAATCCAAAAGAACTTTAACACCAAGCTAGCCAAAAGATTGCATTCAGTTACAGGACCAGGAATATACTATGGAAGCAAAAGATGAGTTAAAAAAGAACAGTAACTCAGTCTTCTCTCTAAACGGCTGTGATTTAAAGGGGAAAAGAAAAAGAACCAGTGAAGAGATTAAAAGGCAAATTACCTAATCATGTTTTAGAAATTTTTTAAAAAATGACTGTTCCAAAAGAAATTATCTGATTTCATGTAAATAAAACTTATCACACATCATTTATTTTAATAAAAAGGATCTTTAATAAAATAAATTAAAATTAATTCTTCCTTCTAAATCTATGGGGGCTTGTAAGAAAGTCCAACCATGTGGTTACAACCACATGAGAGTGTCTCATTACTGCCGACTTGTGGCCACCTGCCTGAAATTCAAGGACAGAGTTTCAAGATGAATAATTAAGAAGCTGAATCTGCCTCAAACTTGAAGACAGATTCAGTTTTCTAATTTGGCGCTGGAAGCCATTATCCATAGCAAAGCAATACAGGAACAGGAAACCAAATACCACATGTTCTCACTTATAAGTGGGAGTTAAATGATAAGAACACATGGACACAGAGGGAAACAACATACACTGGAGCCTTTGGGAGGGTGGAAGGTGGGAGGAGGGAGAGGATCAGGAAAAATAACTAATGGATACTGGGCTTAATGCTTGGGTTGTGAAATAATCTGTACAATGAACCCCCATGACACAAGTTTACCTGTGTAACAAACCTGCACATATACTCGTGAACGTAAAATAAAAGTTAAAAGCTGGGCGCGGTGGCGCACACCTGTAATCCCAGCACTTTGGGAGACCAAGGCGGGTGGATCACCTGAGTTCAGGAATTCGAGATCAGCCTGGCCAACATGGTGAAACCCAGTCTCTACTAAAAATATAAAAAGTTAGCTGGGCGTGGTCGTAGACGCCTGTAATCCCAGCTACTCGGGAGGCTGAGGCAGGAGAATCGCTTGACTCTGGGAGGTGGAGGTTGCAGTGAGCCGAGATCGTGCCACTGCACTCCAGCCTGGGTGACGGAGTGAAAGCTCCATCTCAAAAAATAATTAATAAATAAATAATAAAAGAAAAAATAGAAGTTAAAAAAATAAAACCTGTAAAACTAAAGCTAAGAAGCCAAATCTTTGTTATGTAATTGTACAGCAGATGCACTTGATAGCAATAACTCAAGCATACCCTGAGAAGGTCCCTATGGTGTAAGAAGAAGGTTTGTTTGGAGTTCTGACCTAAGAAATTCAGGAGTGGCCAACCTGGAGATTCACTCCTTAAGGATGGAGGACTTCTGAACCCCTCACCCATACCTTGGAACTCAGGCCATAAAGGGGACTGAGGACGTTTGTTTTGGGTAAAACGGAGGTTGCTAGCTAGAGATTCCTAAATGAAAATGCTACATATCCTGTATGCTTTTTATAAACAGTAGCAGTTTTCCTGTCCAGCCCACCACTCCTGGCCTGAACTATATATAATTCCTCAATAAATGCTGTGTCTGATTCATTGGCTCAGGGTCTCTCCTTCTGCCTCTCAGACACGATGTCAGATATCATCCCTATTGGAGTTAATAGGGGTCCGGCACGACAATAGTTCTTAATCAGGCTTTTAACATAAGTATGTTGAAGAAATGAATTCCATAGACATTCAAACAGCTTATTACTTCTACCTAATATGATTTGGTGCGCCTACCTGAACTCCTAAATCAAGTCATAACAACAATTACTCTGATGTTTTATTTTTAAGATAATTGCTTTACGACTAGATTCATTTTAGAGAACAGTTTCACTATCTAGTGGAAATCTTTTTGAAATGCCATCTATACACACACATAAATTAAAAAAATATTTCTTTCAAAGGCTAAAGCTAGGTGTGAATAATTGTTCAATAGCATTATCAAAGATACAAAAAAGGAAAATATAAAATATAGTACCATGCTTATTCAATTTGGTATTCAAGGCTAAGAATGATTGAGGTGCCCCTGCTTCCCATATGTATTAACACAATTTGCCAGAAAGTCTACTTTTTATAAATTAAGTTGGCTTCATATTCCTGATGTAGGCTGCTAGTCATTCATACTTTAGCTTAAATTAGTCTGATATAATTTATTTTTTATTAAAAGCTCAATTAGATTTATCTACTATGACTCAATGGAGTTTTGATGAGAAGTAGAAATTGTAATAGCTTAGAATTCTTCTTTGGGTCAGATAGCCCTCGAGAGCATGATGCATTTTGGGGCCCTTGGATAACTAAATGGGAGCACCAGACAAATATGGGGAGTTAACATCAAGGTATCAGCAAATAAGCAAGAAAAAAATATGAATGGAGATGAAAGATAAAATTTACTTCTAACTTTCAGTATTAAGAAATGTCCTTTCTCTACAGCAATGCTTATCTCTGAAGTAATTCCTTTCCTCTGAGCTCTCTCAAGTCTCTGCTGAGGACATAATCTCTGAAACACATTGTATTTGTGTTTCAAAAAATTAGGTTCAAAAACCATTTTTCTTAGTAAAATAAATGTCTACTTCTGTCCAGTAATTTATTGGGTTCCCAGGGCTAGTTCCAGTTTTCATCAAGTAGACCTTGATCTTTTAGTTCACTATTATGATCTATAAAGGTTAAAATCTACAACAGAGATACAGAAAGAAAGGAAAGGAAATGTGTTTTATATAAATCAAGTTTAAAAAATCAAGAAACAAGAAAAAATATTTCTGTAACTCAAAAGAAGATTAAATACTAAATACATTTGGTTCTTTTTGTTCCAATGAGAAATCTGTTTACCTATGTATGCCAGAAATATGCTGGGGTCTTCAACTCTGTATTGAAGTCAGTTGAAATATATATTTTGGTGAGATCTAGTTGCTAAAATACACTGTGTTCTAGGAGTTCAAGGTCAGTTGCAACATTGGAAACATGCTCCTAATATAAGCACATTTCGTTTTATATTTCAAAACTATGTAGATTAAAAAAATGTCAATGTTTGGATTTCATTTCTTCTGTTTAACTCAGATTTGTTTTGAATGATATCCCTTCATTTCAGAAACTTGTATTTCCTTGTTTCTTCATACCAATTTCCAGTCTTGAACTGTCAGATAACTTATATTACATTATATTAGTAAAAATAATCAAAGTAGAAATAACTCAATAGTGATTTCTCACCCAGGAAATTTGAAGGTAAGGTATTTCCAATTTACAATAAGCTTCTTCAGTTACATATAAAACAAATTTATGAATTAAAGTGATAACTTACCACATACTTTAATCCATGTAAATAAAATGCATAAGATGTGCAAACTAATTGTTAACGCCATTAAAAAAAACTAGATCATAACTTTTTTACTACCTTAAAGAGAAACTCAAATATTAAATAACAATATAAACAGAAACTCAGGTAATCTTTTGATATTCATCACTTTAACTGAAAAACATTCATATCTCCATTAATTACCTGAAATTAGCAAAATACTCTTTCTTTCCCCAAATCTTGGATTATTCTGGGAAGATAGGCAGACCAACACTTATCACCATTGGTCCTCAGAAAAATGAACTGGGAGAACAAGAAAATTGACATTATTTTAAAAGTGCTTTGACATAGGCAGTAAATCAGGGGACACATTAACGAAGTAAGGCAGATATACTATAGAGGTAAAGAGTTAAATCTAAATTATTTATGAAAAAAATTACTTCTTTTTAAATGTTAATGTTTAAAAGAACCCTATTCTAGAAGGAACTTGTTTGAACTTTTAAAAGTATGCCAACCTTAGAGTGGCTAATAACAATAGTTTTATGAGCAAACTAGAAATTGTTCTTGCAAACATACTAGTTTTTGACCTGCTAGGGAATAAAATTTAAAGAAAAAAAAAAAACTTTGCTAGCTCTGACATCCACTGGGAAATAATATGCTGGTCTCTCTCCCGAGGTCTTGCCGTTTTCTAGCAACAATCATGAAACAAAATAGAACCTTTCTTCTTCCTCTCTCTTTGCAAATTCTAATCAGCTTGTGTAGGAGGGAAAAGAGCAAATGCTGAACCGGGAGGGTGAAAGTTATCTGGTTTTAGCAGAGATTATTGAGATAAAATGAGGAAAGTAGAGGAAAGCACTTTCAAATATAATGCATGATACGCAGGAAGGCTACAGGAAACGGAAAGAAGTGTTTTCCTGGGCCTGGTAGGGCTTGAAACATGAAAGAACAATGAAAAGTTAAGCATTAAGCATTATTACTCCCAGCATTAAGGAAACGTGATTTCATCTTTCTCAAGCTGAAAACACACACACACACACACACACACACACACACACACAGTTTCTGAAACACACACACACACAAATTCCAGTATATATTTGAACTTTGTTTTGTCCCAACCCTTGACTTCTTACAGCTAGGTCAGTGTGTCCCCTCCCTACCTCAGTCTGGACACCATAAAAAAGAAAACAAGTTATTCAGCCCAGCGATGCAAGGTCTTCGGGTTTCTCATTCAACATTTTATACTTTGATCCCTGAGGTAACGGAAAATCCTCATCGCCTAGACTTTCATTGGTTCCTATCAGCTCAGCTGGAAAGGGTGGCAAGTGGGACAATCCTGAAGAAAAAAGAGTCACCCCCACGTCCTAAAGTACTTGGAAGTGCTCGCTGGGATCTGCCTGTACTCCAGGTTGGTGCAACTCCACCGCCCTCCAGTGAAGTCCCAGAAGCGATCAAGTTTAAAGTGAAAGGGGGATGGAAGCATTTTTTCTCCCTATGCCTTCGGAGTCTGTGGCTTCAGTTTGCTGCAGGTTCTCTCCGTGGACTTCTCAGAAACCTCAACTTTCCACTTCGAGGGACAGAAAGCTACAAGGAAAACGCTGATGGTTTTGGTGGAGATTCTCCTGGACTTCAGTGGTGTCCTCTGGTACATCTGTCCGCGGTGTCCCTTTGGTTTATTTCTGTGGTCTTCCTGCGCAGTCCCTCAGCGGCTCGGAGTTTGGCCTTCCAGCTCTCCAACTCAGATCCTGAGCCTCCTAAGCTCCCGCGGAGACCCTGAAGTCCCGGATCTGGCGCCGCTCGCCGACCTGGAGGGAGGCTGCACCGCTGAAGTGCAGTCTCGGAGCTGCGCTCCTCTGGAACAAAGCAGCCAGACGTGGCTTGAGTGGATTCCTAAGCCAAGGATTGGATCCGGAGTACCAGGGGCAGAGAGGGGGAGCAGAGGAAAGAAAGGAGATGTGAGGAGTTTCCACCTAAAGCACTTCACTCCTCGTGTTCTTCCCCGACAGAGATAGCTGTGTGGTTCTTCCTTACGCGTGGGTGCAGGTGTGCGCGCTTGGGGTGAGCCCATGGTTGTGCTCGAGTATACGGGCGCCTGTGCACCTCCAGGGCAATGGTAAAGCCTGGCAGAGCTCTTTTTGGAACAAAATGAAGGAGCTCCATATCCACGGAGGCCACCCGTATGGGCCTTTGCCAAGTAGGGCAGAAGAAGCCCTTGTTAGCCAGCTTCCCTTTGCAACTTCCTACTCTTCCTTTGGGTACAGACTGGTGTCTGGGCTAGCTAGGATCACAGCTGAGAGCGAAGGTGCTCTCAGTGTCCGAAGACCACGTGCTGGTGAACCCACAATGAGAAGCGAAAGGGTTTCAGGACTCTAGCAGAAAGGAAGAGCAAGATTTCACTCAGGGTTTCTTAGAAGAAAGAGTTAACTTTGCTCACTGGCTTTTCCAGGATGGAGGGAGTGGGGATAGGGTCGGGGAGAGAAGCATTGGGAGTCTTGTCGGAGTCTCAAGCAAAACCAGGCGAGGGCTCCGGGCAGATCCATTCCCGCAGGGCCCTGTCTAACCTCCTTTCCAGTCGCACCTCTTTCCTGCTTTAGACCCTGCGTCTGTGCCGGTGACCTTAGAGACTAGGTCTGGCTTATGAAGACTGTTGGGCTCCCTTTCTGCCCTTCACATAGTAAAATGTGACCAACTGCAGTATTCGTAATGTCTGATGCTGAGCTGAGTTGATTCCCAAATATAAATGTTCTTTTCAGAATCCGCTCCCATCTGATTAGTAAGCAAATCACCACCCACAACTAAGGGGACAGCGGAAGCCAGCCTCAGATGACTGAAACCCCCAAGTCAGTAGCTCTCCTCAAAATTTCCGGCGGGTTATTATAGATAATGACTTTTCCCACCGCCCTAAGCAGCCGAAGCTTGACTCAGTGATGATTCTCTCTATCCCGTAACTGCGAGGAAGTGGGCGATCAGCAAATTGCCCTTTTGCAGGAGGCTGGGGACGCCCCTGGAAGTTCGCTTTCATTCTCCAGGTTTTCTGCCTTTTCCCTTCCCCCTTCCTGCAACGCCCCCGCGCCTCCTCAGCCTGGGGATTTCCTGGCGCTTCGCCGGCCCTCTCCGCAACCCCCTGATAAATCGGTTCAGAACCAGTCTGGCTGGGAGGCCCGAGGGCTGACAGCAGCGGAGCGGCCCCGGCCGGGGTCTCACGGACTCTCGGGGTCTGGCCGACACGGCCGCTCCCGTCACTGCAGCGCGGGCTGAGCTCACGGCCGCGCGCCCGCCGCCGCCGCCGCCGCCGCCTTCATGCTGCAGCGCAGGGCTCAGTTCCACGCGGCCAGGAGGCCGCCGTTGCCCACACGCGACGCTTTGGGAAGCCCAGCTCCCGGGTCCGCCCCGGCCGCGGCCGCAGCCCCGGACCTCGGCTGCTTGCCTCGCGCCTGAACTGCGGACTCGCCCCAGCGCGGTGGCCAGCGGGCGGGGCGCTGTGTTCCGCGGCGCGCAGGGAGGCGGTGAGCGTGTGCAGAGCTGCCCGAACGGAGGACTATGTATGTGTGTGCGCGTGTTTGCGTGTGTTTGAGCGTGTTTTTCCTTCTTCCCTTGAGGATGTGAATTGTTTAGCAGCTGGCTGCTCCCTTAGGATCCTTGACTTTGGGGAGCTCTGGCTGTGAACACAGCCCACCCATATAATCCATTTTGCACGGTCCGTTATATCAGAAAAAAAAAGCGCAACTGGACGGGGGTGGGGCAGACCAACGAAACCTAGACAGACACACACACACTCAGAGGAGAGAGGAAGAATTGAAAGACTTGAGAAGACTTTGATAACCTCCCTGCTGGCCCTTCTGTGTTCCGGAAAGATCCTGGATGTTGGCTACCTTTTCAAGTCATCTTGGCATGTCTCTAGTGTTTTGTAAGCCGCTTTCCAGCTAGCTGCGTGTGTGTGTGCGCGCGCGTGTGTACGCGCGCGCCTATCTGATGCATTTGACTGTCTTTTATCCAACTGCCCAGAAGCAAATGTGTTAACTCGGCGATGCCCCTTCATGCCCGGGTTCTTGCAGAGCTCTGAGGACGCCCAGACCCATTTTCCTGGCTGGATTTGGAGCGGCTGCTGGGCTGTGGACCCAGGTGTGTGGATCGCTTTACCCAGAAGCTTGGAAAGCGCCAATATTAACCTGCTTCCAGGTACATCACAAGGTCAAGAGAGTGTCTTGCAGCCCTCTTGTTTCCGTGTATCTACACCTTCTTCTCTTGGCCAGAAGGATATTTACGTTTTGGTTCACAGCATTTGAAGCCAAAAGTTCAGCCCTTCGAACTGGTTTGCTATACAAAACAAAACAAAACAAATAAGGTAATGAGGATTGCTTATTAAACTGCTTAACAAAATCCCCGACTCTTCCTCAGCCCTTTCTCGGCTCCCTCCTCCCCACCAAAATGTCACCAGCTCTTGAATTACGTGGATTCGGGTTGGAGGAGAACTTGAAGGAAACGTGATTAAAGGGCTATGCGAGAACGCTCTCTTTGCTGCCCGCGGTCCGGTGGGCTTCGAAGCCAATCGTGAGAAGGACCGGTTCCCTCCGTGCTGCTTCCTCCCCGTGCAGTGCTGGGTGTGCGTGTGCGAGTGTGAGTGCAAGTGCGCGCGCGCCCGGGTGCGAGTGTGTGTGAGTGTGAGCGTGTGTCTGTGTGTGCGTGCGCGGCCGCCCTGCCTCTGCCCGCTCCCCGGGCGCGGAGCCGCGGGTTTCATGGGGCGATTGCAGCGATTCCCCCACCCAGAGCGACCTGCGGGCAGCGGCGGCAGTGGCAGGAGCCGCCTTTCCGATTCCCTACGATGCGGGTGCTGAGCTATGGCAAAGGGCAGCGAAGTGACGAGCGAGACCCGCGTACGACTGTGAAAGCCACCTGGAGCCACCTTGCCGGGATTGTACCTGCAGGCAGAAAGTCTTCCTACGACCGTCTTTTCCCTTAGAGGCACCAGGTAACAAACCAACGATTACTCGCCTCACCCAATTTCCTTTTGATCTTGTTTCTAGTGTCTTATCTGCATTGCAGGCTACTTTACTTATTAATGTTTTGAAAATCATTGGGAAGGGTTGGGTATCCAAGGGCGCCTGCTCTGTGATTTTGTAATACGATTTCTAGTAGGTGAAATATAAATCTATACCTAAGCACTTAATCTAGTAGTGAAAGCTTTGAGAATATGGATGTGCTCCACCCTGAGGATATTTTTTGAGAGCTAGGCGTGTGGAACCTGTCTGAAGATGCCAGAGATCAAAATTCTGTGTTTCCTTCAGGCTGTGGTTGCCACGGACCATTTGGTACCCAACCCTTTCCAGATTGTGAAGTGTGAGTGGGTGTTTGGTTTCCACCCATCATTTAAACCAAAGATCTTTTCTACCCTTTTCTACCTCTGGTGCCAGGTTGTTTTCCTTTCCTTGTTGTGGAGGAGCTTGCCAGATCTTTTTAGTAGTTGTAAATTACGCATCTGGAGACTTTGACTCGAAATGGAGTTTTCTTGGAACTTGGTTTGCATGAAAGGGAATACATATTGTCACGGCTGTGTGTCTTGAGATATGGTGTTTAACTGCCAGGACGTGCTTTTATGTAGCAGAATAAATCCATGAAAGAAGTCATTTTTATATCTAGCAGAACCAGGCTAAAACGATAGCCACCACCCAACATTCTCTCCAGCTGTATTGTCCCCGTCACGGACACGCAACTCCTTTGCGCGTTTTTTTGTTGTTGTTGTTTGTTTGTTTGTTTTATCCCTGTATAATAGATATTTTGAATTTTTTTTTTCCGGTGCCTTGATTTACAAGGAGCAGGTTGGATTTGCGACTGCCTAATTAACATATTGGGTCTGGTATGTTAAAATGAGATTTCCATGGCCGGCTGAAGCAGAACAAATTTAGTTAACTTCCAAAGCCCTTTACCCTGGCGCCTTTTTTTCCCCTGAATTCCCTTTCGTCTTATCTCAGCGCCCGCCCCCATCGGAAAATTTCACTCCTTTCTCGAAGACATTAGAATTAACAAGATAAAGCACTTCCAAAGTAGTCTCATCAATGTTTTATTCCATAGTGAAGACGGTCTGAATAATTTAACTAAGGAGTGTTCGTTTGTCTCCCGCCTTTGGGAGCTGCTTGCTGGCTACATTCAGCGGAGGATTTGGCCCAGCCAAGCTCAGGGTGCCCTGCTTCAGGAGGCAGTGACTGGGGCTGCTGGGGGGCGGGGGGTTCTCTTTGCTAACGCCGTTTAGGAAGTGTAGGGGCGCTGCCTGATTTTCCCCCACTCGCTGCATTTCTATAGATATCCATATGATGGCATTTGCAGACTTCTAGCTGGCCGATAGCTGCTCTGCTTGTCCCTGCGCACTGACGTCCCCAACTCCTCTTCGAGTCTGGGCTCGGCTGCTGCTGCAGCCCTCGCAGGCTGGTGGTGCTACAAGGCCATGTATGCAGCGGGCTTTGGGGGCTGGGCTCTGCCACTGCAGCTGGCAGGACGGCTTTGACACTTTCTCCGGGCAGGGCGGAAGAGCTCAGCGGACCCCCTGGCAGACAGCAAGCGCATCGTGGCCGAGGCGGCCGCCTGGATGCGAGAGGAGGGAGATGCCCAGAGCCACAGAGGAGCGTGGAGGGCGGTGGTGTCCTGTCTTTGCCTGCAAAACCTTTCTCTCTCTCTCCCTCCCCGCGACAATGAATATTGAAGAATATGGAAGGAAAGCTGGCTACAAAAATGTCTTGATATTCAAATACTGCATGATTTATCAGGATTAAAAACCTGAAGCTAAGTGTGTATTTCCTAGATTTCCATTTATTCCTCTTTCTTCCCTCCCTTCTTGCTCTCCTCGGTTTGATCATGTCATTTATACCCGTATTGTTTCTAGTTGAAACACCTCTGTAAAGTCAACTAACCTCCCTCTCCCACCTGGTACCCAATAAACGTGAAAGAGGAGAACATGATTTCCACTCTTCAGATAGATTTGCTTTGTAACTTCTAGCTCCAGGGATAACCAAGGAATGATACAGAAGATATCTCGACTTTAACAGAACTTTACCCCTCTGAGGTCCCAGGGAAGGTAAAAAAAAAAAAAAAAAAAAAAGTGTATTGCCTGGATTAAATAATGAAATAAATGAAAGGTAACAGATAATTGGGAATAAATTTAAAAAAGGATTTTTTTCTTTTATCTTCTCTCTTTTTTTTTGTCTTTTAATGAATTTACTTCTAATCCTCTTATCACTCAGAAAATCTTAGAAATCTGATTTGTGTATTCTAAACGTCTGACAAGGACCCCACTTTGTCCTCCCAAATTACCCCAGAATACTATTACAACAGTATTGATATCATACTTACAATATTTGTTAGCAAGTAACTCATACCTATCTAGAGAGTGCACAAGAAAAAAGAAATGCTGGTGAATATAGGTACTTGGAAAATAAGGTGTTTTCATCACCTCCCACCTATTTCACTTTCTTCTGGCCTTTTCCCACTAAGGACTCGATTTTTGCAGGTTAAGCTTTGTTCTTCCGCCCTCAGCCTCAGGGAAGGCAAAGCAAATGCATTAAAATGGATGCTGAATGCTCAGAAACCTGAACATAGATGATGGTGTGATGCATGTTTGAAAATGTCACTCATTGGTGCAGATTGGAGTTAGGTTAAAGGTCATAACTAAATAGAGCTACTAGCACAAGGTTACATGCACAGAAGTTCCTAAGGCGGGGGGAAAATATTTCTGCCACCTTTTTCTTCTCCCTTTTCTGGAAAAATGGAGAGGGTACAAGTTACTTTGAAAATCTAAGTCCACTGTCCTTGTTAAGAATTGTCTTTAAGTAGAGCTGGCCTGGCTCACTAGCCTGGTTCATTGATGAGTTAACACTTCAGGTATTGATAGGAAATTTCCCAGCCAAAAGCCTCCTTCTTTGTAAGCCCTCTTTTAGTCACTATTAATAGGGACAGAACAATAAGATATCTATAAGAACAAGCATAAGCAGATAGGTGAAAAGAAGTTGTCACTTGATTCTTGTACCTCGGATAATTTCTTTTAGTCATTTTTTTCCCTTTCTCTTTTCAAGAGGAGAATGACCTTGAACACCAGCCTTCTGTTCTTTCACATACGTCTCTCCTTCCCTCATAGATCTAATGTGTATATGAGCACACACACCTTGTTTTTGAAATATGAGATTCCTGTGCTGGTGTTTTGGGAGAAGTTCATAAAGGTTTAGTTCTGACTGATAGCAGCCAGAAGTGATTTCTTTCCTTTTTCTCAAGAGGCGATGGCAAGACCTGTAGTTACCTGTGGGAGAATACCCCCACCCTATTCCCTCTTCAATTATTTTTGTCTCCTCTGTCATTAAATGGATTTTGGGTGTTAAAGCAGTATCTAGTTATGGCATTGGTGTTTAAATGATCTTCATATGTTATATCATGTTTTATCACTCTTTCATCTTTTCATAAATGACCGTCATTTTCCTTTGTCCATTTATATCAGTGATCTGGATCTTCTTGCTGTTTGAAGCACTTTTGGCTTAGTAGTTTTGCTGAGTTTTCTTGCTGGTGAAATTGAGATCTTGCTTTCTGCTGACCTATTGCTGTGATATATGGTTGGGATGAGATGCTTGCAGGTATCTAACAATATTTCTGCCTCTACATGAAACTACTGCATAATATCTACTAAATTATATATTTAAAAATAAATGTGTCATAAATAAGATTGCTAATAAGTATTATTGCCAATTTTGAGGCTGGGAAAAGGAAGCTACTTGAAACTTCCTAAAGGCTTAACTGGCTAACCTATTAGCTTATTTCAGTGATTTTTATTTTCTGTTTACTTAAAAATGTAACATATTGGCGTTATCTTCAGGGTTTTGTATGTAGTATAATGAATTTTATGTTTTATGTATTATTGAAGAGTAAAACTGGAAATTTGGACCTTATAGGTGTGAGAGCCCCTAGAATACATAACTAGCAGATAATTTTGCTAAATCATTCCAATGACACACATGTGCATAACTCTGTCTTGTTCAACAAGCCTTGAGAGTGAGACTTCTTATTCTGGTTGCAGAGCCCACATTTTTATTCCCATGGCATCCTTCAATCATTGAGGACTATTTAGAACCTAAGGCTGTATAATTTGTTCATTACATGGTATGTGCATGGTGAAATTAAGAAGTATTATGTTCATAATTATTGAAGCTATTCCAGTTAGAGGTGAACCATTTTTAGTATGCTCTACCAACATAAATTGTATGTTATTATGAAAATTCCAGTTTCATATAACAGAAGACAGAAATATAAGAATTTAATTCAAAGATAACCAATGCTACTTTTAAGCTTTTTCATCATATTGTTGTGAAAGATACTGTGTTGACAAAATGATTTTTAATAAACATAATTTAATTTTACATAAACATTTTATGTGACATAATTTAATACTAATTATGAAGTTGGTTAATAAGTGATAAAAATTACAATGGAATTACATGGTTATATAACTCTGCTGTCTATCATTTTACTGATTCCAAGTAAACCACATGAAAAGGATTTATTGTTTAAACTACAAACTACATTTGTAATATTTCTCAGAAATTGGTTTTCATAGACAATGTTTAAGTTACATGGTCATATTGGCAGGAAAATGTCAACCGACAAGTTTTGCTCTTCTTAGAAAATATGTCTTCTTTGGGCATATACCCAGTAATGGGATTTCTGGGTCAGATATTATTATGGTTCTAAGTCTTTGAGGAATCACCACACTGTCTTCCACAATGGTTGAACTAATGTACATTCCAACCATGGCACATATTTACCTATGTAACAAACCTGCACGTGTACCCCAGAACTTAAAATAAAATAAGAAAATATATCTTTTTACAAAAGAAATCTATCAAAACTCAAAGCTCACACTGTTCTTGCATTTTTTTTTGTGGGAACATATATATAATTTATTGCTCTAAAAAATCTTCCCAACAAATATTTCGAAAATGGCATTATAATCCTTGTGGAAAACAATTGTAGAATTTTGATAGAAAATGGAATCTATTTTAGATTTTACAAGAATAAAAGACTCTAGAAAAGAAGTAATACAATAAATGATTAAGGTTTCAGCATACTTTTAACAAATTCTGGGAGCAGTTTCTGAATTCTTAGAAAAAAAACAAAAAAACTAATTCATTCAATAGATGCTCAATCAGAAATAGCATATGTAATCAGGAATGGAAGCCTAAACAATGCTGTTTATCTTGATCTATTTTCACTCCACCATGTTCAGCTCTTTTGAGGAAGTGCTCAAGAGCCTTGAAGGACAAACTTCAATTTACTTCTTGATTCCAGTCTTCATTTTTACTCCTTATTTTCTATCTTCAAGTAGGTTTTCCATGGATTTTAGTGGTATTACCTCCCGAGTAATAGAATATTTGTATTAATGTGATTTACTAGTGGGGACATACCAACTACATTACTGTGAAACCTAACTTTCTCTTATCTCCTTTGGAAATATAGGATGTGGTACTTTTCTTATTAATTAGCTCTCCTTTTATTATTTTTTTGTGGTGTGAAGATTTGTCAAGTTTTTGAATGGTTTATTTGCACTTGTTTTTATTAGTGTTTAGACATTTGTACAGTAACATTAAAATACATATAATTTATATGGCAGCATTGAACACTACATGAGTAGTGCATATGCTTTATTTTACGTGGATAGATATCTTGACATCATTAATATTTACAAATATTTTAATTTGGAATCCCGCACTCAACAAAAATAGGCCTAACTTTAAGTGAAAAGTTTAAGGTTATTTTTAGGAATTATGTTAGGATATTTGCCATGTATTGACTGTTCAAATATCAGGCACTTAAACAATATATTACTGGACATTGGGTCCTGACCTCAATAACTTATTTTCTTAGTAACATGAAAAATATAAACAAATTAATAAGCTTGAAAGTAATTTATTAACTGAAACTTTTAGTTCTATTTTGATGTTCTACGCTTTGTAGTAGGAGAGAGAGAAGAAATTAAGAAATCATGGCTGTGTTTTGTAGAAGTTGGTATTGTGCAGTAGTTAGAAAAAGGAACTATGGAATTCTACCCCCCTTGGTCACAGCCCTGTATAACCTTGAACAAGTCTTTGAACTTCTCTGAGCATCAGAATCCTCACCTAAGAAATAGGGCTAATAATATGACTTATGCAATCAGACGGTCTGGAGGTTTCAGTGATATAGTTCATTAGGCACCTGACTGTTATTAACATTATCACCATCACCATGATCATCTCATCATTAGCTAGCATGAGCACCAAGAGGGAAAGTATAAAGGAGGTAATAATCGTATGGCTTCAAAAGCTCACCAGACCAGGGGTCATAATATAGTCCAGTGTCTTCAGGAACCAGGCAGAAGATGTAAAGCAGAGAATCTAGCTGAGTTTAAGAAATCGTAGGCTGTATTTCTAATACTCTGGAGAATGCATGACTTAACCACAGATGTTCAAATTTATATTCATTTTAATCTCTGATGGACATGGCATTAGGCAACTTGTAAGTTCTCCTGACATATATATTCAATCTTAAATTTTTTTTAAAGCATCTCTGCCAAGTGGTCATCTTGACTAAGCTTGAGTAACTTTAGTGATTCCCAAATCACTCCAACTAAAATATATTATTTCACTTTTATATAGATGTATTATAATTTTCTCCTTTAACTTGAGCCAAAACTCTGGCATCTTGTTGCTTCTAATTATTTTTAGCATGGTTGAAAGAGGCACACAAGTCTAATTCCTGAGATAGTACTTCTAGTGTTTGCACTGAGTTCCTTGAAATTTCCAAACCACAATTGCTGTGCTTATGACTAAACATATCTTGGCCCTAAACTGGTTTGGGACAGTTTTCTGTATATCGTGATTTCAAGTCCTTTTACCTTTAATGGTTAATAAATGTTAGCTATCATTAGTCTTCATCATCACCATTTTCTGGAATGTTTTCATTTGTTATCCAAATTTTTGCTGAAGCATGACAACAACCACGTGGGTAGACTACTGTCGAGTTAAGCAGGGCCATTACTTCATTGCTTTTGGAGCAGAGAAAGCAAGAAAATGCTGTAACTCTCCAGCCGGCACTCATTTTAGATGTTACCATTTGATCAATGTTTTCTTCTTGCTGATCCTGGACAAGGCATTCGGGTTCTTAACATATATACCTCTTTTTTAAAAAAATAAAAATTATTTTTAAACATTTTTGTGGATACATAGCAGGTGTATATATTTCTGGGGTACAGGAGATGTTTTGATACAGGCATGCAATGTGAAATAAGCACATCATGGTGAATGGGGTATCCATCCCCTCAAGCATTTATCTTTTGAATTACAAACAATCAAATTACACACTTTAAGTTTACCTCTTCAAGATGCAACAACTGGTCAATCCAAGTTTGATCACAGGATTAAACGTATTTGCTATTATGAATCTTGACACTTTTTGAACATTCAGATCATATGATTTACTCATGATGACAAAGTTACTTAAATCTTTCCCAATAAATAGAGAAAATTCACTCATACATTTTAATGTTATTGTTCATAATAAATATGAACAACAATGAAATGGAGCAACACAAGAAGAGTAAATTTTCACCTTACTCTAAGGTGACTGGCTGGCTGCATCATGAGCTGTCTGTTCTAGACAAGAATGACTCAAGCCCATTCTTTAATTCCTTTAACATTTATTTGGCATTTAATGCATACTTGGATTTTCTGCTAACCACTTCTCCTTTAAGTCACAGAAGCCAAAATGGCATAGATGCCACTCTAGAAAAGTTGCAGTCTAGAGTGAGAAACAAACATTCTTTCAGAGAGGAGCCCTAGTCCTTAATCAGTCTTGATGACATTCTCACACCTTTTCCTCTAGATGCCATTGATCTCTAGATTATTTACTAAATTAAGTTTTGTTACCTCCTCCATTGTTTAATAAAATTGATGATTAAGCTCCTAGCAGTTTTTCAGCCTCTATATGAGGTTATCTAATTCCTAAAAGAGGGAAAAATAATTTGAATACAGAAGAAAATGACATGTAAACTTACTTGACTAAGTATCCTGGTAGAATGAGTCTTTTGGTTATCAGCATTATCCATAGTCTTGAATGTTGTCTTTAGGCATCCTGTTTAAAAATTATTAAAAGTATTGCATTTGATGTGAATTCAAATAGTTGTCAAGATCAACACACCACATCTAGGTATAGTTATTTTCTTAATGACTCCTTCAATATATATGTTAGTGATTGCAGAAGACCCTTGGGACCAATCCAAGATATGTTTAAGGCAGTTTATAAATTTGCCCCTTCTTTTATTCTTTCTGTCTCAACTGTAAAGTGTTTCTTCGATTTTCTTTGCTCTTATATAGCTAATTGTTGTCAGTGTACTTGCTTTCTTTTTAAACTTCCTGATAGGAACTTACTAAGAAAATAATAAGATTGCTAGGTATGTTGGTAAAATAAGGACCTGAGGCTGAATGAAAGTCTAAGGCTTCATCCTCTGGGACAAGCACATGAGCTTTCCCTGTACTTGATGAGGATAGCACTCAAAGATGCTAATATAACTTGGATAATATATAATGGATGATGATGATCATCAGCATCATCTTCATCATATTCTGAGAAGGTGGTCTTTTCCTGGCACTGTAGATTTTTACTTTTCTGTACTCTATGCACTAACCCTATAGCTTTATCATGATTGTCTCTGTTTTTTAGAGGAACATACTGAGGCCCAGGTGGTTAATTTGCTTGCCCATGATTATACAGCTAAGATGATAGGGCTAAAATTAAAATCCAAACATTTTTGGTTCTAAAGAGGATGCTCTGTTGGCTACACCTAGGGGATTGCCCTTTTCTCCTGCTTATGGCTGTTTTCCATTGATTATTACAAAAAATGTGTTTTTAGTCTCCTTTAAGGATTATGAGCATCCTCTGATCATATATCCTATTTTTAGTTTCTCATGTGCTTTTGGTACTCTATGAACTGCCATGTCTTATATCTGTATGTTTATAAAAGCACTTTATCCACTAGGAGATTCTGTAGTTGTTTGTATTGAGAAGGTATTTGCATCCTGAGTCTGGGATATAAATATATACTAAAACTTTTTGATAAAATAGTGTGATTTTGGGTGATTTGCCCTCTTTAATTTTCAGTTACCATCTGCAGGAGGGACTGACATGCCATTTAAATGGACTGGTATGCTGTAAGTAATAAATAAATGTTCAGGTTAACATGTTTCCTAGTGCAAAGAATCAGAACATACTGCAATATCATGATGGGGTGAAACTTACAGATCATCTGTCCATCA
Organism: Homo sapiens; assembly: GCF_000001405.40. Classification (NCBI taxonomy): domain Eukaryota; kingdom Metazoa; phylum Chordata; class Mammalia; order Primates; family Hominidae; genus Homo; species Homo sapiens. Next base: position 41,617,909 of record NC_000014.9, read on the forward strand.
TGAACACTCTGGCATTTGTCTCATCATGTTCTACCTTCTACTCACCTCTTCTTTTGCTGTGCTACTTGTGTAGACTGCTGTTGATGCTCTTAATGAGTGCTTCAGGTGTTACTCCTGTTACCTCTTCCGTTTGGCAGAGGGTGGAAAAGAAGGCACTTGACAAACTCATTTTCTCATCTTGAATCACTGTTGTTATTTCCATGACAGAGGGGCTAGATAATGGGCAGTCAAAATCTGGGCTTAATTCTAGATATAACTGTTATCAGGACAAATCTTTTCTAAAGTAAGCCCTGTCATGTTTTCCTATCTGTAAGCTACGTTGTTACCTCTTGAATTCAAAATGGCCGCAAATTCATTGCAGTGCTTCTCATCAAGAATAGATGTGTGTTTCTCTTCTCTTTGAATCTGAGCTGGCCTTTTTACTTGCTTTCAACAACAGGGATTGCAGAGGTGATATGGTATAATTTTCAAGCCTAATCCTCCAGAGACTATGTAGCTTCTACTCTGCTCTTTTCAAAAAATGTTACCATTATGTGAAGAAACATGGATTCCTCTGCTGAGGACAGGTGGCCTGGCTAACAGCCAGCTCCAATGGCCAGACACGCAGATGAGGCCACCTGAGACCATTCACACATATTCAAACCTCCAGATAATTATAGTCAGAAGATTGACCCCAGGTGAGACCAGCAGAAGAACTAACCAGCTGAGGCTAGCCCAAATTGCTGACCCATAAAATCATAAACAAATAAAATGGTTGTTACTTTAAGCCACAAAATTATGTAATCAGAATAAATAACTGAGACACCTGTCTTAGGTACTGAGACATAGCCAGCCACCATACCTCTCTAGAAAAAAAGCCTGGCTCTCTTTTTAAAAAATATTTTCAACAAATATTTGTTAAATATCTACCATAGCTAAGCATGATGCCCCTCAATCCATGGATTCATATATTTTTGAGGCAGAATATGTTTTTTTCTTACACCTTTGGAAATATTTGCTGATTTCTCAGTAGGTAAAATTTTCTGTGATATTTCCTAACATGTGCATGATAAGTAATTTTGATTTGCCTAATTTATAACGTAGTGACTTATCATTGTATTAGAGAAGCTTCTCTGAAAAGGTTTTCCTCTTGTGCTAGGAGTAATTTCACCTAAAACCCAAGGGAAAATTTGGCTTTTTTTTCCTCCAAGTGGTATTTGGGCTGGTTTAGTTCAGTGTGGTATTCTGTAATTTCTCCAAGATTTCATTTTATCTTCTAATTATATTTTGGTGATTCATATTTACTACTCATTTCTTTTGTAAATTAAATCGATATTGCACAATTACTTTATTCTGGGCCTTGATATTCATCTTTTAGTAAATAATCTCATTTATGTATCAAATTACTCTACAGGTATTTGACATACTATTACAGGTATAATGAGGTGCAGGGCATAGGTCATGGGGCATTACAATTATAATTTCATAACTTTCTGATTATTATTTATTTGCAGAAAATAATTAAAATGAGTGTATTTGACTTCAGTGTTTGTATTTTTAGTAAAAGAGATGTATTTGTGAGGGGGTACCTGAAAATGCATGTCATATTCACTTAAATATTTTCTTCAAAGGTATTTTGTAATTGGGTTGAAAGCCTCCCTGGATTATGTTGAATATAAAATATTTTATTTATATTTTCTTTAGAATCTAATGTAAGATAGGTAATGTGTGGTATGCTTTTTATTTGAAATTTCTACTAGTAAATTCTAAAATAACTAGGTTTCATATGCTGCATATGGCAATATATGTATATTGCAATATATGTACATATATATGTACATACATATACACATACACACTGCATATACTATGTGTATTATATACAGTACATAAACATTGATTTTCTTGGCATATTTCTCAGTTTCCTTATCTGTAAAATGGGGCTAATGTTGATGACCATCCCAAAAGCTGTTGTGAAGAGTCAGTGAAATAATGTATTCCTAGCACCTCACACAGCGACTGGCAAATAATGGAATGCTCAAACAGCACTAGCAATTATTATTATTATATATTGAAAGTGAGAAAATTACAATTGTACATAAAGAATAATTGCAAATATTTTTATGCATAGCATGATGGCTCTTTTAAAAAATACGTCTTTATATTTTACAGGTTAGACTGTAATATTTGGCCTTAGTAGATTGTCAGCTTTGAAATCTGTTTCTAGTTTATTCTATTGAGACACAGGACCAAAGGGATCTTATAAAACCATATCAAGGCAGTAAATTTCCTTAAAGATTGATACAGAAATTGTTAAAAAAATAATTAAAATAAAAGCAAACTTTCCTACAGATCTACAGTAACTAACTATTGTTAAACTAACCGGGATATTTTAAAAGCAACGTCTCAAATAATATATAGTTCTAATAGGCAGGACCAATCCAGGTTGTTTAGGGTTTTGAAGTAACTTAATTTGGGAAATCTTTTAAAGAAAAAATTATGTAAAGTTACAAACACAAAAAGTAGGTAAAGTATCTTGGAAGGGGCTTGTGTATACCATTGGTTTTGTGGTACATGTGTCACTCTTATTAAGGACATGTTCGAAGAATTGAGGAGAGATGAGTAACTTGATTTTGTTTTCTATTTGGGAAAATTGATCTTATAGTAGCTTAGACTAATTTGTGTAACTTTTTTCCCACTGATGTCTATCTGTTTAATAGTTCTATTTCTTTTTTAAATTGAAAATTAAAATATTGTTTAAATAGCTATGTGAGTATATGACTATCGCACTTATTATTCTATTGGGATCAAAATAAATGGACAAATGAAAATGTGTAATCGATGGCCAAGTTTTCCCAATGATGTTGGGGAAAGCAGTTTTTTTTTTCAATTCTAAGTGTTGTCTGTACCATCACATTTTGAAAACATGGAATAAATAATTAGCTATAATGTCTATATTAAACAAAGGAAGCAGATTCAAGGGCAATTTAAAACCAAGATAGGAAATTTAAGTGAAATATATCACTCTTGGTATAAAGTGTGTATTCAGGAGGTGTTGGTCAAATACATGAATTGATACATACATTAATAAAAAATATTGATTTTGGAATGTGGCCATAAAGCACTAAAATTTACTTATATGTACCAATAGAAGGAAACTAATTTTGTTTTTTATAGTCATTACCTCTATATTTGTGTATATACTTTTAGTGATAGCATTTTGTTTACATTTGAGGATACACGAAAAAGAAAAGAGTCCTAATTTTTGAAATATGAAAGAGCCTTTGAAAAACAATGTCATATCATTCTAAAGATTTTTTTCTATTTTCTGTGTCCCTATATCCCCTGTGTGAAATACAGTCTATATTGGGAATGAGAAATTAGTATCAAGTCTCTCAAACTGATTCAAAGCCCATAACACAAAACTTTCTTGAACAGGGTGATTGGTATTGTAGGATTATCAGTGATTCTTAAGTGGAGAAACTATGTGAGCTGAATTTAAATGGAGTTAGCACTCACTGTTGCTGAATTGGTGCTATCAATAGTAATTTGAAGATATGCTTTGCCATTTTAAACTGAAATGATAAATTGGCTATGTATCAGTCCAAGAAGGAGTTGAGACCTACAGGTGAACAATGTGTAAAAAGAGTGAGACAGGTGGAATTATATGACGGTCCCGAGCTTGTTGGAGTTCAGGTTCTGTAACTCGCATTTAACAGAATATTTTTGGTTTCAGCATCTAGAATTAAGGCTGGAAAATAGGGTTGTATCACTTAGAACTCATTTAGCAGGATGTGAAAAACTCAACCTAAATTGCCTCAGCATCAAAGGAATTTTTTTGTTCAGACAACCAATCGCAGGATTATTTTCAGGCATAGCTTGGCTCAGTATTTAAAAAGTTGAAAAATCAGGATGCAACTTTCAGCTCTGATTTGTCTCCATCGGTTCCTTTCTCAGATTTGGAGGGGTAGGTCAGGGTCGCTTCGCATTATAGCAACACCATGTCCAAAGGCTGACAGAGAAAGACCATGAAAGAGAGGAAGGAAGGGAGAGAGAAAGTGGGAGAAAGAAACTGTTTCCTGACAGTCCTAACAAAAATCCTTAAATTGATTCTTTTCAGCCCTAGTTGTTTGACTTGGCTCATGTTACCATCTCTGAACTTGGTTGGGAAGAATCAATGCACTATTTGATTTATTTAACACTTCCTTCTTCTTGTCCTCTCTTTCTCTTTCCATCCCTCTTTTTTTTTTTTCATTTCTTTCAGAAATAGTTTATCTGAGAAGCCATTTTTCTGTCCCCCATGTGAAATTCAAAAGCCAATATACCTTTAGTGAACTTCTGATATTTTGGTTTGATAATTAGTGTTTCCTGCTTTAAGATTTCTTAGCAAATTTTGTTATTTTAGGGAAACAAATGGAAAATTGTCAAGCCACAGTCTTACAGCAAAATATTTGAAATGGCTGGATCTAATAGAATTTTACAAATAAAATTTTATCATTTTTCATTGAGAAGCTCACAACTGCAATATTTGTATAAGCTAAGCTTTGTCTTACGATCATAAAAGAGTAAAGGACCATATACATGTATGAATATACACATACTTTCAAATAAGCTTATTTATTTTTATCAAATACTGAATCTCTATTAATATGCATACTATATATTGTACTGTTCATAATTATCATACTTTAAAAGAAGTTTACAAATAAACAAGCTACAAGGTTGTGGAAATATAATCATCTTTCCTTCATTTTAAAATGAAATAAAATATAGTAAAATTATAGAAGGGAATATGACAATGGCTGCATTTAAATATAATTTTTCTTAAAAGTCTTAGGTAACTTCTTTTTCTTTTTGTTAGAGAGAGATCACACAAGTGCTGAAGAATTATTGTAGCTTTGTATTTGTTATCATGATCTATTTTGGAATAATCTGAAATACAGAATTCTCCATTATGATTTATCCAAGTCATACTCTTTTTTGATAGGGATAAATCCATATTTACTTATCAACTTCCTTTTAGCTTTGTACAATAATTTAATTTTAAGCTTATATGAGACAAAAACGAACTCAATTTTAACTGAGTTATGATATACCATATTTTGTATTGACTTCTGCTATGCTTACAGTTAGAGGAAGGAAATAACAAACCTTTGAGCTGGTGAGATCTAGGTCAGTTTGAGAGCCTCTGTTTCAGTATAATGTCAGCTCTGCTATTAAAGTTCAGCTTTCCAGCCCTCTAAAGGGTCATTGCTTTTCTCTCAGGACCACAGCATTTCTACAGTCATTGAATAAATAATTTTCCATTTGACAAATAAAACAGCCAAAATTAACCTCCTGTGGTGATACAGTTAGACTTTGTGTCCCCACCCGAATCTCATCTTGATTTGAAGTCCCATACCTGCCACCTTGTGAAGCGGCTGCTTTGCTTTCCCGTAACTTTCCACCATGATGGTAAGTTTCCCGAGGCTTCCCCAGCCATGCTAAACTGTAAGTCAACTAAACCTCTTTCCTTTATAAATTACCTAGTCTCGGGCAGTTCTTTATAGCAGTATGAAAATGGACTAAAAATGTGGGGATTTAAAAAAAATTCTCTGTATTTGAGTTCCCAAGTGGCATGTCAGCAAAGTAATCAAACACACCTCTGTTTTGTAGGGGAATCAAACGTGGTTCAGTTGCTTGTGTATGCAGTCTATATTAAGTGGTTTTAAGATCAGTTTTAAATATAAACTTTCGGTGACTTTGCTATAAAGCTGTGTGAGAACATTAAAAATATGTAGGCCCTACTCTCTAGTTTTAATTGGAAACTGTAGGGCAGTATCAACTTATATTATTATTATATTTTAATTGCACTGGGCAGGCTTCTTCAGGTCTAACACATTCTTTAAAAGTTGCATATTTATTTTGTTTCAGCTCACTTCAATATTGTGGAGATGGAAATCTGAAAGTCCCCTTTTCATAGTCATTTTTTGGTCAGAGTACTCTAAAATTTATTAACTAATTATGGTGAAATCACAACTCAGCATTCCATTTGGGAGGAAGTTGCTGACAGCCTGTGAAGAAAATAATGCAGTGTGGTTAACTAATGTTCCTGTTTCCTATAGTGTAATGTAACTAGTTTAATAAATTACATGTGCAGAAATAATCTCCTGAATTATCAAGAAGGAAACAGTTCCTACGCCTCTACAACTAAGATGTTTCAGAGTCAAATACCTTGAGCTTCAGATATTCAGATTTTGAAATAACCTCTACTCCTAACTTCAGCATGGGTAGCACATACTCCATATATTTCACTAGATAAACATACTTTGAAATATTTAATATTTTAAGTATAGTCCAAAACATTATACTTTTGTCATTTTAATCATTGTGGACTGAAATTTGAATGACTGGTTAATTTTCCTACAATTAATCCTTTTGTGAAAATTTCATTGCCACTATTTAATTAAAATCAACAATAGATTGTTCATAATCATGAACAAGGAGAATATACTGTAATATAATATTATATCATTTGTTGCCTCTTCAAATAATTCTTTGGAGAAGAGAAACATTAAACTAGAAGGTTAACAGCGAAAGTAGCATATAGCAAAAAATAGAAAAATAGAATCTTTTCCAATTTAGGTAGAGCAGATTTATTGTATGATTCTGCAGGGAATCTGAAAAGTGCTCTGAACACTCACTTTTAATTGAGATAACCCTAAGTTTCTTGAAGTGTAACCAGTGACAGACTAAAGTAACATTTTGGTTAAGCAATGTTGAATTATGAAATACTGTTACTCTACATTACTGCTGGGAACCTTAATTGAAGTGCAGAATCTGACTAAAAGCAACAAAGGCAACTAAGCAAAAACAAAGAAGCAAAAGTTCTAAATCATGCTTTTTTAAAATCAGTTTCTTCACAGTTTACCTCTAAGTGTGCATACATGCACGTAGACATTCACAGGATTTATAATTTTTTCATTATCTTCCTTTATTCCTCTATTTGGATTAAATAATGTCCCTCCTGCTTCTTAATTTTTTTTTTTCTTTTCATGTCTTATTTGCAAAGAGTTGACTATTTCCAGATAAAATATCCTAATCATAGGCAATCAATTGCCAGTTTAATTTTTAATGAAGCAGCTTTAAGGATGTGCTTTTTACTACTATTTCTATTCATATTTTTCTAAGATACAGATTGCTTTATTATCTTCATCATGATTAATGGATGAATATTTAAAGATAAATAATGAATGAGAGAGGATAGTACAATTATAGCCTGCTGTTCTTCATATAGTACTCTGTGTTGTACTCTAACGTTGATATGGTTTGGCTTTCTGTCCCCACCCAGATCTCACCTTGAATTGTAATAACACCCATATATCAAGGGTGGGTTCATCTGGATGGAGATAATTGAATCATGGGGGCCATTTCCCCTATGCTGTTCTTGTGATAGTGGGTGAGTTCTCATGAGACCCATTGGTTTTATAAGCAGCTTCCTCCTGTGCTGGGCACTCATTCTTTCTCCTGTCGCCCTGTGAAGAGGTAACTTCTGCCACGGTTGTAAGTTTCCTGAAAGCCTCCCCAGCCATGCAAAACTGTGAGTCAGTTAAACCTCCTTATAAATTACCAAGCCTCAGCTATTTCTTCATAGCAGCGTGAGAATGGATGAATACAAACATTATTAGAAGTAATAGTATACAGGTATGGCATTGGAATTATTCCTTAGATATAGTTGAACAGGTAAACTGTAATTTCAAGAAAGTTTATTGCTGTGTGTCCATAGCAAATAGCATATACTGACCTTTAATGATCATTTCTAAAATAGTCATATTTAACTTTATTTGACCTATAATAATCTATTAAAATGTGTATTTTATGAATTTTCACATGTACAAGGTAAAAAAAATGTCAAGTACAACATCAAAAACACATTTAAACAACTTTATACAGCCTAAGTATTCATCAATGGAGTGTAGGTTTCTTAACAATCTTATTCTGCTACTTGATTAAATTAAATAGGTCTATATTTGGTAATAAAGTAAGTTGCTGAAAATATGTGGTTACTTAAGCATGGAAGCCATTGTGGGTATGTTTCTTTGGGTAGAAACATACGTAGACACACATAAATGCACATTTGTGAATTTACATTTTCTGGAAGGATACATACATAGGCAAAAAGTAGATGGGAGTACTTTCTAGGGTGGGAGGTTCTAGGGTAGGAGGGTCAAATGATATTCAACTTTATCTTTTTTATAGAATTTGATGCTTTTTACCTTGTTAATGTAAAAATTCATAGTAATAAAAAACAAATACATGTTTTAACGGATTATTATTATAGGTCAAATAAAGTTAAATATGAGTATTTTAAAATTATGATTAAAGGCCAGTATATGCTACTTACTGTGCTGTTAAATATGTATGTGCCAACTAAGATGTCAGTGATATTTGCAAATTATTTTTCTATAAATAAATTAAAGAAATTTAGCAATCAAGCTTATCTACAATGTAATTTGTACTATATACAACAGACTGTATGCCTGGCTGCTAATGGGAATTTCACTAACAGTGGGAAATACCAAAAATACTAATTTTTTGGGAGTTTTTCTATGTCTTACAATGTAATTTTATGGAGAGAGTACCTGTAGAATCTGAACATCTAATTTAATTAAAGTAATACTAAACTTTTGACTTACGTGATAAAGGATATGTCATTTGGGGGCTCTATTTATGTTCATAGTGTTATGTTTATGGAGACAGGAATGTTGAGTGTATTGTGCATCTCTACGTCTGGCCCTGGCACAATGTTCACTATGTAGATTAATGATTACACAATTAAGTTAAAAATACCATTTTTTCCTACAATTTCAACGTAATTTTAAGATTATGTTCGTATAATACAACTGTGTATTCTAATTTACTCTGATGTATTAGACAAAGAAACGAAAAGGTTAATAGGTTCTGCTAAGATGCTATTCTAGAAAATTAATAATAGAAAAAAACACTGAATTCCACATTAACAGAGATAAACGTTTTATTTGGGTTTGTACAGAAGAATGAAGCTACACTTTTGAAAACATTTTATGTCATATTTAACAGAAATATATTTGCATTGATGCATATTCCTAGAACAGAAGAAATACTTAAATCATATCTTTGCTCTGTACATTTTCAATAAACTTGATCAACAGTATAAAAGGATAGTTTTCACATTTAACTTTCACAGCAGAACTCTAAGGAGGTTAGCTTTTAAAGACTAATCTCTCACTTTATATTGAGATATAATTCACATAACAAGTAATTCATCTTTTTAGCGTGTACAATTTAGTGGTTTTTATTATAATTACAAGGCTGTGCAGCTTATCACCAGCATCTAATTTTAGGATGTTTTCATTATCCCTAAAAGGAACTCCGTATCTGTTAGGAGTCACACACCATTCCACCTCTCAGGAGGTTATTTCTGGGAAATGAGAAACAAGCAAAAGAAAAACAAACACACATACACAAAAATGAAACTTTATAAAAAATTCATTTCCCCAAGGGCCTTTTTCTTAATCTTTAGGATAATTAAACCATTTTTTGAAGCATTCCTCTAGGTATATTTTCCTTTTGTCAAGTGGTTTGATTTTGCCAGATTCTCATTTATTAGCAGCTATACATTTGAGTCTAGGAGTTATCCAACAAAATTCTCATTGACGTCATGAAATCCTAACCTTTATAAATGAAATTTCCATTCCACTTTTCCATAGCTATATTTATGTTTGTTATCCAAAAGTATTGATAAAGGAATCGACAACATGGTCGAATATATAGATATCTCTATGTTAATTTATGTGTCCATTTTTCTATGCTGGTATAATATGAAGAGACATTTGAATGGGGCTAATTATGTACATGAGTAATTCTTTAGTGGATATTGTAGTGACAATATTCTGCTTTAAGCAATCTTGTTATTTCAGAGACTTGAATAAATAATACTAGGTTAAGGGCCTCTTTATATATCACTTGAAATTGTATACATTTTTTTTTCTCTTGAGAAACAATGAAATGTACTTAGTTTCTATTTGTGCAATTGATGACTGAGGGAATTAATTTTATTTATTGCAGCTAGGAAAATTAGCATTTACTTAGTTTTTATTCTAGGCTTTAGTGACATTTAACTGATAGGTACTTTCAAGGATGCTGAGTTTCTTTTTGTTTGTTTTCACAACTGCTTCTGTAATATGTGGTGAAAACTCTAGGAAGAGACTGTTCTGTAAAGGTGAAGCTAATCTGATCATTCAGCAGTGAGTTCTTGAATCCTCTCTATAATTTTAAGTTTCTTTTACCCCTCATTTATTCTTAACAATATCTTGCCTTTTTCTCACTAAGCTGTCAGTGAAGTCATTTATCAGAGTAGGCAAAAATAAAAGATTTCTATCTTTAGGCTGGTCCTCTTTTTCTCTTGTCAGGTTTTGCATCTTTAACTCATTGATTTATTCATTCAACAAATATTTATTGCTAAACGTCTTCCTGTTCCATAAAGAGTGGTAGGATCTAAAGACTGAGCAATAGAGTGAGACTTCATGTCTACAAAAAAAATTAATAACTTGCCAGGTGTGGTGGCATGCACCTGTAGTTCTAGCTGCTTGGGAGGCTGAGGTGGGAGGATCACTTGAGGCCAGGAGGGCCAGGCTGCAGCAAGCCATGATTGTGTCACTGCACTCCAGCCTCGGCAATAGAATAAGACCCTGTCTATAAATAAATAAATAAATAAATAAAAGCTTAGCAGTAAACAAGAGAGAGGTGATTGTTGTCTTGGTTGAATGTACAGATTAGGAGGGAATCAGATTCCCAAGCATTCATTGATTAAATGTATTGAGCACCAATATGATGTCTGATATGGATAGTAGCATTGAAGATATAGAGTGGATTTGCACGTGTGGGGACTGTGATAAAACAGGAAACTTCGTGTGCCCTGGCAGTGTGTAAGGTGACATCTCAACATCAGACTCACCTTCTTTTGTGTCTCCTGTCAGCGCATACTACATAAGGCACAGAGATGGTGCATGTTGGACTTGCTGTTTATGTCGAATCTACCTTTCTGACTCTCACAACTTCCCATTTAGTGTGTAAACTGTTAAAATCCAGTTGTTAGGTTAGATTCATCACCAGCTGCTTTTAAAAAGTAGATATTTGTAGATATTTATAGATCTATATAGATATTTAAAGGCATTGAAGATGCCATATGTCTCTACATTTGCAAAAAAAATACATTCTGCAGTTATTTATAAGTTCTGGGGATTTTCCCACTTTTATTTTAGATCATATATACTGCTCTGGCTCAAGTGTTGGGTTGAGAATGTCTTTAAAGGTTATTCTTCATTAATCAAAAACTCACTGCCCTATGATTGTTTCTTGTATTGCGCCATCAGATAATTTATCCAACAACAGGAGAATGGGATTTTACTGTTCAACCAGCTTCATGCTTACTTATTTGTGGGTTACATGTCCATGTAGCTTTATGGCCTTGAAAGGGTTTTCTATTACTTATTTGTAAAATAATGGCATAGTTTTGCTTTATTTCACTCTCTTCAACACACTAAGATATTCAAAGTTTCTTGCATTTACTTAGGTTAGACAAATACCATTTTATTTCTCTGAATAAAATTTCCTAATTGTATAGTCAGTGTAGCCGATACAAATATTGTTCAAGGATAACTAAATTGTTTGTAGTTCTCTAAACGCAGTAAGCTATTTCATGTTTTGGTGTCTTTGCTTTTGCTCCTCATTCTGCTAAAATGTCATTTTCCTGATCATCCTTTAATTAGTCATTCAACAAGATTTCCAAAATCTCCTTTGGAAGGAGGCATTCCCAGTGCTTCAAAGTTGAAGTTAGTGTCACATGTCTTAGTTCCCATACTGCACTCAAATCATATGTACTGGTGAGACCACAGGGGAGTTTCTTCTAAGTAGCTTCATAAGTTGCAGAATCAGTTCCAGAATCTTTGAGAAGTTGTTTTTTCTGAGAGCCTTACTTTTTTTTATGTAGTGGCTGTTTTGTATCAGAGCTTTATTTCGTTGTCACACACATTATATTTAAATCATTTATCCTTCTATTTACATATGAGACAGTCACTGATATCTTTGAGTATGGGATATATTTAGCTTCTTTCAATTTTTTTATCCAAGTACCTAGAAAGGTGCTTAAGATATTGTCAACATGAAGCACTCAGTTATGTGTAAAGGCATTAATGATGTCATAAAACACAGGTGACAGTTTTCTCAGAGGTTTTCTCTGACCCTGTTAATGCTAAGCAAAAGATTCACTATAGGATGATATCTGAAAAAACTTTTATCAATAAAGAAGTAAGGGGAAGAGCTAGGAAGGACCTATATACATCTTGGTTAAATTAAAGCATTCCTCTGGATTAAATCACTTTAGGGCAAAGACTTTTTTTCAGTTTTGTAGATACCTGTCTGAATTGGCAGTTGGATCATGTAAATTCAATAAATACTGTAAATATTTATTGTTTCAAAAGTATAATGGGAATTGCTGATCCTATTTAAGGGTTTCTGAAGACTGCTTTTGAGAAATGCATGTCCTTAAAAATATGCTCTTGGATTACATTCTTCTCATTTGTTTAATATCAATCTGTATTGTTTGCTTAGAACTTCTAATTCCATGTTTTATATTATATACTGTAATTACTATTTATTTGTTGTCAATTTAGATGTGCAGTAATGAAACATTGAGTAGAATTTCATTTATTTAAGAGCATTGCTATTTTGCACTATATACTTTTGAGAGAACATAAATGGGAAAAGATAATTTTCTTTTACTTTATTCATTTAACACATAACTGCTTCAATCATGGGACATAAATTTATCTGCTCGAGTTTTCATCGGTCACTTGTAAAGTCTTTTATATACGATTAGAAATTATATTTTCTTGAGAGTTTCCTTTGATATTTATATTAGTTCTTTATCGTTTTGCTAATTATTTATATAAAGGTATTTCCTTTTAATTAAATGAATTTAACTGGAAGGCTTAACAATTATAATCTGGAGATCTTTTCTGATTTACCGACTGTTGGGGTGAATTAGGTTGGAATGGCTTATGTAAAGCTCTGGACTCTCTTCTTTTAATCCTCCCTCTTTTAATTTATACTGTATATTCCTGCAAGATAAATCTTCGTAAAATGCTTCAGTCAAGTAATTTCCCCACTCAAAAACCTCTAGAGGTCCCTCATTGCTTACTAAATTAAACTCAAACTTGCTCTCTGACATTCATAGCCCTCCAAACCCCAATATAATCCAGCTCTAATCTCAACTATTACTATTCCTCTGTTTACACTGTTCACAACAGTAAGACAGAATTATTTGGCTTCCACAGACTCTATTTTATTTTTTTCCACTCTGTGTATTTTTCTGGGCTTGTTCTTCCTGGAACACTTGTTCCTGTATCATTCCATACTGTTCAAATCTAATTGATCCTTCAGAACCTATCTCAGAAAACCATGTCTGTGAGAAGCCTCTCCTGATTTATTTATTCAACAAGTATGTACCTTCCCAGGCATTAGTCAAGTGTACTGTGAATGAAAAAGACAAAAATCCCTATTATCCAGAGCTTACTTTTTAGCTAGGGGAGGTAGATAATAAATGAGGAAACATATAAATAAAAAATAAAGATTTAAATATATAAAATATGAAGTTATAAGAATTATGAAGGAAAATAGTGAATGTAAGATATCAAGTGTGGAATTTGAGAGGGAGGGCTGATATTTTATTGAAAGTGATCAGGAACATGTCATCTCAGATGAGAAGGTATTTTTCAGAGATGCCTACTGAGAGAAATAATAAGTCATGAGTATATCCAGAAGAACAGAGCCTGAGAGAGGAGTGAGTTCAAGAACCTTGGGGCAGAAGCAAGCTTAGCATGGTTATAAAATAGCCAAAGGGCAAATGCGGCTAAACAGAACTGAGTGAGCAGAAGAGTCACTGAAGTCAGAGAGGAGTAAGTCCTGGGGACCAGTTAAAGGACTTTGGTTTTCATTATGAAAGAGATGAGAAGCCACGGAGAGTTTTGAGCAGAGGCATGACCTGAAATGGCTTATATTATAAAGGATTGCTCTGGCTGCTGCCCTTGAATAGACTCTAATGACACAAAGGAAAAACAAGGGAGGACTAAAGTCTATGCTGATCAAGACTTAGTGGTAAATTGAACCAGAGTTCTGGCGTAGGAAGTGACTAGATTCAGGGAAACTATCATAAAATAAGGAAGTACGTATAAAGGGTGAATAAGAAGTCACAAGGAAAAAAAAAACGTAGCATTTCGGGGAATAGTACTTCATCTTAATAACTATCATTCCTTTTTATTATGTTTGTTTCTTGTAACAGTTTCTTTACTATGCTGTTACTTCCATCATCCATATGTTAATCTCATAACGGCCCTTTAAAAATGTAGGTGTTGTTGGCCGGGCGTGGTGGCTCACGCCTGTAATCCCAGCACTTTGGGAGGCTGAGGCTGGTGGATCACCCCAGGTTAGGTGTTCAAGACCAGCCTGGCCAACATGGTGAAACCCCATCTCTATTAAAAATACAAAATTAGCTGGCTGTGGTGGTATGCACCTTTAATCCCAGCTACTCGGGAGGCTAAGGGAGGAGAATTTCTTGAACCCAGGAGGTGGAGGTTGCCGTGAGCCGAGATCGCACTATTGCACTCCAGCATGGGCAATAAGAGAGATATTTTGTCTCAAAAACAAAAATAAAAGTATGTGTTGTTATTGTTACATTTATACAGATGAGGAACTTAGAATACAGAGAGTTTGAGTTATAAGAAAATATTGTATGTGTCAATCTTCCTGTAGTCTTAGTAGAACAGGAAAAAAAGGCAAGGAATAAATACACTAGAATTTTACTAGTGGTAGAATAATAAATAATATTTTAGATTTTTATGTTTATCTGCATCTGTTTCAAGAAAATGTATGATTTTTCTTCTACTTATTTTAAAATTCTTATATTTTGGTGAATAAGGATATTGCCTTAATAATCTCATAACCATTAAATGTAAGAATTATGAATTGATACCCCATTTATATGATTTTTCTGTGCTATTTTATAGTTAACAAAGTACAGAATTTGCAGTCAGACTTGGTTTCCAATTCTATAACCTTGGACAAATAATTTAGACCCTATGAACCTCAGGGTCTTCATCTGTAAACTGAAATCCCAAGGTTTTAGACTTATTTTCAGGATGTAAGTGGAAACCAAATGACAGTCTTAAACACAATACCTGTCACAAAATACAGCATAATAAATGACTGCTATTATGATGCCCATGTTATGTAGATATTCAGATTAAATTTTTCAGCAGATAAGAAAAAATATATAGTACTATAATATATATAAACAAATAGCTGTATATAACTAATAAATTACTATGAAAATGAATTTCAATTCAGAATGTTAAAAAATTTCACTGTTTAATTCTTCAATTTTGTGACTTGATTTTAGAACTTTGTAGATGGCATTTATTTTCATTTTTAAATAATTAATATGCATTAATTTCTTGTCACTTACTTATAAATGCCTTAGCAGATACATTTCAATAACTTTGAAAAATTATGAATAATCAGTTCAGGATTACTCTTAGATACTGGTTTAACATGGGCCAGTGTTTAGTGAAACAATCTGCTAACATCAGTTGCAAACAGACTTGATGTCAGTGCCTGTTTTGTCTAAATAGAAGTTTTAGGATCAGGTCCAATTCCATAAAAGTCATTGCAATTATGACATTATGTGTCACAAAGTAAATTAAGATATTCTTTTTTTCAATTACATTTTTAAAAACATCAAACAAAAATGTTTTCTGTAATTTTTGTAAATGTTGCCTTCTCTAGTTAGAAAATTTTAAAAAACAGTATAAAATAAAACTGTTTAAATGTAATTATGTGCACACCTAAAATAATGGAATAGACCCTATCTTCCTCATACACAAGTGTATGTATGTATGTATGTTTTTTCCCTATGCTTTATAGCAATCCAAATAAAAGACTGCTAGATACCAATTAGTGTGACTCAATTGCATTTTTCCTAGAGATATGGAACAAAGAAATAAAAAAATCCAATCTTCTGCAGCGTTTCAAAATTATCAGTTCTAATGAATTATCGCCATATAATTATATTATTAACATTTGCTTTGCCTCTATTATAAGTTATTCTCATTAGCTTTCAATTTCCTTCAGTGTCACAGGATTCTTCATAGTACAGTGACTGTTATAAAATAAACTCATACTATGTAATAGTTCTCAGTAAAACTGGGCTGAGTTTGTGAAGGGTATGCATCATAATGAGCTCCACCACACTTAATTTTAGATCTGTGTGAATCACCAATGAGCCTATCTTTTCTTAAATTAGATTTTTCAGCATCTTCTATTAATATATTGGAAGCCATACTCCTTTTTGAATAGTAGCCAAAAATATGTCACTAAGTTAGGAAGTTCTTCTAGTGATGGAATCATCCAGAGATAGCCCTCTGTCTAATGCAGTTTCTCCCCGTGGAGTCTCCCGATGTTCAAAAAGCCATAAAGGCAAATAGCTTCATACAGAGAAAGGACATGCAGTGCTGTTGGCTAGACACGAGATCTTCTGTACTTCAACAGTAGAAATAAAATAGTAGAATCATATAATTTGGTAACTAGGGAAGGATTTTGTAATCATCCCTGATACACCATCTGGATAGACATAGGTCCTGAAAAGTTGAAGTATGAAACTTTCTTTCAGGGCTTGGTTAACTATAATATATCTTGTAAACTGATTCTAAGACCTGTATGTTCCAATGTGTACTAACGACCCTCTGCTTAAATTGAATCCTAATGCTGTAGGGTTTGGGTCTGTTTTAATTTGTATCATTTTCAGTTTTGATTCCTTTTTGGCATATTGAAAATCATTTGAAAGTGAAGTTTGTTCTTTTGCTTTTACATACACTGGATCAACATTCTTTTAAATTATTCTTAAATATGGTATATAATATGAAAAATGCATTATTATAGTCCCCTGATAAATAATTATTCCCTGAGAAATAATTTAATTATGTAATGAAACATAATTACATTTAAACAGTTTTATTTTATGCTGTTTTTTAAAATTTTCTAACTATAGAAGGCAATCTTTACAATCGGGGAATTATTATACCATTAGAACTTATGAGTATAATCAGTAAGTTGCTCTCAAATAACAATTATAAAAGAACAGCATGTTGATATTTTTATAATTTTAGAACTTAGAGAAACATCATTTTTGATTTATAGTGAATCTGGAACATATTACTGTCCAATACGTTGTATTTTGTTAAGAAACCATGCTGAATTCTGACTATTGACCTAGATACAGCCTTCAAAATGATGAAAAATTAGAATGTGCTTTTGTATTTCCTTAAAATGTCTTAGTTTGAATACATTATTTTTAAAAACATAAATAAGATTATGTATTCACAGGCCTCTGTGTTGGCTAGTACATATAATTTATCTGAAACTTTATAAACCAAAGAACCCAAATACTCAAGTGTCATAATTTTGAGTCCAGTTTTAAAAGTTAATACATGTAGTCAAAATTAAGTTGTTATATCCTTGAGAACTACAACAACCTCACTCGTGATTCTAATCAAATCAGAATACTAAGCGTGCAGTAGGGGACTACTGTGTTTATGGGGTATAAAGAAAGAAAGATAAGATCAAGTTGTTAGGAATCCAGAAAAATATCACAGAGAAGGAGGCACCTGAGGTTGTCCTTGAAGAACAGGTTAGATTACAGTGGTTTGAAAATAAGGGCAGGTATTTTAGAATAAGGGAACAGTATGAATAAAACAACAACAGGTGAGGTCCAAATCATGTTTGGGTATAAGGAACAGTCTCACTACTGCTTCAGTATAGGACATAAATAGGATATTTATGTATGTTTTTCCTTTTTTTGCTCCTATGTAGGCATAACTCAAGGTGTTATTATTAGATCCAGAATCTGTCCATACTAGTTTCTAATTCTTAAAGAGCTCCATTCTAAATTTGCATACTTTACCCTTATCCTGGTATCCCAGCAGAGCAGTCAGGATTGGAACATTCTAGTCAACCCTGTTTGGGGTCTATTTCATTCAAGCCCAGAACTGACTGGGTGGACTCCATGTTAATGGGGAAAAACACCTGAAATATTTTAAAGATAAGGAATTCATATTAGGTTTTGATGACATTTGGGAGCCACTGAGGTTCTCTGTTGAGAAATTATACTGTTGGAACTTACGAGTATAATCAGATATTGGTTCAACTGATGAGTAAGAGAAATATTTGAAGCAATGAGACTGGTTAAAAGGCAGTTAAAACATTCTGGGTGGAGGCAATGAGGAAATACATCATGGAGTTGGTATTACAAATGGACATAAACATATGGCTCAGTGAACTTCAGTTTACTTCCATTAGAATTTAGCAATTAGGAGTTTTAAAATTAGGAGTTAAACATTTTCATTTTTGATATCATGGAGGTGAATAATGAACTTTCTTTTAATCTCAAGCTCTTGGTCTGAAAGAGGAGTTAATTTCATGGGTCTCTTGCACTGTTCCTTACTATGGGTATTTGTTATGGCTTGCAGGCCCCTCAGCACCAGTTACATTGTTTAGGCCAGATAGAAAGTAGATGCTTAGCACCAACATGGCACATGTATACATATGTAACAAACCTGCAGGTTGCGCATATGTACCCTAGAACTTAAAGTATAATTAAAAAAAAAAAAGTAAGTAGGTGCTTAGGCTATGGTCTCCAGTAGGAGGTGTGGAGCAGGTTTACTGTGCACTGGTTACCAACTTGCCTGATTCCAATGAGACAGAACACACTCATATGCAGCAAGCCACATGAAGTGGATTTATTACTTACAGATAAGCAGAAAGGGACAAAAGAAGCATAGCATCCTATGTGAGCTCATTTCTCAAGGTTCAAAAAAGCTTACTAGGGCAGATTGAGTTTTGACTGCACAGGCCCCACTTGCACCAGAGCTGTGGGACCCCCCTAGAGGCAGACTGCCTTGGGTTATATACCTCAGCGGCAGCATGAATCACTGAGTAAATATTTGAAGGACATCCTGCATCCAGGAGAATGAGAAACTAAGTCTTGAATATTGCAGGCAATTCCTTTCTAACTCAAGATGTTACATTCCACAAGAGAGACATGAACAAGGCTTGAACTGTGTCAGGCAGCTTCTCCCTATCTCAGGATATTCCATTTCCAGTTCATTCTGTAGATATGCTTGAGAACTACAAACAAGAAAGAGGGGAGAATTGGGTTAGTTCAAGGTCACCCAGAGAACTGTTCTGTAGGAGGCCCTATCCTAGTCAGGCTGTTTAATTTCATGATTGTAACTAGGGAGAGTTGTTCTCTTTTCTTGTGCTTCCATCATCTTGCAGTCAGCCAATTACATGGTTTTCAGCTTGGTATGTTCAAATATATCATTTTAATTTAGTGATTTAAGCAAATTAAAACTATTAGAATCAAGGGAGGAAGGAAAACTTTTTTTTTCCCTTTTCCAAACCTGCCTTACTCCTATGTAGGTATAAATTAAGGGGTCTTTATTAAATCCAGAATTTTTCTATACTAGTGTTGAATTCTTAAAGAGCTCCATTCTAAATTTGCACACTTTACCCTTATCCTGTTATCACAGCGCAGTAGTTAGAATTGGAATGATTCTATTCACTCATGTTTGAGGTCTATTTCAGTCAAGCCCAGAACTCATTGGGTGGATCCGTGTTATTCTTTTGCTCTGAGCTCTGTACACCTTATTTGGAGGTCATTAATATTATAGGTTGCTTATAGATAAGTGAATTTTGCAGCTTGTATCTAAGGATAAGTCTAAAAAGTATAAGAGCTTCTTGATTTGCATTTTTGTTAAGCACCAGGGATATGACCGCATTCTTCATAATTTCGAGGGAGTCCTTAGAACCTTTTAGACAAGATCAGATTGTCATGTGAATTTAGCACCTTGAACAATTCCTCTCTGCCCATGGGCTCCACTGCAGGTACCTAGATAGCTTTCTGGGTTTTGCTTCAAATTGTACTTTCTGTTTAGTCCCTTGGATTTAATATAAAAACATTCTCTTATTTCCAGGCCCATTTTGCCTATTGCAGCAACACCAGATCCTCTTGGTTATCACCTTTTGTGACTGGACAACACTAACCACAAGACAGCTGTGATATCCTAAATGCATGCTATAGTATGACAGTAACCTATCCATATGGATAACAGCACCCCAATTTCTCTACTCAGCTCATAGAAATTATGTACCCTGAAGACCTTGGGACCTCCAGGATTTCTGCCATTAGTAGTGAGGACTTTGAAAATGTCAATATATTTTCATGTCACACTAGATATAACTTGTTCCTCCTAATTAAAATGATAGAGGGTTAGAAACCAAGATTGGCCCAAGCAAGAGCTGTGCAATTCTCCTTAGAATACAGTGGAAGCATCTCTCTAGTGTCAATAATTAATTCTATACTGTCAGAGGGGCAGCTGTGTGTCCCAAGGAATTACTGAAGGACAGCCCTTCCCATTATTGCTTAAATATACTTTTAGGGAATGAATGATGAAAGCAATTTAGTGAAGAAAAATGGACTGTGAACATGTAGTATAAAATTCTAATCGCTTTCTATTGCTAAATGGGAAAAAGACGTTTAAAAATAACTGATTTACCAGGTTTCTAGCTTGTAACTCTCCTAGTATTGTATATTGATTCTGCTTACTGAAATTCATGTTCTGTGAGAGAAAGATATTAGTTCTTTAATAAAATAATTTTAGCCAATTCAATGAATAGATGCTAGTTTTAAAATTAATGTAACCTAATATGATAATTTATAGCTTTTATAACATAAACTAAATTATGTAATGTATAAACAGATTAATTTTTATAAAGCATAGTAATAATGATAAATATGTTAACATCATTAAATATTTTAATTAGAGTTTTAAAAATATTCTTCTAGAAATACAGCATCAGTGATACAGTGGACATGTTTCAATTATAGATAGAAGTAATTTATATTTGTACATAACTTTGGCATCTGCTAGAAAATATTTCTCTTATTTAATCCTTACAAAAATGCTGTGAGGTAGAAAAGGTTGGTGTCATTATATTTACAGTAAATAGAAGAAATTTGTTCAATAAAACATACCTGAAAAGTGACAGAAATGGAGCTAGAGTCTTATGACTCCTAGTATTAGTTTGTCTCTATTGAAATGCTGAAATTATATATGTATAATATATATATTACTAAAGACAGGGCTCATGAATCATTTGCTCAATAGCAGGAATCCATTGTGTTTCTCTTTTTGGCCAGGTATCTTGCAAGGCACAGGGAACACAACGTTAACGAGTAGGTTTGCCTTCAAAGGATGGACAGTCTGATAAATACTCTAATTTAGAAGTCACATAACAGTATTATGCAGTCTTCTCTTTTCCCCTACAATGTTATTGATTGACCAAAAAGAAGGTCATGGTTCAACTTGTTTTATCCGCAGATGAAGTGGAGGTTCTCATTGAAAGAGAACTCTTCCAAGAACTGGACACCTGGCTTCCACTTTTGCCTTGTTACTAACGTTATGTGTAACATTGAGAGTATCATTTAACCTTTTTAGTCCTTAGTTTGTTCATTTATGAAATAGTTAAAATAAAACTTGACCTACCTACCTCACAGGATCAATGTGAGGAAGAAAAATATGATTTCATAGGTAAAATCAAAATTGAAAAATGTAGGAGGACTGAACAGATACAGGATAACAATGTTTAATTCTGGACTGTATGGAACAATTATTATCAAATAACTAGAGTTATAATAAAAACTGTTGCATTGATGGTATCCAGCACATTCTTGTCTTTACTTTTATTAATTTTAATTAACTAGTTAATGTATTTATTTATTGAGATGTGGTCTTGCTTCATTTCCCAGGCTAGAGTGCAGTAATGCAATCATAGTTCAATGCAGCCTTGACCTCCCTGGCTCAAGTGAACCTCCTACCTCAGCCTCCACAGTAATTGGGACTACAGATGGATGCCAACATGACTGGCTAATTTTTTTTTTTTTTTTTTTTTTTTTTTTTATTTACAGCTGGGATCTCCCTATATTGCATAGGCTGGTCTCAAACTCCTGGGCATAAGCAATCCTCTTGACTGGGCTTCTCAAAGTGTTGGAATTACAGGTGTGAGTCACTATGCCCAGCCCATATTCTTTAATCGGGCCATACCCCTGGGATCCTGGGGGAAAAGTAAACTTAGGTGATGAAAATATCAGAGGTGGAAACATATTTCATTGTCCGTCTGAAGGCCCTGACATTCCAAATAAGCTTTGTCAATATGAATTTATAGGCTGAGGTAGATTGGAGTGCCACTTTTGCTTTGCCTTAGGCTGTTAATATAAAACATACACTTTTTATGTCAAGCCAAGTGGGGATAAGTTATTGCTAGAAACCTATAATGATTTCAGATTTTCAGAACAGTAATGGACGTCAAAGAACCATATATTCGTGTAGCTCTACATGGAAGGCAAACCTAATTTTGAATAAGCAAACTGAGGATGCATTTCCATTCTCAAATGGTTTCTATCATGACCTTTTTATATCAGATTGTACTTGTGTTTATATCTTTGAAGGAGAAATACACAGGAAAGATTAGGACACTGTGGAGATAGAGTCATGTGGAGCACTCATAAAAAATTAAATGTCCTCAGCATTCACAGAAGTAGGTCATTTCATTCTTAATTAAATTTATACATTATAGTCACTGATTAACTTGTATCTGGATATTAGATATTCTTGAGGCTTCCTTATTTGCAAAAACTATTGTACAAATAAATACTTTGTACACACAAAACTGTAACAAACAAATAATATCTAGTTAAGAAGTTTCTTTCTCGAATTTTATTGCCCTTTATCCCATATTTCATAATTTCACGCTTCTGTCTTGCATGCTTCTGGGATTCTCTATCTTAATGACCTATTTTTATCTTTGGTTGCTTGTATCAGCAAAATATGGGAAAACTCAGGTATAAATAGAACACACAGGACATTACCTTAACAACTATATGTGAATCCCTGGTGTTAGTATTTCAAGGATGACTATTCAAAGAAATGCCACAAAAATCTTGATGTTTTTCAAAGATATAGAATGGCTGAGTAGACAAAGAATAAAAAAAAATTCACACTCTCTAAAGTGCAAATTACATGAACTGTGGGCAGATAAACCCCTCCTAATGTAAAACCACAGCACAGTAACTTGAGACATATTTGATAATTCCCGGAGACAGGAAGATCTCTTTAGAGGGCGTTTGAAAACGCTATTCTGAAGGTCTAAAAGGACATTGGATGGGTCATATAAAATATTAACTATAAATTCAGGTATTAGAGCACTCTACAGAAATGAAAATGCATTTGGTGGTGGATTTCGTAAAATGGATGAAAGAAGTGAATTCATCTTTCTCTTTCACCATCATTAAGACAATTTTTCCCGTACCATTTTTTATTGCTTGCTGGTTGGATGGGAAGACTAACATTTTGGTTAATTTAAGTTTCAAATTTTAGCTATTTTATAACACATTTTTCGATATTTTGAAACACCATACTATAGTAATAAAATTACTATTTTCCCATTTTACATAAACATCAGTACTTTTAGCATGAAATGGCTTTTCTATACTTTTCTATACACATATTTGTAGTTTGCTTGGGAAGAAAACACAAAATTAAATGCCAATTTGCTCTTTAAATTCCATAAATATAATGCCACAGTAATAGAGATCAGATCCATGGTGTCCCAAACCTGATATTAACATAGTTCCTTGTGGTTTGATAATGGCTTTATGATTTATATTTAAAATATTTAGATAGATGAAGGGTAATTGTGCCACCCTAAAATATCAGAAAATGAAGTTTTGAAACTTTATTATAGTCACACAAATCAACTGATGTTCCTTTGTTTTTATAGTGCAAAATATTTCTCCTTTTTGAAAATGAGTGCATCAGCATAAAAGCCTCTTGAGCGAGAAAAATGTATATTGATCACTGTAAGTGCTTTTCTGTAATACCTTGAAGTTATTGAAATTGACCCTAAACCATGTTCTATTTCTGACAATGGATTCTTTTCATGTGTTATTTATTGATTTACAGCTTAATAGAGATGCAGAAGTAATTTCTGTTATGAAAAACACATGTAAGACCTTGTCTTACTATTTGAATTTGTTTGTAGCTTTAAGAAAACATCAAACACATTATACTCAATATAAGAGCTAACAGATTAACCAACATAACTCTTATAACACTTTCATCCTTCAATAATGTGTTGAAATAAATACACATACTGAATCATCTATTGGACCACAAAGTACAATCTGGCTAGTGCACATGTGGAGAAAATAAATTCTAGAGTAAAAGGTTGTTTGTGTTATAACCTGAATTCCACTCTTTCTCAGATTTAGTATATCATTCCTTTGCACCTCAGCATTTCCATTTGGAAAATAGTGATAACATTAGTCTTCTTCTAGCTCAATGGCTGTTATGAAAATACATGAGGCAGCATATGTGAATAGTTCCCAAAGCTTTCGAAGAAAGTTGCTTTGCAAATTGAGGTAATGCATAGGTCAACTTTCCTGGCTGAGGCAAGTGGTTCCTCATTGTTATTTAGTTTCTCCCATTCTAAGGGCAAAATAGGCTGCTTGCCAAAAGACATGGATTATCATGAAGAACTGGCATAGATTCCAGGACTTGAGCCCTGACTCCTGCTTTTGCATTCATAGTGACCTGGATCAAATGAAGACTGCCAGCATGGATTGACAGAAAGGCAATACATCTCATGATTCATGGGCTTCCATTTGCTACTTCACACTGTATTTTCCTTTTCTTTCTTTCTTTTTTTCTTAACATATTGAACTGTAGCGTAAAAGGCTAAATAAGATGTCCAGTTGTTTTATATAAAATTGTACACAATATAACACAGAGGTTTTAAATGTTAAAGATTAGAGACACATAGTTAGCTGGTTAAATCCAAATAATTTGTTATACTTGTACACTGTTACTTCATACTTCATTGTCACAATTTATACCATATATCTTAGCGCAAGTAATAAAAATGGGATTAAGAGCTTTACATAATCAGTGTGAGAGAGTCTCACTGAATGCAGTGTTAAAAATTCATCTTAACTGACTTATAATTTAGGAGCAAAATACAGCATTTAGAAAAATCATATATTTTTGACTCCCTACATATTTTGTTGATAAGCTAATTAATGATTACCTAGGTAGATATTCTGTGGTTCTTTTATAAAATAAATCAAGAGAAAAAGGTATAAATAGGAATCAAAAACATTCTTAATTCCATTACATTTTTCCAAACTGTTTGAGTGAATAAAGCTGACTAAATAATATCAGCAGAAATTAAATAATCAAAACCAATGGAATGTTGAATACATATTAGTGCAATTAAAGTTTTATATTTTTACATATGCAATATCCTGTGGAGATATTGAAATGGAAAATATTTTGGAATGATTTCCTCTCAGGGAGTATTTTTGAAATAAATCCCCTTTCCCCCCACATACATATCTTCTCGGCACACAAACCATGTGTGTTAGCTTCTAAGTTATCTTGTGTATTTGAAAATCATTTGTCTTTGAATCATTGGGTTGATTCAAGATTCTGGCTCTATCTTCAGTAGCTCCCATGATGCACTAAAAAAGGCAAATTCGATAACATCATTTCACATTCATCTATAAACTATTTTTCCTGGGCACAATCTCTCCCCACTGGCATGCACGTGAGAGTGCACACATAGACATAAACACACCACACACACACACACACACACTGACTGTTTAAAGCTATTTACCGTTACTCCCATATATTCTTTTAACCCTCTGCTTTAAACACTCTGATTTTCTCATCTTTCTCTACACATGAAACCATCTTTCCCTCTCTTCCTATGGTCATGTTTTTCCTTACAATAAACCACTTCTGTTCATAATCTCTGTAAGTCTCAAAGTGAATTCTTTACTAAATATGCCCAAACTAATCTTTCTCTACTCAGAGAGAAAGCTCTGTAACCAATGCAGTTTAGTAGGTTACCCTTTATAACATGTGGTAATATAAAAATAAACTACTGCTGTTGAAAGTTGAAATGAAAAGTAATTAGAATACTTTTTCTTGTTTGAAGTCATGGTTGAAAATGAAAGTGTGTTTTTGTTTCTGATACTTTTTGTGGTTGCTTTATTTTGCAAACACTTGAGGGTTTTAAAGTTAATAGATGCCTTGAGATTCTAAAAGTTTTATAAAATGATTATAACCAGTTTTGATAATATAGATACTTCATGTGTGGATCCAAGATTCCTAATGGACTTTAAATCATTTGCATTTACAACATGCATGTAGGCAGATTCCAAGAGTTATAAATTGGTCGTTGAATTTATTAGATAATGTCTTACATCTTTAAGAACATACAGAAGGGATGAAGACCATTTATGTTGCTTTCACTAACTGTTTAAATCTATCATGCATTTAGGAATATAATTGCAAGCTGCTGTTTAAAGTTTTGATAGTGTAATATCTGAAAATTATATACCTATCCTACTTTACTTAATATGCGTCCAGTTTTGTTAGTTATCATGAACCATGTACCACACAGTTTGGCAGGGTTGGGTAAGGAGATAGTCGGAGTGTGTGTTTTGTGTGTGTGTGTGTTATGTATATGTGTGTGTACTGGCAGAGGTTGAATTAAACCCTGTGATAAAAAAGGAATCAAGGCTTATCCTAAGAAAATGTATAAAGATCTTTCTTTAGGATATATTTTATGTCCTTCCCCTGTGTCCTCCAACTTTCAGTCGCTCCATTATTTGATAGTTTAATTCTCAGATGCTGAGGATCAGAACAGATGGATGCAGAAATTCTGGGAGAATCTTGGCTGAAGATGTGGGTTTCTCTTCTGCAAAGAACACAAGATCAGAGAATCTTTAAAATGAGATGGGAATAAATTTCAGGGATCATATTTGACATTCTAAATTAAAACATGGTTTCTTTTTTATGGTCTAAAAGCAGCTGTCTAGTTCCTTTAGAACAACCACAGTAAGGTAACTAAAGCATAATGGTTGAGAGCTTTTGGTATGGATTAGTCCAACTGGGCCTGTGTGTTCTACCTGTCCTAGCTAAATGAGCTTAGCGTCTTTTATGCTTCAATTCCTTCAACTGTAAAATGAAGTTATTAATAATACTTATTTCACAGTCTGGTTGAGGGGATTAAAAGAGATGATGCATGTAAAGTGTAGCATAGTGCTTGGAAGGAAATGCTCAATGACTAGTAGCAATGTTACCTGTTGATTGATTGATCGATTGATTGAAATGGAGTCTCACTGTGTCACCCAGGCTGGAGCGCAGTGGCACAATCTCTGCTCACTGCAACCTCCGCCTCCCAGGTTCAAGTGGTCGTCCTGCCTCAGCCTCCAGAGTAGCTGGGATTACAAGCGTGCACCACCACACCCAGCTAATTTTTGTATTTTTAGTAGAGATGGGGTTTCATCATGTTGGCCAGGCTGGTTTCCAGCCAGCAATTATTTTTATATGCTTACATTTTTTGAGAGTTTGTTAAAAAGTTTGTTTCCCCACATTTTAAGTCTCAAACTAGAATCTTGTTACTCCTACATGTTAGAAGAGTTTATACCTTGTAGATGGTATTCAAAAGGACTGTCTCTCTCAAATGGGAGCCATTTAAGCATTTAAGGTCACATGTTCCTCTTAAACTAAAATAATCAGTTGTTTCACCTCTTCATGGGTCATGATTCATCTTTCTTACTATTCTCCTCTGGGGACTGAACATTTGTTAATGTTCTCCTAGAAATTGATTGCAATATTTCTTGTAGATTGGAAGGGCAGAGTGAAGCAGAATTTTCACATACTCTTCTGTGTAATCTGCTTTTGGTGATGTAGGTTCCATTCTTATTATTTTGGGGCTACATTTTCATGTTAAATTGGGGCAGTTACAAATTACATTTTCAGCAACTTCATGAAAATTAACCCTTCAGTCAACACAAAACCTGAAGTGATTTTAAAATTGTTTTATTTTATTTTATTTCATGTTTTAGTTGACACAATAATTGTACATATTTGGGGAGTATACAGTGGTGTTTCAATATATATCATGTATAGTGATCAGATCAGAGTAAGTAGCATATCCGTCATCTCAAATATCATTTCTTTGTGTTGGGGACATTCAACATCCTTCTTTTAGCCATTTGAAACTATAATATATTATTGTTAATCATCCTATAGTTCTATGGAACACTAGAAGTTATTCCTTCTGTCCAGCATAATTTGTAACCCTTAATGAAATGATTTTTAATCTCCTATCCCATTGATTGGATGCTGTTATGTTTCATCATGTATATTTGTCTTTGTTTTAATTGATATTTTTAAGTTTTATTGCAGAAATTTCTTTCTATTCCTATTCCTATAAAAATAATTTCAGCTCCTGGTACTATCCTGTCTATTGCTGGACTAAAGCAAACTTTGTCTCACTTTTTGGGTGAGGATATTCAACATGAAGTAGAAACGGCACTCCCCAGACAAGGGAGAAGTCTCAGGGACACAGACCCCTTTTCTGTATCCCATTTCCTAGAATCACTTATCCTTGTAGTTAACTCCCAAAATGCTTCCTTTAGCCTTGAGAAGATAATATGAAATATCTTTCTATTAATTATGCCCTGATAAGCTCGCAACATCATTTTACTTTTTTTTGTTTTTGATTTTATGTTAGTATATCCTCATATTTGTAAAACATTTTAGTTCAATTTTGTACATTTATTGAGCATTCATGCTGTGCATGACAATGCTCACTGGTACTAAGGGGATCTCTTTCCTCACAAAGCTCTGTTGATATTGGCCATGGGCCTCCAGACAATTTCCAGAGCCACCTTTCAAAGTACAACTATGTGTGAGAACAGTCTTCCTAACAGCCTCAATTCTAGATCAGCTTGGAGTCAGATCAAGCCACACTCTGGGTGCTTCCATCTTGAGCATATCTAAATTGAGGCAAGGATGGAGAGTATTCAGAGAACAAGAGAGTCCTTTTGTTTTCCAGGAGTCTGTGAGGAAGTAAAATTTGGTGAAAAATTTTGGAAGACTGAATGTTTATATGACACTTTTATTGGTATATATCAATTTATGCACCTAACATTAGCCCCAAGTCTTATCAAGTTCCCCTGATGTTTATATTGTTGGTGTTTAACCAATAGCTCCTCTCATCCTTTTCATGTGATTTTAGTGTATTTGGATAACATACATAGATTTTGATTCTGCATATTATAAAATTTTTTCGATGTCACCAATCACCATACCACAGAAACAATATGACAAATGCCTACTCCTTGTCTAGGCCCCATATAATGAAGACCCAGCCTCAGCTTATCTGGGAAAGCAAATCAGTCATCAAATGCCACCCAAAGAAGTTTGGGCATTTTTTATAAATGTTACATCTCATGGAGGAATTTAGACAAGAAATAACATGGCTAGTAAAATCAGATGGATAGCAGTACGTAGTAGGTGGGATGTAGGTACGTCAGGAGATTTTTGCAGTGGGCATGAGGCTGTTTATGAAGAAGCCATGTAGAAGTACAATCTACAAGCATTGGTAACTGAAGGGGGCAGAGAAGTGGAGGAAGGGGTTAGGTTAGTTGGAGGTCATAATATGGATATTAATTATAATTTTAACAAGGGTAAGAAAGGCTGAAGGATATGGCTCATCAGGAGGATAAAGTGTTCAGGTTTGGGCATGTTTACTTTGAGTTCCACATGGGATAAGAACAGGGATTCAAAACTTAACATAAGAAGAGATGCCAACTCTGGACCAAGAAGAGATTTGATAGTCATCCAGTTTTTGAAGTGATTGGATGAAGGAGCTAATCAGATGGGAAAAAACTGAGAGGACTAGACCAAGATGGTGGGGAGTGTGATGATAAATTTTAAACAACAGGAGAGACAATATCTAAACTCAGGTAATTTTAAGAAGAATAAAGATTACATAGGCAAATAGATGTTATTACAGTAATAGTTAAGAAGAATATGGCCAATTTAACATTTTGAGGCAGTATATCTCTATGTAACCCTATATTAACATATCTACATCTATATCTTTTTATATAGCTGCATCCTTTGTTCAATAGTATGCTTTTGGAGGTAACATACAAGCGCCATCAGCATTTTGCTTATTTGGTGAGAAATCACCAAATCTGTTATTGTTACAATAAAACAATATAATAATTCTTTTTACCACCAGTAATTTTTCAGAAGGCTCTAGTATGGAATATACCATTATTGTTTAAAATTGTTCTTGAAGTGTTCAAGAAAAAAATTGACATTGGAAATGAAGAGGTGTATTTAATATTATTTCCAGATTATTTTATCAACCTGGAAATCTTCCAAATCAATAAATGTTTTCAAAATAATAATAATTAATTATTGTGCCTGGTGATAATATAACCATATAGAATTCAATAGTTTGCTTTAAATAATTGGCAGTAATCTTAGTCTAGGCAACCAAGCGAGACTTTTGTCTCTAAAAAATAAAAATAAATAAAAATTGGCAGTTGCCAATTGAAAAATAAAATGGCTGTGTCGTCAAAATACCTTAAAACATTAAAAAATGCTCAGGATTAATTTTAAGACATGTATAAAAACTTTATTAATAAAACTGTAAGTATTTCTGAGAGAAATTTAATAAAACAAATAAATGGCATTAACAAATCTCTTGCATGGGATGACTCTATATTTTAAACATGCCACTTTTCCCAAAACTCTTTAATGTGTTTATTAGAATTCACCTCCCCTCCACTCCGCCCTCCCCTTACAGAGGCATCCACTTTTGTTTTTTTTTGGAACATAATGAAATAATTCTCAATTTTATTTGAAGGACAAACCTTTAATTGAAATTATTAATCATAAAAATTATTATAGAAATAATATTCTAGAACTTGCCCTGTAAACTTCTATCATGTAATTGAAAACGTGTAATTAAATATTGGTGAAAAGTTGACAAGTAATATAATGAAAATTAAACGTTTTTAAAGAAGTAAGCACCAGGCTGGGCGCGCTGGCTTGCGGATCACCTGAGGTCAGGAGTTCAAGACCAGCCTGGCCAACATGGCGATACCCCGTCTCTACTAAAAAAATACAAAAATTAGTTGGGCGTTGTGGCGGGCGCCTGTCATCCCAGCTACTCGGAAGGCTGAGGTGGGGAGAATTGCTTGAACCCGGGAGGCGGAGGTTGCAGTGAGCTGAGATTGCGCCACTGCACTTCAACCTGGGCAAAAGAGCGAGAGTCTGTCTCCCCACCACCCCCACCCCCCAAAAAAAGTAAGCACCAGTAAGTATATCAATTTAGTTTTTAGGCTAGAATTTTAATAATATTGAGAAAATGATAAATTGTTTAATAATTAATATTGTCATAGTTTTAAGTTTGGAAAAGCACTTGAGTAAATATATTACCACTGTAGATCAAAATAAATACTCAAATATTTAATATTTAGCTGTTAAGATACTATAATAAAATGGTATAAGTATAATACATTTTACATTTGGTGACAAAAATTATTTGCTTGGCTAAGCTTGAGTCAGGCTTCTGAATCTTCTCCTAGGCCCATCTGTGCACTTCATTATAAAATCCAGTTTTAGCAAAGAACCCTGCTGCGTCAGTTTAGCAAGAATCCCCCATCCTCAATATCTGATCATCTTTGATATTTTATCAGGTTCCTCATCCTCCACATCCCCAAATGACACCTGATCACCCTGGTCTGTCTTCAGCAAGAATCCTGTTAGGTGGGTTTAACCAAAATTCTCCTTACCCCTGACGTTTCCTCTTAGTAATTTTCAATTCACTGAACTCCACACTGCTCTTTGGCTATAAATTCCTACTTGACCCTGCTGTATTTGGAGTAGAGCCCAACCACTCTCCCCCATTGCAATACTCTGTTTCAGTAGTTCCTCTAGCCATGTTGATGCTACTGAATAAAATCTTTCTTATTGGGCTTTAATAAGTCTCATAGAATATATGTATTTTTAACATTTGTAGTGCTCAAAGGCAATAATAATTAAGAAAAAATGTAAAGATTTCACTGTGTAAACATTTTATTTTGCGTTTTAGTTAAAAGTAATAAAAACCAAAGTCAATAAACAAATTATGTGCTGGTAAAAGATATTTGCAACACAAGCCGAGCGTGGTGGCTCACACCTGTAATCCCAGCACTTTGGGAGGCTGAGGTGATAGATTACTTGAGGTCAGGTGTTCAAGACCAGCCTGGCCAACATAGTGAAACCCTGTATCTACAAAAATACACACACACACACACACACACACACACACAAAAAAAAAAAAGATACTTGCAACACAGATGAGAGATAGAGGTTTAATTTACCTATAATATTAATATAAATTGCCAATATTAAAAAGACCAATGAGGATATGGTGATTTGTAATAGGTGAAATGGTTGAGGTCAATATGTAATAGGTGAAATGGTTGAGGTCAATCAGAGTGAAAATATAATTAAATTTGTTAGCAATTAAAGATGTGCTTCAGTGACAACAAATCGGTGAGCTAATGGAAATTTACATGAACTCTTTGTTAGAGGATACATTGATAGAACCTTTCTAAGAAGCAACCTGACAGTATGTATAAAACTTAAATATTAGTAAGGCTTTAATTCAGAAAATCCACATTGAATAATCTCTTTTAAGGAAATGATTTAAAAATTACATATTTATGTAGATTTATATGGGAATATTTATAAAGAACAAAAAGGAAGAAAACATCTTGAAGTATTTTGTTCCTGGTTAAGTTAAAGTACATTGCTACTCACATTAGAATGTGGTGTAGCCATCAAATATTTAAACCAACATGTTCACTAATATGCTCTTAAGTAAAAGTAGACATGATAGACTACACATGTAATGCAATCTCATTAAGCAACAAAGAGACAGAGAAAGAGAGAGAGAGAGGGAGGGAGGGAGGGAGGGAGGGAGGGAGGGAGAGGGAGAGGAATATGGCGTTTATGCAGTGACTAAAAGATACATACCAAAATCTTACAAAAAAGATGCTGAGTCTATAAATTCATTTTCTTCCTTGTGTTTTTCTATATATGAAATAAGCATGTTTTAATTTGAATTTGGAAAAAGATAAAGCTATTTCTATGTATTGTCTCATATATTTAGACATGAAGACAACAGATACATTTTGTGCTCAAGCTCATGGCAAGGGAGCAAATTGTGTATATTATTTGCTATCACAGCACTCTCATGGATTTTTAACAACCAGAAACAATTTGAGCTTCCTTTGTGGAAACTTTAAATGAATATTAAAATTATGCTACAAAAATGCCCGGTCACTCAGCTAACCTGAAATGGTAGTTCTCTAACTCTGGAGTTTTCTGTTACAAGTACTGAATCTCAAAAGGAGAACACTCTCAAACTATGCTTTTGAGATGGTCCCTGAGAAAATGTATGTGAGCAAAAAATGGAAAAACAAGATTAAATTTTGATGTACACTTACAGAAAGAACTTGAAATGGAAAACAAAAACAAAAACCTTTCACATTTATTACCAGGTAGTTGTAGTGTAGGTAATTCTTTACATGATTCTCTAATTTCTCCATGTAGTTATGTATCTGATAAGCCTGGAAAATGCTGCTAGAATAAACCATCCTTTAGAAAGAATTAAAAATAGACATTCAAATACTAATGTGAATCTTAACACTTTTGTTGTGAAGTTGTTAATTCCAAAAAGTGTAACTGAGCCACAAATTTTACTAAGCAAAGCATACTATATTGGATGATTCCTATTCTCAGCTATTTTCATTTGCCAGAGCTACGAAGCTTATTTGCAAAGACTAGATGGCTTAAATAACAGAAATTTACTTTTTCACAATTCTAGAGACTAGAAGTACAAGAACAACGTGTTGGCAGGGTTGGTTTCTTCTGAGGCGTGTTTCCTTGGCTTGTAAATGGCTTTCTTCTCCCTTTGTCTTAATATGTCTGTCTGTGTCATAATCTCCACTTCTTGTATCAATACCAGTCAGACTGGATTAAGATCCATTCTAGTGACTTCATTTTAAATAATCTCTTTAAAGACCCCATTTCCAAATACAGTCACATTCTGGAATACTAGGGGTTAGGACATCGACATATGAATTTGAGGGGAGCACAAACAAATTGAAGGAATGAATGACTGATGTATAGATAAATGAATTAATTTTTCTAATATTAAAATTGTTTTTAATATATTCAATTAAATATGCATAAATATTAATAAATTATTGAAAATTAGTGATATAATCTTTCAACATCATATTTTAATGTAGCATGTTGACAATATTATATCATTTCTATGATATTCCTAGAAGTGTAAAATGTAAGGAAAAATTTTGGATAAAGATGAATTTTTTTTGTGATATGCAATCATTGTTAAATCAATAAGTCAGTTAACAAATAATTGTAGAGTGGGCTAGGCGCTGTTCTCATTACTTAACGTAACAATAAATAAAGGAGATTGAGGCCTTGCCTTCAAAGCATTAACAAACAAATTAGAATATAGTAAATAAATGTGCAAGCCAATCAATAAAATAAGTTTAGCATTTAATATTCTACAAGGAAGAGAATAAAATAGAAAAATATGACAAGGAGTGACAGGCTGGTTTCTACTAGGACCAGGGAAAACCTCCTTCAGCAGATGAGCTGGGAGTTCTGACCTACCTGATGAGTAGGCTTTTTAGGCAAAAATAACAAGAGTAATTTCTCTTAAAATGCAATGTTCCTGTCTTTAGGTCTTTGAGGAATTGCTGCACTATCTTCCAAAATGGTTGAACTAATTTGTACTCCTATCAACAGTGTATAAGCATTCCTTTTTCTCCACAACATCACCAGCATCTGTTATTTTTTTTCCTTTTTAA
The DNA here is from genome assembly GCF_000001405.40 of Homo sapiens. NCBI lineage: Eukaryota > Metazoa > Chordata > Mammalia > Primates > Hominidae > Homo > Homo sapiens. The sequence goes on from NC_000014.9 coordinate 41,652,845, forward strand.
TAATAGCCATTCTGACTTGTGTGAGATGGTGTCTCACTGTGGTTTTGAGTTGCATTTCTCTAATGCTCAGTATTGTTGAGAGTGTTTTAGATGATTGTTGTCACATGTATGTCTTCTTTAGAGAACTGTCTGTTCATGTCCTTTGCCTACTTTTTAATGAGATTGTTTGTTTTTCTTCTTGTAAATTTGTTTAAGTTCCTTGTAGATGCTGGATATTAGACCTTTGTCAGAGGCATACTTTGCAAAAATTTTCTCCCATTCTACAGGTTGTCTGTTTACTCTGTTTATTGTTTATTTTGCTACGAAGAAGCTCTTTAGTTTAGTTAGATCCCATTTGTCAATTTTTGCTTTTGTTGCAATTGCTTTTGGCATCTTCATCATAAAGTCTTTGCCTGTGTTATTTTCCTAAGTGGTATTGCCTAGGTCATCTTCCAGAGTTTTTATAGCTTTGGGTTTTACATTTAAGTCTTTAGTCCATCTTGAGTTAATTTTGTATAAGGTGTAAGGTAGGGTTCAGTTTCAATTTTCTGCATATGGCTAGCCAGTTCTCCCAGCACCATTTATTAAATAGAGAATCCTAATATTAAACTTTCAGCCTCCAGAATTATGAGAAATAAATTTCTGTTTTTTATAAGCCAACATGCAGTTTTTCTTAAGTTCCCTTAAGTGTTTAAAGGATGGAAACAAGGTGATTGTGACTGAAATGAAGCAAACAAAGTATGTAGAGGGAGAAACTGAGTTCAGAAAATATTTTGGCTTATACTAAAAAGTTTAGATTTTATTTTAAGTAAAATTTTGTCGCATTGAAAGTTTGAGGCAGGAGAGTAACTGGTCTGCATAAATACTTAAGAAACATCACTATTGCATAGAAGGGAGGCAGGATGGGAGATAGGTAGACCACTGAAATTGCTTCTATAGTGCTACAGGGAAGAGGAAAAGATGGCCTTAAGAAGGGCTGGAGAAGCAGAAAAGGGGAGAAGTCATCGAATTTGGGATTTGCTTTGAAGATACAGCTGACAGGAGTAACAGGTTAATCAGGTGTGTTGTGTAAGGGGAAAGAAGTAATCCAAGATGAATCTGACTTCTTTTTGGTTTTAATAACTGTATGAAAAGTAGCACTGCATGTTCTCACTCATAGGTGGGAATTGAACAATGAGAACACTTGGGCACAGGAAGGGGAACATCACACACCAGGGCCTGTCGTGGGGTTGGGGGAAGGGGGAGGGATAGCATTAGGAGATATACCTAATGTAAATGATGAGTTAATGGGTGCAGCACACCAACATGGCACATGTATACATATGTAACACACCTGCACGTTGTGCACATGTACCCTAGAACTTAAAGTATAATAATAATAAAAAAAAAGAAAAGTAGAACCAGTTCCTGGGAGATATTCTGAGTGAGGGTGGATTGGAGGAGACATGACATGTTTTATTTTGTCAAATTAATTCTGAAATGGAGAAGACAATAGGTAATAGGATGTGAGCTTTGTTCTCAGAGAAGAGTTCCAGGCAAGAAGTCTGAGTTTGAGAGTTTTTAGCATGTACATAGTATGTACATAGTGCATATTTGTATGTACATAGTTTTTAATATGTACATATTAAATCCATAGGAAACTGGAAGAAATCACATAGTTTGAGTTCAGAAAGAAAAAAGAAAGGGTTCTAGGATCGAGTTGAAGGGCTTAGAACACTTTTCAGGTTTGGAGCAGAAGGAGGTCTCAGTAAAAAACATTCCATGAACTAAAAGAATCCTGAGTATAGGGACTAGGAAAACTCAATACATTTTCAAGAAGAGAGAATAATCAATTGTGTCAAATTTTATTGCATGGTAGAATAAGAAGAGATAATTTATCATTAGCTTTGGCAAAATGTAGATCTTTGGTGTTCTCTAGGTTTATCAGTGTCTTTTTTAAACAGCAGTCTTATAAAAACAAGTAGAAACCAGGGAGGGTTGGACCTTCCCACAGTACTGATATTGTAGTAGCATAGGTAATTTTAGGTCACAGAATTATTTTTAGAGAGATACCACATGAACAGTAGTATAGTTAGTGGTTAGGTGCTACGCTCTGCAACCACATGGCACAGGTTTTCTTCAATATCTGCCATTCTGTACTTTTGTGATTCACATAAGTTATTCTGTCTCTGTATGCCACTGCCTGTGTCTCTTCATCTCTAAAGGATGTATACTGTAATGCTTACCTTGTTTGGGTTGTTAATTCAGTCGTTTGTTCAACATGTTTATGTTGAGCATCTGGTTTGTGACCTATACTCTTATAGCTACGTACAAGACAAACTGTCTATGGAGCTTCCATTGGTGTAGGGGAGATAGACTCCCCTCCTCTCCAAACAAGCAAACAAATAAAATACATGTGCAGCTGCTAATAGATTCTAGGGAAAAATGAATCTGGATCAGAGTGGGAAGCTGTTGGAAGGGTTATTATTTTATATAGACTAGTGGGAGAAATCCTCACTAATAATATTTGAACAGAGACCTGAAGAAGATTAGAGACTAAATCGTAAGTATTCTAGAAGAGAAAACAGCAAGCATACACCCCTTAGAAAAAAAGCATGTCTAGAATGATTTAGGACAAGCAGCTAGATTAGTGGAGCTAGACCAAAGAGAGGCCTGATCAAGAGGTATAAATGAAGAGATCATGGAGGGCCTTTTGGAACTTGGTTAAGGCTTGTACTCTGTGTAGGATGGGAAACCATTAGAAAGTTTTGAGAATAGTAGTGACACCATCTGACATGGTTTAAAGAGATTATTCTGGTATTGGGTTAGGGAATAGGCTTAAGGGGACCTGCTTAGGAAAAAACAGAGGAGTTTGGAGGCTATTGCAGTAATTCTGGTAAGAGAAGATACATATGTGATGTAGGCAGTGGGAGGTGGTTAGATTCTACATATATTTTGAAGCTGGAGACCACAAGATTTGTGGATGGGTTAGACGTAGAGTGCAGGAAAATGAAAGAAATCAAGCATGATCTCACAGTTTTGAGCTCTGTTGTTGAGATGATGATAAGGATTACATAGTTCATATAAAGCATATTAAATTATGCCTAGCACATAAGTGCTCAATAAATATTAGCATTTAATATTTTTAAGTGCTTATTAGTTATTTTGCACTTTTATACTTTTATGTATTGTTTTAATGCTTTTGACTTCTAGATTTCAAGTTGAGTGTAAACTTAATGCCATTTCCTTTCAGTGGTAACCATCTAGCTAAATAAACTTGAGTAATGTAGTAATCTTAGTGCCATTGCCTTGGACTGAAATTGGCATATAGTTCACTTACTGCGTAGCTATGGGCAAATCACTAATCTCTCAATTTCATCTGCTCTGAAATGAGGATAATGATATTTACCTCCCAAGGCTATTATGAAAATTAAAAAATATCCAGATTCAAAAATGAAAGTCACTGCAAAGTATGAGTTATTGCAGTTTTTATTGTTGCCTACACTCTGAGAAGACTCTTTATGCTAATCCTACCCACTTAAAGGCATGAAAGAAATGAATTTGAACGCATTAGTTATTCACACCGAATTTTATTCTTGTTTGGTAGTATTTGAATGTTTTCCTTGGTGAGATTTGTTTTTATATTTCACAGTTTGAGATTTATTGAGACCTGATCAGCTTTATTGAGCCACTTTTTAAAAGATTTGATGAATTCAAATCTTCCAGTCAGGATGAATATTGGGCATGAGAAGGGAGTATAGGGGAGGGGAACAATTTAGACGAGATCTGTCTAAGGCATTCAACTGAAGAGTGCTTCATACCTTAGTGTACTTTAGATAGATACTCCCAGAGTACAGTGATCAAACCCATTGTTATGATTCAAATGCTCAGCAAATCAGTGTCCCATAATTACTGGAACATAGAAGTCATTTCCTTTATAGGGGAGGAAGAGCGTTGATCGCTTATGTAAAGCTTGAGAAGACTGAGGGATTGAAAGTGTGACATTATTTTATTTCAATTATTATATCCATATTGAGACTGAAGGTGGGAACAATTCTATATGTTTTTCCTCAGCCAGATAGGAATACGTAGCATTATCTGTTATTTGTTCATTTTTTTATATCATTTTACCACTCATAGACAGTTCTCCACGTGGATTCGTTTTAAAGTAAAAACCCTTATCCTCAATCGTTATGTTTCTTAGTCATATATTATTATTCCTAATATATAGAAAAGGGAATTGAGGCCAAGAGAGACTAAGTCATAGGATCATTTGTTTTCAAGGGAAAGAAATGAAATACATCTTTGTTTTCCAGCCTCTCATCTATATCTTTCTGCTATGTTTCTGATCTACATGTTTTGCATTATGAAACATTGTCCAGTTAGGTAAAAGGATTTTCCTAATTAGCAGAAAAAAGTTGATATTTCAGCTTTTATGTTTATTTATAAATGTTTTATAGGTAAGTGGGGCTATGTTTTTATTTAATTTTACCCACAAGATGGATACAGGATAATTTTAACATCCTGTTCTTAGTAAGAGTCTGGAGGACACCTGTATATTTATACTGTCCATTTCGGTTTTATCTTGAATGATGTAAAAGCGAGTGGAAGATTCCCATGGTTGTCACTGGAATTAACACTGTGCTCTGACCCATCTCAGAAGGACATCAGAAAGGCAACATTTTAAAATTAGTCTCTACGAAAATAGTTATTGCATTTGATAGGAAGCTCATAAGGTAATTTGGAAAATTTCTTTGTAACTAAGAAAAATGCCTTTTAAAACCTTTTGATTTTACAGGCACCTTATAATATGTGAGAAATAGTCAAAGCCATTTAAAGTATTTAAGGACTTATGACTTGTTAGACACCTTTGTGATGATATAATAAAACCAAACTAACGTACATACCCATAGTCATTTTTAAAAGCTTTCTTATTAAAGGCATGAAATTATTTAATAAACCTTCCCAATTCATCTCCTTTGTCAAGGGCATCCTGTGGAATTGTTGGTGAACCTTAAATATATTTGGCATAAGGAATATTCTTGCTTTCTCTCGCATAGAAACTGGAATTAGGAATTGCTTCAGTAAGGTAAAAGAGCTTGTTGAAAACCAGCTTGGGAGAAAAAGAAAAAAAAAAAACCTCTGACCTATGTCAACATTTTTTCAAGTCTTTATTATTAAATTCATGTGTATTCTACCTGTTTACAAAGCTCTAATCAAACATTTAAAAATACCTTATGAGTAATTAAAGGAATGAAAACATTTTTCTTAAATCTTATAGCTAAAATATGATTTTTTTGAAGGTCACATGCTGATAGGGTAAGTCATGTTACAGGAATTAGTAAATCATTTTGGTCTCAATGGAGACAATAGCTTTTGTATTTGTTATTTCAATAAGGTATTGAAAACACATTTGTCAGGAAAGACTGACCTTGCAAAAACACCAGACTAATTTTCCAATGAAGAGGGACTGGCATTTTTATTCATAGGAGTGTAAAAAGAAAATTAAGCTATAATTTTACTTGATACATTCCTGATCAGTGTGTGATTGGCACTTATACCATCTTCCTTTAATCATGACTTAATTAATACATGGAACTTTGTCCAGGGAAAGAGGTGAATAATAATTCATTGATGATTCAGACATTCACTTCTCACTTTCTTGAAAGTAACCTCTATGAACTTGTAATATATTTTTCAAGTTATTTTTCTTTCCATCTGTAGCATATAATTTATTTCTAATATATCAAATTTTCTCATATGTAAATAAGAAAAACTTATAATGCACTTCATAGAAGTTTTACCCATATAGCCAATGATACGCAATTATCCTATTAAAAGGTTACATTACATCTACTTTGAAATTTTTAGCATATTTTCCCAAATACCTTAATGTCATATAAAATTTTTCTCACTGATTATTTTTCTTCTTGAAGAAGTGAAAATATATTTACTGTTAGTTAATATTAACTATGACCTTGGATATGATGTATCAATGGTCAATATATTTTAATATGTGTAATTTTTATTAACTAAATCTGTGATTCCTAATAATAGATCTGAAGATCAAAGTTGGTTTATCTAATTTATCAAAACTTCAGTTTCACTTACTTAACTCATTATCTCATTCCTTAATTGTTCTCTTTTCCTGCCTGCCTCTCTGTATGCTACCGTGTTTTCTTTTTTTCTTAGCCCCTAAAATTTCTTTTGGCTCTATTACAACCAACTCTTTTTATATTTTTTATTATGTAATGTTTATTATTATTATACTTTAAGTTCTGGAGTACATGTTGAGAACTTGCAGGTTTGTTACATAGGTATACATTTGCCATGGTGGTTTGCTGCACCCATCAGCCCATCATCTACATTAGGTATTTCTCATAATGCTATCCCTCCCCTAGCTCCCAACCCCCAACAGGCCCCAGTGTGTGATAATCCCCTCCTTGTGTCCATGTGTTCTCATTGTTCAACTCCCACTAATGATTGAGAACATGTGGTGTTTGGTTTTCTGTTCCTGTGCTACTTTGCTTAGAGTGATGGTTTCCAGCTTCATCCCTGTCCCTGCAAAGGACATGAACTCTTCCTTTTTTAAGGCTGCATAGTATTCCATGGTGTATATGTGCCACATCTTCTTTATCCAGTCTATCATTGATGGGCATTTGGGTTGGTTCCAGGTATTTGCTATTGTGAATAGTGCCACAATAAACATATGGGTGCATGTGTCTTTATAGTAGAATGATTTATAATCCTTTGGGTATATACCCAGTAATGGGATTGCTGGGTCAAATGGTATTTCTGGTTCTAGATCCTTGAGGAATCAACACACTGTCTCCCACAATGTTTGAACTAACTTACACTCCCACTAACAGTGTAAAAGCATTCCTCTTTTTCCACATCCTCTCCAGCATCTGTTGTTTCCTGACTTTTTAATGATCGCCATTCTAACTGGCGTGAGATGATATCTCATTGTGGTTTTGATTTGCATTTCTCTAATGGCCAATGATGATGAGCTTTTTTTCATATGTTGTTGGCTGTATGAATGCCTTCTTTTGAGAAGTGTCTGTTCATGTCCTTCACCCACTTTTTGATGTTTTTTTTTTTTTTTGTAAATTTGCTTAAGTTCTTTGTAGGTTCTGGATATTAGTCCTTTGTCAGATAGATAGATTGCAGAAAATTTCTCCAATTCTGTAGGTTGCCTGTTAACTCTGATAATAGTTTTATTTTATTTATTTATTTTTTATGAAACAGAGTTTCTCCCTGGTTCCCAGGCTGGAATGCAATGGCATGATCTTGGCTCGCTGCAACAACTGCTTACTGGGTTCAAAGGATTCTTCTGCCCCAGCCTCCTGAGTAGCTGAGATTACAGGCACCTACCACCATGCCCAGATAATTTTTGTATTTTTAATAGTGAGGAGGTTTCTTCATGTTAGCCTGGCTGGTCTTGAACTCTTGACCTCAGGTTATCCACCCACCTTGGCCTCCCAAAGTTCTGGGATTACAGGTGTGAGCCACCACACCCAGCCATATGACTAACTCTTATATCTTAGTCAGTGCTTCTATTTCAACCCCAAACCCTGCTGGATCAAAATGTTTGAACGTTTGCAAACAGTAGTTATGCGATGGATTACAATTGTATCCTGGTCTACAAACCTGAATTTACAATTACTAATATTAGAAAACATGCTGTTGTTGTCTACATAGCTGTGCCAGCATTTTCTATGCATGTTTAGAAGACTGGCTTGCAGAGGATTTTAAAGAGTTATCCCTTTATTGTAGACATTGGAAACAGTTTGTCTGTTATTCGTGTATATCTCAACAGCTTAAATATATCAGTGGTTCTGAAATGATAGATGAATAACTATCCTGGAGTGCTTGTAAAGATACTGATTGTTGGCCGAACATTCCAACTCAGTTAAGTATTGGATGTGACTTGGGAAACTACAGTATTAATCAGAATCTCAAGTGATTCTGATGCATGTGGCCCATGGATCACTCTCTTTAATATATATATATTCTCTTTAAATATATATATATATAATTTTCTATGAACTATTTAGAATGCATAGTTAAATAAATTAAGATACTTTGGCCAAGTTCAAACAGCCATTACTGTTTTTCTCTACCTAATTTTAGTTATAATAGCTATAGCTCCAATCTTGGGTTTATTGCGCTTATATATTTTTGCACCCTTGCATGATTTGGAATTATTGTTATTCATTCCTATGAGGTACAAATAATAGATGCTAATCTCGTATGGGTCAGAAGCAAATTTACTTGCATGTATAGTACTAGTTCTTTCAACTTACCAACACAAAATAAATCCTTTAGAGATTAAAGAGATATTGTAGACAACTTGTTTCTAATCCCTTCTTCCTAATTGAAACTAAAATCTCATCTTATTGAAATATTTATTCATGAAACATAATCTAATCACTGGTATTGTCACTAGTAGAAAAGATAGGTCTCTTAATCTCAGTAAGAACTCTTCTCATTCAAGCAATATTTTTCAAATTTTGCTCTTCATAAGAAACACCCAGGATGCTTTTCAAAATGAGTATTCCTGGGTTCAAAATACTGCTGTAGTAAAAGAAGCATATAAATCTATCTTGTTAACAACCCTCAAGGGTGATTTGAATGTAAGTGGTTCAAGGCCTACATTTTGTGAAATAATGTACAATATCCTGCTAGAAGGGTTGAAGAGTTAAATAAATAAATAATTAAAAGTAGGGCCAAGTAACTAAGAGTAAAGTCATTTAGCTGGGCCCTATGACAGGCCCTAGGGCTAATACTCATAGTCCTTATGACTGAAGAAGCCCGCTGATTAGCAGTGGTGGCAAATAAGAAAATCAATCACTTATCGTGTTAGGTGATGTGGAGCACAGAGAGAGGAGCCTCCAGTAGTGAAGAGTGTCAATAAGGCCTTTAGGAAAAACATCCCAGAGAAGGTGACCCTAGTGGCAGGAGCAGAATGTGGGGAAGGTTGCCCTAGGCACCTTTGAGAGTAATTTGTGGGAAAAAATAGAACAACAATAAACCTATACCAAGAAAAATTTGCAATGAGAGAAAGCCTGACATAAGGGGTTATTATAGAAGTTAATATGTGTACTTAGCACTGATTAAAAGCATTCATTAACTACTTATCATTATTTGTACTACTTGTTTCAGCAGAGGGCTGAAAAGAGAAGAGTATCCCATGAATGACATTGACAAGAGAAGGGGTGGGGGCTGCTGAAGCTTCAGACTGAGCAGCAAGCACAAACTTAGGGTAGGTGGTGTCTGTAACTCTCTTTTATGAACTCACAGATAACAGGGCCAGCTTTATTCAGGGGCCTGGGCCTGAGCCTCTGAGAACATGAAATTTCAAGGAGGGATCATTAAGAGTATCAAATATTGTAGAAAGGTCAAATATGAATAAGAGCTGAGACGTCTCCTTCACATTTGGTAGTTAGTTATTCATGACATTGTTCCTAACCACCTACGTCAGAATAATTTAGGAATGCTTATACATATTCAAATCCCTGCCTTCTAATTCGGGACTATTAACTTAGAATCTCTGGGGTATGTGACTTAAGGATATCCATTAAAAAAATAAGAGATTATTTTGTACCCTGGAACTTAAGAACCAGTAAACTAGAGAGATAGATATATTTTGCTACATGATAGGACTACAACCAACTGTAAAATTTTAAATAGTACAGATATAAGAGGAAATGGAGATAAAACAAGTGCAAACAAGATTTGTCATTAAAGCAAGACAGGAGGATAATTAAAAAAATATGGCTGGGTCCACAGCCAAGCATCTATTGTGGGCCTGGAGTTGCAGTTGGTCAGCAGGGCCACCAATCAGGAAAATCAGCTGTACATGGAGTAGAGGAGAGTGTAAACTACCTGGAACCCATGAAGCATCTCTGCAGCTGTTTATCATCACATCAGTCTATGAAAAGATCTTCAGGGAGTGCTGACAACTGCTTCACTTCTGCTTTCTAAATTTTGTGAAAATTCCACAACTGACTAACCTGCACAACACAAGGAAGGGAATTCAAATTCTGCATCCATTGATCCCAGTTTAACCAAGTTGCACAGCACAATATACCCATTACTGACATTGCCAACCACCTTCTTTACATTTATGAGTTAGAGTGGTTTCACATATCATATGAAATTGTACCTTGATAAGACATGTGAATCATAAGGGTGGTTTACCACCACTACTACTAAAAATAAGTAGCATTTATTAGCTACTTAGGATCTGCTAAGAACTGTGGAAACTGTTTACATGCAGTTTAATCTAATTTCATATGTATAGAAACATGAGAGGTGACTAACATTATTTTTCTAACATGTCTTTTTATTTAAAAAATGCTAATTTGTTAGGCCAAGGGGCGTAGCCAAACCGCCGTGCTGTTGAGAGTAGAATCAGCATTTGATGATTGACCCAAATAGTGGTGAGAAGAATGTTCAGAGTTCAGATAGGTGTTTACACTTCCTTGTCAGAGAGGACTCACTTGCATCCTTTGATGTCAGTAGATTGGTGTTTAACAGAAAAGCCAACCAGAAGGTCACAGCTTAGCAAAAAGGACTTTGAGGTATAGAAAGAGCCTCACAGGACTGTAAGACCTGATAGGAGGTGAATTTTATGCATTGGTGTTTACAGGGAAGTAAGTCTTCTAACTTCTATATTTACTATGAACCCTTTGTGTAAGAATAGAGAGGAAAGAGTGCCTACCAAGATTTAGTTATTAGAAAAAAATAAGAATAAGGGAGGATTACCTTGAATGGAATCTCATTTTCCTCCGTGAAGACATTACTCATATGTAAAGCAGCTGCTTGTGAGACTTACCTCATTCTTCATTTGCCAGCATATCCTGGCAGCCCATACTTAGTTATGTATGCATCGATAACCTAGTGATGATTTGGCAGTGATTTATTCTTCTGCACTCTGCAACCTGGTCTCACAAAGGGGAACACATATTTATAGACTTGGAGTTAGAAAACATGGTAAGAGTTGCTAGTTTCAGGAGAAAAATATTAAATAATAAGATGAACTCATATAAAAATGAAATAAATAGTTTTTTTAAATGAAAAACCTCTCATATAGGAGAGAGATAACTTGATCAATACACATTAACAACTAGAAATAGACTTATATTGGATTACAATCATCGTATTCACAGTATGAATTGCAATGTTTTCTGTTTCTTGTCCTCATCCCCCATTTCCTACTTAATAGTCTCAAGTGTTATAAACATTCAGTGTATACCCTCTGTCTCACCTTCCCTCATTCCCAGAAACATAACTACAAAATTAAACTCTCCCTACAAGTGTTTGCAAATCATGTGTAGGTGAGACACGAGGGAGTAAAAATTATAATAAGAATTTGCTGTCATGGGAAGTTGCTAAATTTTATGAGTGATGTTGTACCTTTAACTTAAAATACTATCAAGAATAGCTAATAAAATCATATTTAAAACTGCTAAATTTCTACTACTTCCCTAGTTATAAGTGGTAACAGATGACACAGGATATTGCTTATATCAATTTTCAGTTGTCTGTGCCATCATTTTGTACATTTTTCCTTGTGACAATTTTTCTTGGTGGTATCTACTCCTGATATTAACAGGTTTGAATCTCACCAGTTTGAGAATTAACTAAGTCCTTATTTAAGAACTTGGGGGTATGTTAGCATGAAATCATTTTAAAATTTTCTTTCTAGGCTGGGCAGAATGGTTCATGCCTATAATCCCAGTGCTTTGCAATGCTGAGATGGGAGGATTGCTTGAGGACAGGAGCTCAAGGTTACAGTGAGCTATGATCACACTACTGTAACATAGCCCATGCAATTAAGTGAGAACCTATCTCTGAGAAATAATGAAAAATAAATAAAATTTCCTCTCTAATCCAATGACATAAACAAAAAAAAGTGGCAAAAAATTATGCAATATACATTCAATCACAAAAATGATTATTTTTCTACTCTGAGAGAGTTCTTTAAAAATTCTTTTCTGATTAGCTTCTTTCTCCTAACATGTTGGTATTGATTGATTTGAGGTATGGGCCACACAAATCAATACACAAGAAGACAAGTTGTATGTGATGACAGTAATTCTATCCACAGGATAACTGCCAAATATCTGGGTACCAATGATTGTATTTCAGCCAGCTGGTCAGCACATGATAATTTGTCAGTAAACCATTTTGCTGTCTTTGACTTCTAAAATGCTTATTTTCTTCAAAATATATATTTTGCTTATTATATCAATATTATATGTATCCAAGACTAGAAAACTTGAAAATTTTTATTTTTTAATTTGGCATCCTTTTCTGACAATTTTTTTGTTTTTAGAAAAAAAAATGGTCTCAAATTTCTTATGCTGTCTGGTTTCCAAAATTGTTTTATGCAAGAAGGTGCTTATGGCCAGATATAAGACTAATGACCCACTTGCTGTAATGTTTTCCAATGAAGAAATTTATGTATGTGAAGGATAAAGAAAACAAAGAAAAAAAAGAGTAACAAATTAGAAATTAGAAATTTATATAAGGGATTAACAAATGAGGGATGAGAGGTAACATTCAGATAATTTATAGAACATGTAACTAGGTGCACTTTAGAAATGACTACCCTCCATCCAGTGCAGGAAACTCATCTGGGCATTTTCTGCCAGCACTTAACTCATTCCTTTGATTGACAGCATTAATTGTTAAGCAGTGAAACACATTTTATATGGGTACGAAATTATAATTATCATAGTTACAGCAAAAGTATCATAATAAGACAGACGTATTTGGGATTTTCAGCTCACGAACAAGTAAACTTTACTATAATAGTATCCTGTTTAGGTTTGTGTCTCTTACTGCTCTGACATTTTTAACATAAATATATAATCTCTTATTTCAAAAGCTACTACTAGGATAAAGTTAAAACTCCATACGTAGAGGAAAACTGGGCATTTTTTAAAGTGCTCACTTCAATTTTAATGTGTAGACCCGATACATCTTATTCACTTAAATTATAATAACAGATATATTTAGCCATTTCTAATTATAATTTAAATCCAATTATATTACTATGTAAAATTTTATTTTTATGTCTGTTTTATGTTCAATTATGACTGAATATTTCATCAAACTTGGGTTACTAACTTTGTTGTCAAGGAATATTTTCTGTATTTCGTGTATTAAATAGTTGTGTATTAGTGTATGAATATTTCATTTTAAACAAGACAGTTTCTTTCAGAGACCATTTCTCCTTTAAATTTTAACTAGCATTCTCTTCACATAAAAATTCATTTTACTAACATTAAAAAGGGGCTAGAAGCAACAGAAGTCACATATTTCAAGAGTTTTAAAAATTATCTTATCTGAATTTGTCTAGGTACCTTTGAAATAAAACTGATGAGTGATGTGTTTAATCTCTACTTCTACTTTTTCTCATTTTATTGCAGCCCTGAAGAGCACTTGTGGTTACAAGACATTAGTAATTATTTGAAAGAGCTCCCCAATTAAAAAAAATCTCAAAAAATTCTAGCCTTAGTGAAAATTACTAGTATTATCCCCATTTTTCAGCAACGGAAATGGATATTTATAATGTTTAAAGTATCCTGCACTGGGCCACACTACTCAGCAAAGATGATCCATCTTAGTGTTTAGCATTCTGGATGAATATTTCAAATCATCATGACTACTCCTGCTAAATGGCAAAATGATTCATACTATAGATTTTGCATTTTTTTCTGTAATTCCTCATGGCTATTTTTAAGTAGGAAGCATGCACATTTATGTGGAAAAATGCAAGATAGAGTTAATTTTCAATGGATAAAACATTTTATACTTGGATTTCATTCTTTTAAGGTTTCAATTTCGTGGCTAAGGCATTGTCCAACTAACAGAAATAAAAAGGCCAAGATAAAGTCTTGTTCCTGTTAAATTTTTTTGTGGAATATGAAGTTCTTTGGATGAGCTCTTCAGCCATTTCTCACTGCCCAAGAGTGACAGAAAAGAGAGATGAGAAGTGCTAGCTAGATCTAAGGAGGGAAGGCTATGCAACAGTGATAGTTAACCTAAATTGCAATAAATGGACTCTTCCTTCAATTTGACCCATATAGATTCACAATTTATTTTTGATATTTCTTTACAAGAATAAGAACATAATGATTATACAACGTTATAGAGTTTTGTAGGATTTTTATTGTATTTCTATTTCTTATTTCACTTTTTAAAAGTCTACTTTACAGTCTTAACAATTTTATTTTAACAATTAGAGCAAAAGCTGTATTTAAGCTTTAAGAATTCGTAATAGTTCATACTTTTGGTTAAAACAAGACAAAGAATTAGTGGGTAGTCAGGATCAATGTAAGGAAAGCGATGAACTGTTAGTTTAGAGAAGAATGTTTATGGCTTCAATTTGTAATGTAGGCTATCACTCTGCTTTGTTCTTTCCTCACGCTACATTCCTGAATTTCTCATGGGTATTTTTACTGCACACACCTAGATTGTAGTCAATTCTTGATAAAACCTGAATTAAATCAATGGATTCATCCTATATTCAGCAAGGAGGATTTCTGATAAAGTTGTTATATTTTAGCAGTGCTGTCTAATACAGCAGCCATAGCCATGTTTGCTATATCTAGCACTTGAAATGTGCCTCGTGTGACTGAGGAACTGAATTGTCAGTTCACCTCCATGTGGTTAGTGGCTAACATGCTGGACAGGGAAATGTGTAGCTCTAGTGCTCAGAAGAGGCTGCTGGTGTCCACGCTCCTGCCCCTTTCCTGAATCTATAGATTGCTAGTTCTTTGGTAAGACTCATCAATCCCTGCCTCATTGATGAATTTAAACATTCCTTTTTCCCTAGTGTCAGCCTATCCTGAATGGGTAGACCTCTATCTATAAAATTCTTTGATTAGCCAGTATCTGTTAATGGGCCTGTAGCTTTGGAATGCTGGTGGCCTGTCTGTCTGCCTTCTCTTTTAATTAAGATTGGATCCTATTCTTCCCAATGCTGAATCACACTGACAACTACTGAGCATGGCTTCTGACAGTTTATACCTATTTATAATTAGTTATTTGTGATTCTTGAACATACAAGTATTTTTCAGTGTGCAATGGCATCTTGACTGTGCTCCTTAGGAGATCCCTGCATACCAAACCTGGTGATGAAGTTACTATTCTTCATTTTGTTATTGCACAGCTGGGTCAAGACTGGCTGTAGAACTTTGGGAAGGTCGAACCTTGTGCTTCAGCTCTCTCACTTATAAAGTGGAGGCAATAACAGTATCTTGCTTGTTTGGTCACTTGAGAAATAAATGTTAATATAAGGGAGGTGCTTAGAATAGCATATAGTGATTGCTGTGTAGATATAGCCATTAATAACAATATTACTGCAGTTTGCATCAGTACATCACATCCCATCAAAACTATTTGATTATTTTCACTTAACTCTTCACATTTATTATGTGTCTGAGTATCACAAAATAAGCCTCTTTTATATTTATTTTTATAATCTAGATTGAAAATTTTGTAGGAAGAATTAGGAAAGAGATCATATTTATATATTCAATTTCAGGAACTTGAAATTTGCTTTCAATACTCAATTTTTATCCCAAGCTCCCTACTTTATAACCTTGGACAATCACACATATCTATGCATTCTTTTTTTTTCTCCTTCACTCATGTTGTATCACCCCTCCTATCCCACATTACTACGTAGTCAAATAAAAAATCCTGGGTCAGCAAAATCCTCTTAGGAAGCAGTTTCAAACAACATCTGCTGTTAATTACACATGCTGTTATGGGTTTTAACCATGACTCCATAAAACTTCAGAATTTTTCAGACAAAATGCTGTCCCCAAGACTGCTTTTCACATCAGCTTATGTGAGAATACATTTTCTTTATGTAATTCCCCATCTGTATTAGAATTAGTAAGTCTCAGATTTGAAATAAGTTTTTTATAATTGATGTTTTCACCAGTTACCAAGCAGCATTTTTGTAATAATTGGATATCCTGAAGAATAATGAAGCCAAGAACCCCATGAGCTTATCTTCATTCAGTACTATGGATTTTATCTGTTGAACGTAGCTCTGACTTTTATTCTTCTAAAAATTCGATTTATATATAAATATAAATGTGCATGCACATACACCTTGGTAATTGCTTATGTACTTAAGCAATTATGATCTATATAAAGAAGAGAAAAAAAGTAGAAAATCAGGATGAATAATCTTGGCAGCTATGTAATAGAAATGTGTAATTTTGTTCATGAAGTTAAGTGACTAATTTGTATATGGTGTTGTGAAAAATGGATAGCCAAATAGCAAAACAAAAGGATCTATAGCTGAAACCATAAACCAATGTGAAGAGGTAAAACATTTATATGTAAAATATGAAGCCTTACTAATATAAGAGGAAAACATGAGGACATTTATAATCTTGCAGTTGTATAACTGCAACTCCAAAACTGGAACCCATACAAATCAGTTAGAAATAATCTGTCCAGAAAAAAAAAATTAAAGGAAAGATGAAAAATTATTTGCAATTAATAACACAGAAAGGGAAAATATGACTAAGATTTTCTAGAAGTCAAAAACAAAACAAAGTTTAAACCAATACAAAAAAGACAGATATTTAATACAAGAAAATGTAAAATAGTTATTTCATATAGAAAATTATATCTAACATTAGAATCCTATTAGAAATTCAAATTAAAGCAACAATGATTGAACTTTTTTTTTGAACTGTTTTTCTGTCTGTTGGATTGATAAGCATCTGTAAGCTTAACACATACTATTGGCATGGTTGTCGCTTGTGGGAATGTAAGCAATACATTCCACATGTAGGACAATTTTGAAAGAAGTATAATTAGTGAAACAATGTACACACTTTGACCCAGCCAGTTCTTACTGTAGGAATTTATTGCAGTTCTATCGTTGCATATGCATAAAATAATATGGGCACAGAAATTTTCACTTAACATTATTTTAATATCAGAAATAATTTAAATTTCCATAGTATTTGATGGTTAAACCAATTAAAGTATGCTCATAAAATGGAATGCTCTCTGACTCTAATAATTGAAAAAAGGAGTAGAGAAATTCACTATTTGGAAATGTGGAAAAGCATTCAAGCTATATAGTTAAATAAAAAAAATTTGCTATATTAAAGAAAAAAATAGTTAAAAATATAGTTAAAAATATAGTTAAAAAAATTTGCTATGCAGTATATAAAATATAACATAATACAAAAATGTATAATAAAATGTTTTACTATATGCACCTATATATACACATATATACACACATACATATCTATACATTCATATATATACATGTATATATACATTCTGTGTGTGTATATATATACATTCTGTGTATATATACACATTCTCTATATATATATACATTCTCTGTGTGTGTGTGTATATATATGTATACACACACACACACACACATACACACAGATATATATATATATATATATATATATATATATATATATATATATATATACACACACACAGAAAGAACCCCTGGAAGGAAGAATATATATTATTAAAGGTGATACATGACAATTAGTTATATGAGCATAGAGATGAGATGAAAACTTTTCACTACGTAATTTGTATATGTTTTTGATTTATGACAGTTTAAATGCATTAACCTATTTAAAAATCAATAAATTGAATTATAGAATGCTTAATTAGGAAAATATCCCTTTGAGAAATTCAAAATAAAAATTATATTTATGTAGCTTATCTTTCAAGCCACTTATAACACTATTAATTTTATTTATTATGTGTGTAGAGTGAACCTTTTGGCCTCTGAATTTAATTTTTTTGAAATTCATCTTTGGTTGTATCCAGTTGAGTTATAAAATCGTAATTCCTCACTGAAATAGGCTCAGGATTTATCCATCATTTTTATTTCAATAGATAGCCAAATAAGACCCAGGAAAATTACTTTTGCATAATGTCAGAAAGCAAAGTACTAGGAGAAAACACACTAAATTTTCTGTTTTTTAACTTCCAGCCATTATTCCCTTAATGATGATGAATTCTGTTACATTACACTACACTATTATTTCTTATATGTTCTATTTCACTTTTAAAAGCTTCTGTTTTATTATTTTGTAAAAACCTTGAACTGACTTTTCTTTGAGGACAACAATGTTAGCAAAATAGAATGTGAAAGTTTCAAACTAAGATATATTAACATCTATTTTTAGAGTAACCATTAATATTTAGAATATAAAATTAATATTTAATTTTCTTCTAATTATTAGACTGCAAAAGTCATGCTTGTAAAGGAAATTTATTTTCTAATATGAGATTTCTTTGAAAATAGAATGTCTATTTGTCTACTTTACAAAGTCATGAAAAGAAATTAATATTATCAAGGCATTTTATAGTTTAAAAAGAAATTAAGTTCTCAATATCGTAATCATCTAAGATGAGAATATGGACTTATCTTCCTAAAGTTTAAATATAATGTCAATTGCAAACTAATAATTATCTTTAATCTAAAAGTGAAGGGCAACACACTAATATTTTCCTCTTTAAAATATTTTACCCCATTCCTAACAATTTGTTTGTTGCTCTGACATCTTTCTAGCTATTTAAGCTTGTCATCTTTATTTGTTCACTCCAGTCTCTCATCAAGCAATTAATCTTTATTTTCTTTGCAGTACCACTTTGAACAATTCACCTCTTTTCAAAGTGGTTAATTAAATCTTAAAATATTACTTCGTGGTATCACTTCCAAGCTCAAGAACTTCCAATAGCTCACCATTGTGTGGATGTGGAGGAGAGATTTTTTTTTTTCGTTTTTTTTTTTTTTTTTTTTACGGAGTTTCCTCTTATTGCCCAGGCTGGAGTGCAATGGCACTATCTAGGCTCACTGCAACCTCTGCCTCCTGGGTTCAAGCTATTCTCCTGCCTCTCAGCCTCTAGAGTAGCTGGGATTACAGGTGTGCACCATCATGCCCGGCTAATTTTGTATTTTTAGTAGAGACAGGGTTTCACCATGTTGGCCAGGCTGGCCTTGAACTCCTGACCTCAGGTTATCCGCCCGCCTTGGCCTCCCACAGTGCTGAAATTACAGATGTGAGCCACTGCGCCCAGCCATGAGATCAAATATTTCATAGCCAAATCTTGATTCAAAACCTATTTACTAAGCATCTAACCATGTTCAAGGTCTAACCATGCTTATTTACCTGATTCTTAATAGTTATCTTTCCATAAGCCAGAAGTTTAATCTATATTCAAATTCTGATTCTACTAGGTGCCTTAGGGCACATATTCCTTTCTTAGCTTCCTCTTTCTGTTTATTTTTTAAATTGGAATAATAAGCATTCCTTCTTACCTCACTAGACGTTAGGATTAAGTTAGGATAACACATGTAACATGCTTTAGAAATACAATTGGCATTAGGAAGTACTCTGATTTATTAGCTATTTTTATTACCTTCTTTTTTGAAGTGTCAAAGTTGTTTGATTTCTCCGATAGGTTCCTTTGTGTCTCGTGTAAGATATCATTCCTCCTTCTCTTTATTTATTAAAATTCTATTCTTTTTTCAGAACATAGTTTAAGTGCCTCCTTTCTGATATATACTTCTCTGTGTACTTCAACTAGATATCTAATGGCATTGGACTGAAAATTATACTTAGCTTTTAATCAAATACTTCTTAGGAGTAGTGATGATGTTTTTAGTTATTTGATTTCATCTAATGTCTGGGTGCTCAGATGTCTTTCAGAAGTAGACTATTAGAATCAATAAAGTAACAAATTTCTTATGTGTCATGCACCCATTTCATGGACTCCAGTTTTAAAAAGTTATAACCTTTAATCTTTATCACTCTCTCAACCAAAATGTCTCTCTGTTTTTACATGAAACTCATTGAATCTCCCTTAAATATAGGAATCCTTACCCTGGGATTTGTGGATGGGTTTCAAGAGGCACAGAAAGCCTCTGAAACTATCTATAGACTTTTGAGTATGTAAACAACATGTATTTTCTTCAAGAGAAATGATGGACACACAGAATAGTAGGAATTATTTTAATGATTTATTGTTTTTATCTATGCCTTTAAAATAAATAGGGACAAAACTAAGAATATACAATTTAATCAACACTGGATATTGTATCATATTATATAAATATATCCTATTTTTCTACACCATGCTTATGAAAGATCTACACTAAGTTAAATATATGAGATTTTTATGATTTTGTTATTTATTTATTTATTTATTTATTTTTTCACAAGGCAGAAGAATTTTTCTTAGTACAGAACAAAATGAAAAGTCTCCCATGTCTACCTCTTTCTACACAGACACGGCAACCATCCGATTTCTCAATCTTTTCCCCGCCTTTCCCCTCTTTCTATTCCACAAAACCGCCATTGTCATCATGGCCCGTTCTCAATGAGCTGTTGGGTACACCTCCCAGACGGGGTGGTGGCCGGGCAGAGGGGCTCCTCACTTCCCAGTAGGGGCAGCCGGGCAGAGGCGCCCCTCACCTCCGGGACGAGGCGGCTGGCCGGGCGGGGGGCTGACCCCCCACCTCCCTCCCGGACGGGGCGGCTGGCCGGGCAGGGGGCTGACCCGCCCCCCACCTCACTGCCGGACCGGGCGGCTGGCCGGGCGGGGGGGCTGACCCCCCCACCTCCCTCCTGGACGGGGCGGCTGGCCGGGCAGAGGGGCTCCTCACTTCCCAGTAGGGGCGGCCGGGCAGAGGCACCCCTCACCTCCCGGACGGGGCGGCTGGCCGGGCAGGGGGTGACCCCCCCCACCTCACTCCCGGATGGGGCGGCTGGCCGGGCAGGGGACTGACCCCCCCACCTCCCTCCCGGACGGGGCAGCTGGCCGGGCAGGGGGGCTGACCCCCCCACCTCCCTCCTGGATGGGGTGGCTGGCCGGGCAGAGGGGCTCCTCACTTCCCAGTAGGGGTGGCCGGGCAGAGGCACCCTTCACCTCCCGGACGGGGCGGCTGGCCGGGCGGGGGGTGACCCCCCCCACCTCATTCCCGGATGGGGCAGATGGCCGGGCGGGGGGCTGAACCCCCTACCTCCCTCCCAGACAGGGCGGCTGGCCAGGTGGGGGACTGATCCCCCCACCTCCCTCCCGGATGGGGCGGCTGGCTGGGCGGGGGGCTGACACCCCCACCTCCCTCCCGGACGGGGTGGCTGCCGGGCGGAGACGCTGCTCACTTCCCAGACGCGGTGGCTGCCGGGCAGAGAGGCTCCTCACTTCTCAGATGGGGCGGCTGGCTGGGCGGGGGGCTGACCCCCCCACCTCCCTCCTGGACGGGGTGGCTGGCCTGGCAGAGGGGCTCCTCACTTCCCAGTAGGGGCGGCCGGGCAGAGGCGCCCCTCACCTCCCAGACGGGGCGGCTGGCCGGGCGGGGGGCTGACCCCCCCACCTCCCTCCCGGACGGGGCGGCTGGCCGGGCAGAGGGGCTCCTCACTTCCCAGTAGGGGCGGCCGGGCAGAGGCGTCCCTCACCTCCCGGACGGGGCGGCTGGCCGGGCGGGGGGCCGACCCCCCCACCTCCCTCCCAGATGGGGCGGCTGGCCGGGCGGGGGGCTGACCCCCCCACCTCCCTCCCGGACGGGGCGGCTGGCCGGGCAGAGGAGCTCCTCACTTCCCAGTAGGGGCGGCCGGGCAGAGGCGCCCCTCACCTCCCGGACGGGGTGGCTGGCCGGGCGGGGGGCTGACCCCTCCACCTCTCTCCAGGACGGGGCGGCTGGCCGGGCAGGGGGCTGACCCCCCCACCTCTCTCCAGGACGGGGCGGCTGGCCGGGCAGGGGGCTGACCCCCCCACCTCCCTCCTGGACGGGGCGGTTGGCCAGGTGGGGGGCTGATCCCCCCACCTCCCTCCCGGATGGGACGGCTGGCTGGGCGGGGGGCTGACCCCCCTACCTCCCTCCCGGACGGGGTGGCTGCCGGGCGGAGACGCTCCTCACTTCCCAGACGGGGTGGCTGCCGGGCGGAGAGGCTCCTCACTTCTCAGAGGGGGCGGCTGCCGGGAGGAGGGGCTCCTCACTTCTCAGACGGGGCGGTTGCCGGGCGGAGGGTCTCCTCGCTTCTCAGACGGAACGGCCGGGCAGAGACGCTCCTCACCTCCCAGACGGGGTCGCGGCCGGGTAGAGGCGCTCCTCACATCCCAGACGGGGCGGCAGGGCAAAGTCGCTCCCCACATCTCAGACGATGGGCGGCCGGGCAGAGACGCTCCTCACTTCCTAGATGGGATGGCGGCCAGGAAGAGGCGCTCCTCACTTCCTAGATGGGATGGCGGCGGGGCAGAGACGCTCCTCACTTTCCAGACTGGGCAGCCAGGCAGAGGGGCTCCTCACGTCCCAGACGATGGGCAGCCAGGCAGAGACGCTCCTCACTTCCCAGACGGGGTGGCGGCCAGGCAGAGGCTGCAATCTCGGCACTTTGGGAGGCCAAGGCAGGCGGGTGGGAGGTGGAGGTTGTAGCCAGCCGAGATCACGCCACTGTGCTCCAGTCTGGGCACCATTGAGCACTGAGTGAACCAGACTCCGTCTGCAATCCCGGCACCTCGGGAGGCCGAGGCTGGCGGATCACTCGCTGTTAGGAGCTGGAGACCAGCCCGGCCAACACAGCGAAACCCCGTCTCCACCAAAAAATTACGAAAACCAGTCAGGCGTGGCGGCGCGCGCCTGCAATCGCAGGCACTCGGCAGGCTGAGGCAGGAGAATCAGGCAGGGAGGTTGCAGTGAGCCGAGATGGCAGCAGTACAGTCCAGCTTCGGTTTGGCATCAGAGGGAGACCGTGGAAAGAGGGGACAGGGAGAGGGAGAGGGGAGAGGGGAGAGGGGAGAGGCGATTTTGTTATTTATTGTATTTATTGCATATGAGGGCCTAAATGAATAAGCCTTTATTTCCCTGCCCACATTTGACTAAATGAAATTTCTGCTTTACAAATATTAATGATGATCAGTTGGCTTCCAACATAATGTAATAATGAGCTTTGCAGAACTCTCTCCAGCAAAACAATAATTTAACCAGTGAAAATTATAAAAATGATAATCACCTAAAGCCTGTGAAAATTACCTAAAGGGCATTCAGCAAACAGATAAACATTCATTTGAGAAAATCTACAATAACTTTATAAAAACAGCGAGGGACTGCTTTGTTTATGACTTGCTTCGTTATTACCACCCCACCACCAGCAGCTCCATGATACAGATGGGTGTGAGCAACCAAGAAGGGAAAGCTCCCTTTTCCCTACATCCAGTCTGGGGCTATGGTTTCACCCTGGGAGGGGCAGGCTGATAGTGTCTCTCATCACCCTCTTGCCAAATGTTGCAGAAGCCATATTTCAGCAAATGCCCCTTCAATGACTGTATCTTCTTTTTGCATGTAGTCTCTTGAATTCCCCTCTCTCAACCTTCTACAGCAGAAGTTCCACATTTCTGAAGAAGCAAGCTGAGAAGACCAGGGGCTACTTCCCCTTGTGGTGCTCACTGCTAGTGCCCACTCTGCGGATCAAGAGTATTACCTTGAGAAAAGCAGCAGTGGCCTATATGGCTCTGCCTAGAAAAAAAAGGCAGACCTTAAGCTCAGAAGCCACTGTTGAAGGATTTGACTTTGCAAAAGAGAGTGGAGAACTCCTTACCTAAGAGTGTGTCAAGAACAGTGGGCATCTTGGTTGAGAGAAACTAAGAGGAGGCTGGAAGCTTTGATAATGAACAAAATGTCAAAGAAACAAAAAATTCAATGGTGGTGAGAACCAGGGAAACAGACAACTAAGAAGAACCCTCCTAGGTTTTCAGTCAACTCTCG
The DNA here is from genome assembly GCF_000001405.40 of Homo sapiens. Lineage (NCBI taxonomy): Eukaryota > Metazoa > Chordata > Mammalia > Primates > Hominidae > Homo > Homo sapiens. The sequence continues at coordinate 41,676,603 of NC_000014.9, forward strand.
GGGTCTGGAGAATGTTGTTCATATGTTCTAGGCAGCATCCACTTAAGAGCAATTAGAGAAAGATGTGGAACAGACTCGAAAGCATCCACCAACCTGCACAAAAGACCTATAAATATGGGGCAAAAAGTCTTCCTGACTCAAGGGTTTAAAACCACTGATCATGCATTATTGTACAAATAGGCTATTCTGCCCCAAGGGTGACTCCTGAGAAGCTAGTCTTTAAAATATCATCACAGACATCCCTGTGGATGTGGAAGACTGTGCATTCTCAAGCTGTACCTTCTTGGAAGCAATGAGAGAGGGATGAAATATGCTACACATTTTGAGATCCTCACCAAATGTGGGACCAGAAAATGAAAACTTTCTGATATGTGCTATCAGCCTGCACAACACACATGCATCCAGAGACAAAAGGTAAAAATATAACTGGTAATTAAACATAAGTTTTGACCAGTAAGTGGCTTATGCCAATCCAGGAACACATCCTAGGTAGCAGAGCAAAAAAAGTAAAAACAAGGAGAAAGGGGGGAAAAACAAGGGGAAAAAAAATCTAGCAGAGATATGAGAGGCTAAACATAGTTAAGGAAATAGACTTTGAGAATTAGTTCAGTCAAGTAACTAAACAAATAAACAAAATGGCCAAGTAGACAACAGCTACCACCTGCAGGGGATGAATAACGAGAGTCACTACAATCTATTAGCAAAATATCAAGTTTTAAAGAAAGACAATTATAAAGCATTCAAAGGAACAGGAAGAATCTAACACACACACACACATACACACACATCAGGCAGTAGAAACTTCCTCTGAAGGTGGAATTAGTAAATAAACATATCAAAGAAACTATTATAATTATATTTAAAGAACTAAGAAAAAACACGCTTTAAAAAATTACAGGATGGTATAATGGAAATGCCTCATAAAATACAGAATATTAATAAAGAGATGCAACTTGTTTGAAAGAATCAAATGGAAATTCTGAAGTTGAAATGTAATATAATTAAAACAAAAACTTCACTAGAGGGCTTAACAGTAGATTAGAGTTTGTAGAAGAGAGAATCAGCAGACTTTGAGATAGATAATAGTTATGTGATCCAATGAACACAGATAAAATCAATAAAGAAAATTGAATAAGAAATGTGAAACACCATTAGACATACAATATATATATGTTGTGAGTATCAAAAGAAGAAGAGAGAGGGTAGGATAGGAAAATATTCAAACAATGGTTGAAACTTCTCACATTTGATTTTTAAAAAATCAGTCTACAAACTCAGGAAGTACAATTAACCCTAAGTATGATAAATTCACAAAAGACCAAATGGCAATATAAACGCAACTATATTGATAATAAATTTAAATGTGAATGAATTAAGCAATCTAATGAAAATATTGTCAGAGATTGTCATGATAATTTAAAAAGAAAACTTAAAAATTCAACTAAACACTGTCTATAAGAGACACATTTCAAATTAGGTGAAAAGAGAAAGGATGGAAAAGCTATATCATGCAAACAACAACTAAAAAAGAGCTAGAGTGGATATACTAATATGTGACAAAATACACTTAAGAATGTTATTAGAAATACTGAGGGACTTTTTATAATGTTAAAAAGATCACTCTACCTGGAAGATACATGCATACATACATACATACATACATATACATATACATATATATATATTCCGTATATGTATATGCCATATATATGAAAATATTCAAATAATGGTTGAAAACCTCTCAAATTTGATTAAAATATATATACATCTAACAACAGAGGCCCAAATTTATGAAGCAAAAACTAATAGAATTGCAGGGAGAAATAGACAATTCAGCAATAATAGTTGGGGATTTCAATACCCCATTTTCAATAATGGATATAACAATAAAAGATCAACAAAGGAATAAAGACTTGAATGATATCATTTGCCCACTACACCTAACAGACATTTATAGAACATGCCACGCAACAATGAAAGAATATAAGTTCTTCTAAAGTGCATATTAACAATTCCCAGTATATATAACATCTTAGGTGGATAAACTAGTCTCAATAAATTTAAAAGAGGAAAGCGAGGCAGAGCAAGATGTCTGAATAGAAGCTTCCAAAAATCATCCCTGACCCCTGTAAGAACACTAAATTGAGCTACTATCCACACAAGAAAGCACCTTCTAAAAACCAAAAATCATATGAGCAGTCATGGTACCAGGTTTTAACTTCATATTACTGAAAGAGTCATTGGAAAGGGTAAGAAAGACAGTCTTGAATCACCTACACACACCTCCCCCATCTTCTTGCAACAGTCTCACGGCACAGAGAAAGAATCTGTGACCTTGGCGTAGGTAGAGTATGGTGATTATGAGACTTTGCATTGGAACTCAGTGCTTCTCCGTCACAGCAGGATGCAACACCAGGCAGAACTCAGCTGGTGTCCATGGAGTGAGTATTTACACCAGCTCTCTAGCCAGAGGGGAATCATCAATCCCAGGGGTTGGAACCTGAGTTCTGGCAAGCCCCACCACTGTGGACTAAAGTACTCTTGGGTTCTAAATAAACTTGAAAGGCAGTCTAGGCCACAAGGACTGCAATTCCTGGGCAATTTCTGGAGCTGTGCTGGGCTCAAAGCCAATGGACTTAGCAGCCATGCGACGCAGTGAAACACAAGCCAGGGTGGCTAAGGGAGTTAATATGACACCACTTTCCTAACACCAGGCAGCACAGCTAGCAGCTCTGTGAGAGACTCCTTCATTCTGCTTGAGGAGAAGTGAGGGAAGAGTAAAGAGGATTTGTCTTGAAACCTGTATACCGGCTAAGCCACAGTAAGATAAGGCATCAGGCAGAGTCCTGAGACCCCTATTCCAGACACTAGGTCTCAGATGACATTTCTAGACAAATCCTGAGCCAGAAGGGAACATGTTGTCTTTGAAGGGAATGGCCCAGTACTGGCAAAATTCATCACCTGCTGACTAAAGAGCCCTTAGGCCCTGAATAATAAGCAGTGGTACCCAGGTAGTGCTTGTTACGGCCTTCTGTGAGATTCAAGGATGTGCTAGCTTCAGGTGTGACCCAGCACATTCCCAGCGGTGGTAGCTATGGAAAGGGACACTTCTGTTTGAGAAAAAGGAAAGGACGAGTAAAGGGGAGTTTTTCTTACTGCTTAGGTACCAGCTCGGCACCAATGGAGTAGAGAATCAAGCAGGCACTTGGAGTCCTTGATTCCAGGCCTTGGGTCTTGGATGGCATTTTTGGACCTTCCCTGGGACAGAGGGGAGACCACTCCCCTGAAGGGAAAGTCCCAGGTTTGGCAGCATTCACCAAAATCTAGCTAAAGAGCACTTGGTCCTTGAACTAACATCATCAGTAGCCAGGCAGTAGTGGCTGAGGGCCTGGAGTGGTGGCGGCCATGAGGAGAGACCCCACTGCTTGTGGACAGGGGAGGGAAGAGTTGGAAGGACTTCACTCTTGTGGCTTGGGTGCCAGATCAGCCTCAGTAGAATAGAACAATAGGTAGATCCCTAAGGTTTACAACTCCAGGCTCTGGATTCTGGACAACATCTCTGGACCTGCCTGGGACCAAAGGGAACTTGCCACCCTGAATGGAAGAACACAAGAGCAGATGGCTTTCCCACTTGCTGATTGTAGAGACCTATGGCCTTGAACAAACATAGGCGGTAGCCACGCATTGGTTACTCTAGCCTTTGGCCCAGACCCAGTGTTGTTATGGCTTCAGGTCTGACCCAGTGCATTCCTAATGGTGGTGGCCAGAGGGGTGCTTGTGTCACTCCTCCCTCAGCTCTGTGCAGCTTGAGACACACAGAGAGAATGTGTTTGGGGGAAAGAAAGGGAAGACAACAAGAGTATCTTCCTGGTAATCAAGGGAATTCTTCCAGATCTTATCGGAGATGACCAAGGTGGTCCCTCTATGAGTTTTTAAGAGCCACAGCATTGCTGAGCTTCAGGTGCCCCCTAATGCAAATATAGCTGCAGTGACCAAAAGCTTGGATCACAACCTCCAAGTCTCTTTGAAAACCTGGAAAGCCATCCCAAGGACAGGTACAAGCAAGCCCAGACTGTGAAGACTATAATAAATACTTAACTCTTTAATTCCAGAAACTGATGAAATCCAGATTATCCTGGAAAACGTGACCTCACCAAATGAACTAAATAAACCACCAGGGACCAATCCTGAAGAGACACAGATATGTGACCTTTCAGATAGAGAATTCAAACTAGCTGTTTCAAGGAAGCTCAACAAAATTTAAGTTAAAAAAAAGAAACAATTTAGAATCACATCAGACAAATTTAACAAAGAGATAGAAACAATTTAAAAGAATCAAGCAGAAATTCTGGAAATAAAAATGCAACTGACATAATGAAGAATGTGTCACAGTCTCTTAACAGCCAAATTGATCAAGTAGAAGAAGGGATTAGCGAGTTTGAATACAGGCTATTTGAAAATACACAATCAGATGAGAGGAAAGAAAAATAATTAAAAAAATGAAGCACACCTATTAGAAAATAGCCTCAAAAGGGCAAATCCAAGAGTTATTGGCCTTAGAGAGGAGGTAAGAAAAGAATGTGAGTAGAAAGTTTATTCAAAGGGATAAATAAGGAGAAATTCCCAAACCTAGAGAAATATATCAATATTTAAGAACAAGCAGGTTATAGAACACCAAGTAGATTTAATTCAAATAAAGCCACCTTAAGACATTTAATAATTAAACTCCCAAAGATCAAGGATAAAGAAAAGATTTTAAAAATAACAAGAGAAAAGAAACAATTAACATAAAATGTAGCTCCACTACCTCTGACAGCAGACTTCTCAGTGGATACCTTATAGGCCAGGGGAGAGTGGCATGACATATTTAAAGTGCTGAAGGAAAACAAAACCAAACGGAACAAAAAATCATTTTATCCTATAATAGTATATCCAGCAATAATATCCATCAAATATAAGGGAGAAATAAAGACTTTCCCAGATGAACGAAAGCCAAGGGATTTCATAAATAACAAAAGGGTCCTACCAGAAATGCTAAAGGGAGTTCTTCAGACTGAAAGAAAAGGATGTTAATGAGCAATAAGAAATCATCTAAAGGTACAAGACTCACTAGTAAAAGTTAGTACACAGGATAACACAGAATATTATAACACTGTAACTGTGATATATAAACTACTCTTTTATTTTATTTTATTTTATTTATTTATTTATTTATTTATTTATTTTTTTTTTTTGTGATGGAGTCTCACTCTGTCGCCCAGGCTGGAGTGCAGTGGCCCGATCTCTGCTCTCTGTAACCTCTGCCTCCCGGATTCAAGCAATTGTCCTGCCTCAGCCTCCTGAGTATCTGGGATTACAGGCGTGCGCCATCATGCCTGGAAATTTTTGTACTTTTAGTAGAGACAGGGTTTCACCATATTGTCCGGGCTGGTCTAGAACTCCTGACCTCAAGTGATCCGCCTGCCTTGGCCTCCCAAAATGCTGGGATTACAGGTATGAGCCACCACACCCAGCCTAACCTACTCTTATCATAAGTAAAAAGACTAACCAATGAACCAATAAAAAATAATGACAAGGAGGTTGCAGTGAGTTAAGATCGTGGCACTACACTCCAGTCTGGGCAACAGAGCAAGACTTCATCTTAAAATAATAATAATAATAATAATAATTATGACAACAACGACTTGTCAAGACATAGACAGTATAATAAGATACAAACAAACAACAAAACATTAAAAAGTGGGAGGACAAAGTTAAAGTTTAGAGTTTTTATTAGTTATCTGTTTACTTATTAGTTAATTTTTTTATGGAAAAAACTAGAAAAACAAAAGCAAAGCAAAGCCAAAATTAGTAGAAAAATGAAATAATAAAGATCAGAGCAGAAATAAATGAAATTGAAATGAAAGTAACTAATACAAAATATGAAGTTATTTTTTTGAAAAGACAAACAATTGACAAATATTTAGCTCGACTGCATAAGAAAAAAAGATAAGACCCAAATAAATGATATCATAGATGAAGAGGAAGGCATAACTGTAACGAAAATTCAGAGGATTATTAGAGCAACTATATGCCAATAAATTGGAATCTGGAAGAAATGGATACATTCCTAGAAACATACAGTCTACCAAGGTTCTTCCTGGTTCTTCCTGAATGAGAAGTAATTAAAAACTTGAACAGAGCAGTAAGTAACAAGATTAAAGACATAATAAAAAAGTATCCTGGAAAAGAAATGCCAGGGACCAGATAATTTCACTAATCAATTTTCCCAGACATTTAAAGAAGACCTAATATTTATCCTACTCAAACTATTCCAAAGAATGGAGAGGGTGGAAATACTTCCAAACTCCTTCTGTGAGGCCAGTATTACCCTGATACCAAAACCAGACAGACACAGCAGTAAATAAATAAATTAATTAAATTAAACACAGGCCAGTGTTCCTACTGAACATTGATATGAAAATCCTCAACAACATTTTAGCAAATCAAATTCAACAATACATTAAAAACATTATTCAGTAAGACCAAATGGGTCATCCCTGGGATGCAAGGATGGTTCAACTTTTGCACACCAATCAATGTGATACATCGTATCAATAGAATGAAGGAAAAAATCCATATGATCATTTCAATTGATGCTGAGAGGGCTTTGATAAAATTAAACATCTCTTCATGATAAAATATCTCAAACAACTGAGTATAGAAGGAAGATAATGCCACACAATAAAAGCTGGGTATGGCAGAGCAACAGCTAGTATCATACTGAGTGGGGGAAACTGTAAACATTTCTTCTAACATCTGGAATGAGACAAAGATACCCACTTTCACTACTGTTATTCAACATAGTATGGGGTGTCCTATCTAGAGCAGATAAGAGGAAGATATAAAGGTCAGGAATAAGTCAAACTATCTTTGTTTGCAAATGATATGATCTTATATTTGGAAAAACCTAAAGATTCCACCAAAAACTATTAGAACTGATAAACAAGTTCAATAAAGTTTCAGGATACAAAATCATATGAAAATCAGTAGCATTTCTATATGCCAATAGCAAACAATCTGAAAAAAAAATCACCAAAGTAACCTCATTTACAATAGGTACAAATGGCATAAAATACTTAGGAGTAAACTTAACCAGAGAAGTGAAACACCTTTACAATTAAAACTATAAAACATTGATTAATGAAACTGAAGAAGATATACAAAAATAGAGAGATATTCTCTGCTCATAGATGTGAAGAATCAGTATTATTAAAATGTCCATACTGCCCAAGGTAATCTATAGATTCAGTGCAATCCCAATCAAAATACCAATGTTATTCTTCACAGAAATAGAAAAAACAATCCCCAAAATTATGTGGAACCTCAGAAGACCCAGAATATCCAAAGCTGTCATGAACAGAAAGAATAAAACTGGTGGAATCATATTACTTGACTTCAAATTATACTACACAGCTATAGTATCCCACACAACATAGTGCAGAGACATAAAGCAATGGAACAGAATAGAGAATCCAGAAACAATTTCATACATCTACAGTGAACTATTTTCGACCAAGGTGCCAGGAACATACAATGAGGAAAGGACAGTCTTTTCAATAAATGTTGCCTGGAAACCTGGGTATCCGTATACAGAAAAGTGAAAGTAGACCCCTATCTCTTGCTGTATTATTCCATTTTCACACCGCTATAAAGAGCTGTAAAAGACTGGATAATTTATAAAAGAAAGAGGTTTAACTGACACACAGTTCAGCATGGCTGGGAAGTCCTCAGGAAACTTACGATTATGGTGGACAGCAAAGGGGAAGTAAGGCGCCTTCTTTATAAGGCAGCAGGAAGGAGAATGAACACAGGAGGAACTACCAAACTCTTATACAACTGTCAGATCCTGTGAAACCTCACTATCACAAGACAGCATGTGGGAAACCACCGCCATAATTGAGTTACCTCCACGTGGTCTCTCCTTTAACATGTGGGGATTATGGGGATTACAATTCAAAATGAGATTTTGGGTGAGGACACAGCCAAACCATATCACTTGCCATACAGAAAAATCAAATAAAAATGGGTTAAAAACTTAAATTTAAAACGTAAAACAATGGAACTAGTAAAATAAAACTGTAGGACATCGGAATGGGCAAAGGTATTTTGAGTAATACTCCACAAGCGCAGGCAACCAAAGGAAAAATTGTCAAGTGAGATCACAGTGAGTTAAAAACCTTCTGCACAGTGAAGGAAACAGTCAACAAAGTGAAGTGGTAATCCAGGGAATGTGAGAAAATGTTTGCAAACTATCCATCTGACAAGACATTAATAACCAGAATATGTAAGAAGCCCAAAGGACTCTATAGGAAAATATCTAAAACCTGATTTAAAAATGGGCAAAAGTCCTGAATAAATATTTTTCAAAGAAAGACATACAAATAGCAAACTGGTATGTGAAAAGGTGCTAGGCATTATTAATCACTGGGGAAATGCAAATCAGAACTACAATGAGATACTATCTTGTGCAAGTTAAAATGCTTTTTATCCAAAAGGCAATAACAAATGTAGTGAGGATGTAGAGAGAAGGGAACCCTCCATATGCTGTTGTTGGGAAGGTAAATTAGCACAAGTCCTGGAGAACAGTATGGAGGTTCCCCAAAAAAACTAAAAATAGAACTACTATATTATCTGGCAATCTCATTGGTAGTTATATACACAAAAGAAAGGAAATCAGTTTTTTTTGAAGAGATACCTGTACCCCCATATTTATTGAAGCGCTGTTCACAATAACCAAGATTTTAAAGAAACCCACATGCCTATTACCAGACAAACAGATAGAGAAAAATGTGTTGCTTTTGCTGTGCAGAAGCTCTTCAGTTTAATTAGATCCTATCTGTCAATTTTGGCTTTTTGGCAACTGCTTTTGACATTTTTGTCATGAAATCTTTGCCCATGCTTATGTCCTGAATGGTATTGCCTAGGTTTTCTTCTAAGGTTTTTATGATTTGGGGTTTTACATACAGGTCTCTAATCCCTCTTGGGTTAATTTTTGTATAAGCTGTAAGGAAGGGGTCCAGTTTCAGTTTTCTGCATATGGCTAGCCAGTTTTTCCAGCACCATTTACTGAATAAAAGGGCTTTTCCCCATTGCTTGTTTTTGTCAGATTTGTCAAAGATCAGATGGTTGTAGATGTGTGGTGTTATTTCTGAGGTTTCTGTACGGCTTCATTAGTCCATATATCTGTTTTTGGTACCACTACCATGCTGTCTTGGTTACTGTAGCCTTGTAGTATAGTTCAAAGTCAGGTAGTGTGATGCGTCCAGTTTTGTTCTTTTTGCTTAGGATTGTCCTGGCTATATGGGGTCCTCTTTGATTCCATACGAAATTTAAAATAGTTTTTTCTAATTCTGTGAAGAATATCAATGGTAGTTTTATGGAAATAGCATGGAATCTATAAATCGCTTTGGGCAGTATGGCCATTTTCATGACATTGATTCGTCCTAGACATGAGGATGGAATATTTTTGCATTTGTTTGTGTCCGCTCTTATTTCCTTGAGCAGGCGTTTGTAGTTCTCCTTGAAGAGGCCCTTCACATCCCCCGTTAGCTGTATTCCTAGGTATTTTATTCTCTTTGTAGCAATTGTAAACGGGAGTTCATTCATGGTTTGCCTCTCTGCTTGCATATTGTTGGTGTAAAGGAATGCTTGTGATTTTTGCACATTGATTCTGTATCCTGAGACTTTGCTGAAGTTGCTTATCAGTTCAAGAAGTTCTGGGGCTGATACGATGGGGTTTTCTAAATATAAAATATTGTAATCTGCAAACAGAGAAAGCTTGACTTCCTCTATTCCTATTTGAATACCCTTTATTTCTTTCTCTTTCCTGATTGCCCTGGCCAGAACTTCTAATACTATGTTGAATAGGAGTGGTGAGAGAGGGCATCCTTGTCTTGTACCAGTTTTCAAAGGGAATGCTTCCCACTTTTGCCTATTCAATATGATATTGGCTGTGGGTTTGTCACAGTTATTATATTAAGATATGTTCCATGAATACCTACTTTATTGAGAGTTTTTAACATGAACGGATGTTGAATTTTATCAAAGGCATTTTCTGCATCTACCGAGATAATAATGTGATTTTTGTCATTGATTCTGTTTGTGTGATGGATTACATTTAATGATGTGCATATGTTGAAGCAGTCTTGCATCCCAGGGATGAAGCTGACTTGATCATGGGGATAAGTTTTTTGATGTGCTGCTAGATTCAGTTTGCCAGTATTTTAGTGAGGATTGTCCCATCAAAGTTCATCAGGGATATTGGCCTGAAGTTTTCTTTTTTTGTTGTGTCTCTTCCCAGTTTTTGTATCAGGATGATACTGGTTTCATAAAATGAGTTAGGGAGGAGCCCCTCCTTTCCAATTGTTTGGAATAGTTTCAGAAGGAAAGTTACCAGCACATGAGAGTGAACAGGCAACCTACAGAATGGGAGAAATTTTTTTCAATGTACCTATCTGACAAAGGTCTAATATTTATACTTTACAAGGGGCTTAAACATATTTACAATAAAAAAACATCAAAAATGGTCAAAGGATATGAACAGACACTTCTCAAAAGAAGACATTTATGCAGCCAACAACCACATGAATAAAAGCTCAACATCACTGATCATCAGAGAAAGGTAAATCAAAACCACAATGAGATACCATTTCACTACAGTCAGAACGGCAATTATTAAAAAATTAGGAAACAATAGATGCTGGTGAGGCTGTGGAGAAATAAGAACACTTTTACACTGTTGGTGGTAAAGTAAATTAGTTCAACCACTGTGGAAGACAGTAATGCGATTCCTCAAGGATCTAGAACCAGAAATACCATTTGATCCAGCAATCTCATTACTTGGTATACACCCAAGGGAATGTAAATCATTCTACTATAAAGACACACGCACACATGTGTTTATTGCAGCATTATTTACAATAGCGAAGATATGGAACCAACTCAAATGTCCATCAATGATAGACTGGGTAAAGAACATGTGCTACATATACACCATGGAATACTATGCAGCCATAGAAAGCAATGAGATCATGTCCTTTGCAGGGACATGGATGAAGCTGGAAGTCATCATCCTCAGCAAACTAACAAAGGAACAGAAAACCTAACACCACATGTTCTCACTCATAACACATGGACACAGAGAGGGGAACAACACAGTCTATGGCCTGCTGGGGGTTGGGGTTTGAACAGAGGGAACTTAGAGGATGGTTAATAGATGCAGCAAACCACTAGAGCACACGTATACCTATGTAAAGAACCTGCACTATCTGTACATGTATCCCCCTTTTTTAGAAGAAATAAATAAAAACAATAAAAAAAGAAAAGCTTGTACTATTTAGCTTTTAAAAATAATGAGATCTTGTCAGCAACAACATGGATGGACCTGAAGATTATTATGTTAAGTGTGGTAAACCAGGCACAAAAAGACAAACTTTACATTTCTTCACTTATTTGTGAGAGCTAAAAATTAACAGTTGAGCACATGGAGATAGCCAGTAGAATAATGGTTACCAGAGCCTGGGAAAGGTAGTTGGTGGGTGGGTATGCGGGGATGCTTTATGGATACAAAAATATAATTAGATAGAATAAGATCTACTGTTTGATAGCATAATGGGGTGACTATAGTCAATAATAATTTATTGTACGTTTAAAAACAACTAAGAGAGTATAGTTGGATTGTCTGAAACATAAAGAAAGGAAAAATGCTCGAGGTGCTGGATACCTTATTTACCCTGATGTGATTATTATATATTGTATGCCTGTATCAAAATATGTCATGTACCCCATAAACATATCCACCACAAAAATTAAAAATAAAAAATTTAAAAATAAATTAGTAAATTTAAAAGGATTGAAGTTCTACAAAATATCTTTCCTAATAACAATGTAATTAAATGATAAATGATCAACTGGAAGAAATTTGTGAAGTTCAAATACACAAATTTAAACCAAACAATTCTAAATTACCAGTGGGTCAAAGAAAAAAAATGAGGAAAATTAGGATATAATTCGAGATCAATGGGAAAAAAAACAAAACAAAACAAAACAAAAAAAACCATGAGATACCAAAATTTATGAGATGCAGCTAAAGCAGTGCACAATGCTCAGAGGTCAATGTAGACCTGGAAATGCCTACATTTAAAGAAGCCAAGCACAGTGACTTATGTCTGAAATCTCAGCACTGTCAGTGACCGAGGCAGAAGGATCTCTTGAGGCCAGCAGTTCAAGCACCATTTTGGGCAGCATGGTGAGACCCTATTTCTACCAAAAAAAAAAAAAAAAAAGGAAAAAGAAAAAAGCTGGGTGTTGGGGTGTATGACTGTAGTTGGAGTCCCAGCTACTTAGGAGGCTGAGGTGGGAGGATCACTTGACCCTGGGAGGTTGAGGCTACAGCGAGCTGAGATCTCACCACTGCACTGCAGTTTGGGCAACAGAGTGAGAACCCATCTCTAAAATAATAATAATAAATAATAAATGATGATGATAATGATAATGAATTTTAAAAAGAAGAAAGCTCTCCAATCAATAACTTAAATTTATTCCTTAAGGAGCTAGAAAAGAGAAGAGAATATTGAACACGGCAAATAGTTGGAAAGTCATACGGAAAGCAAAGTATAAATAAATGAAATAGAAAACAGAAAAACGATAGACAAACACAACAAAACCAAAATTTGGTTCTTCGAAAAGATTAACAACATTGACTAATCTTTCACTTTATTGACCAATAAAAAGAAAACATGACTTTGATTACAGAAAAACAGAAACAAAAGAGAGAAAATCACTACTGATCTTACAGAAATTTTTTTAAAAGAATGCTATTAAAAGCTTATGCAAACAAATTAAATGACTTAGATGAAATAAATAAATTCCTAGAAAGACAAAAATTATTAAAATTGACTCAGGATGAAATAAAGTCTAATTAAGGTTATAACAAGTACAATGATAAAATTAGTATTTTAAAAATTACTGGCCGGGCGCGGTGGCTCACGCTTGTAATCCCAGCACTTTGGGAGGCCGAGGCGGGCGGATCACGAGGTCAGGAGATCGAGACCATCCTGGCTAACACGGTGAAACCCCGTCTCTACTAAAAATACAAAAAAATTAGCCGGGCGTGATGGCGGGCGCCTGTAGTCCCAGCTACTCGGGAGGCTGAGGCAGGAGAATGGCGTGAACCCGGGAGGCGGAGCTTGCAGTGAGCCGAGATTGCGCCACTGCACTTCCACCTGGGCCACAGAGCGAGACTCCGTCTCAAAAAAAAAAAAAAAAAAAAAAAAATTACCCACCAAAAAGGGCTAGGTCCCTAATAATACACTTTTGAACTATGAAAAACATTGAAAGAATTATGAATGCTAACTTTTTACAAACTCTCTTTTCAAAATAGGATGCCAGAATTACCCTCATACCAAAACCAAACAAAAACATTACAAGTAAATAAATTTTAAACTCTCCTTTATGAATACAGATGCCAAAACCTTGAACACAGTACTTGCAAACCAAATGTAGCAATATTTTTAAAAAGTTTGTACTTCATAACCAAGTCCTATTCATCATAGGCATGTATAATTAAAAGAAAAAAAAGGCCATCTCAATAAATACAAAAGTAAATAAAGAAATAAACATTTTGGCCAGGTGCAGTGGCTCACCCCTGGAATTAATCCCAGCACTTTGGGACGCCAAGATGGGTGGATCTCTTGAGGCCAGGAGTTCAAGATCAGCCTGGCTAACATGATGAAACATCATCTCTACTAAAAATACAAAATTAGCCGGGCATGGTGGTGTGCACCTGTAGTCGCAGCTACTCAAGAGGCTGAGGCATGAAAATCACTTGCGCCCTTGGGAGGTGGAGGTTGCAGTGAGCTGAGATCTCACTACTGCACTCCAGCCTAGGTGACAAAGCAACACTCTGTCTCAAAAAAAGTGAAAAGAAATTAGCATAAATTTAATGTCCTTTAAGGATAAAGACCTTCACCAAATAAATAATAGAAGGGAATTTGCTTAACTTAATAAAGGACATCTATGAAAAACCCACAGCTAAATTTATATCTTTTGGTGAAAGAATAGTTTCCCTACAAATCAGGTAAAATATTGAAAAGTCCACTCTTTCTCTTTAATTTAGCACTGTATTGGAGATTATAACCGGAGCAATTTGGTGAGAAAAAATAAATAAAAGACATTCAGATTGTTTATTTACCCTTATATCAAACTTCGTAAGTTTTATTATTTAAACATTTTATCTTTTTCATTTGATTGCTCATATTTTGTGTGAACTCTTGTTTATATTTTTAATATTTTTAGGCTTATTAGTGATAAGCCAATTTTCATTCCTGACACAGAATAAAAGAGAAACACTTATACTGTTTCTCTTTTATTCTTCCTATGTTTTAGGCATTTAATCAATTTTATGTCTGTTTATAGAGACAGATTTTGAGTTTGCTGTTTTCTCTGTTGAGCATTTATTTTTGATTGTATTAAATTTTGTCATTATTATTTATGCACTTTCTTCTGCCTCATTTTAGGCTTAATTTACTCTGAACATTTTTTTCAGCTCTATACTTAAATAATTGATTTTTAAAAATCATTTTTCTGTTCTGACATGTGCTTTTAAGCTACAAACTTCCTCATACAATTAATTTACATCTATTCCTTATAATTTAAATTTTCATCAGGATTCATGTCAAAATATTTTCTAACTTTCATCAAGCTATCACATTTTACCTATGAATTATATACATGTATATTTGGAACTTTTAGTTGTCTGTTATTATTTCTAACTCAACTTTACAGTTGTCAGAAAACAAACTCTTTATGATTTCAATGCTTAATGATATTTAGAAGCCCATCACTGGTCAACCTTGCTAAACTTCCCATATGTATTTGAAAAGAATGTTTATGTTATTGGTGCAATTGTGCATATACATATATATACATATACATATACAATTTATACGTAACATTTAAAATTTTTGGTTATATTTTATAGACATTAAAATACATAGATCTTAAATGATGAGTTTGGCGATTTTTTAACAATTGTGTACTTTATTTAACCACCACACTATACAACATATAGAACAATTTCATATTTTCATTTTCCTTATTCCACTTTCCAGATTATCCCCATTCCTTACTATTCCCAGAGACTAATACTTTCTGATGTCTAACACTGTGGATTAGTTTTGCTTGTTTCTGCCTATTTTTGAATTTCATATGAATAATCATCAACCTTTTTGAGTTTCATCAATATTAGTGTATATATCAGTATTTTGCTCCTTTTCATTGCTAGGTAATTTTCCATGGTGTTCTTATACCACAATTTCTTTACCCATTATTTTGTCAATGGATATTTGTGTTATTTTTCAAGAAAGGCTTCTTGTGGGTAAGATTGATGTGAACATATTTTCTCCAATCTTTAGATGTATATATGTTTTCAGTTGTATTGGGCAAACATCTGGGAATAGAAATGTTGAATATAGGGTAGATGTATATTAAAATTTGTAAGAAACTGGTAATCATTTTTCAAAGTACTTGTGCCACTTTACACTCCCAACTTGTACAAAAGTGTTATTTGCTCCACATCATTGCCAATATTTGTAACTATTTGTCATTATTTTTCTTTAAATTTTAGCTGTTCTTGGAATAAATGCTGTCTTTTTTTTGTTAATTTTTATTGTAGCTTTATGTGAGTCCTTTATAGATTCTGGATATGTACTCCTCATTAAAGATATATACAGTAGATATTTTCTTCTAAATGGTTACTACCCTTTTAATTTTCTTTTTTTTATTATTATACTTTAAGTTCTAGGGTACATGTGCAAAACATGCAGGTTTGTTACATGTGTATACATGTGCCATGTTGGTGTACTGCACCCATTAAACTCGTCATTTACATTAGGTATATCTCCTAATGCTATCCCTCCTAACTTCCCCCACACCACAACAGGCCCCAGTGTGTGATGTTCCCCTTCCTGTGTCCAAGGGTTCTCATTGTTCAATTCCCACCTATGAGTGAGAACATGCGGTGTTTGGTTTTTTGTCCTTGCGATAATTTGCTGAGAATGATGGTTTGAAAAGCCTATGTTTTTAACTTGGTAAAGACAGTGTATCAGATTTTTCTTTTACAGTGTGAATTGTGTTTTTTGTCTTCTCTTTAAGAAATATTTGTCTATTTCTAAAATGGCAAAGCTCTTCAATTTTTTTTTCTTCTATAATCATTATCATTGTAGCTTTCATGTTTAGTTCTATGATATACATCAAACAAGCTTCTCTGTATAGAGTTATCTACAGGTTAAAGTTTACTTTTTTTTCCTGTAGATATCCATTGGAACCATCAATATATGTCATATAAATTTTATTTCCTCATTCAGTTGCTTTTTTAACTTTGTTAAGTATCAATTAACTATATGTGTGTGCATTTATTTGTGGACTTCATTTCCTATTTCACTGATGAATTTTTATATTCTTATTCAAACACTATACAATCTTGATTATTTAAGTGTAGAGCAAGTCTTGAAATCAAGTAGTGCAAGTGTTTTAAATAATGTTTAAATATTTTTGGAAGTTGTTCTGTGTCTTTTAGGTCATTTGCATTTCAATATAACTTATGAAAAATCAGTGTGGCAGTTTCTATAATAAACCCTGCCTGAATTTTGATTAAGATTGCATTGAAGTTATAAATTGTTGTTGGCATAAAAGATACTTTAAAACGTACTTTAACAATATAGAGTCTTCCATTTGCTTTTATTATGGGACCTTTCATTGACACGTATTTTACTCAACGTGTTTTGTAAACTCCAAAATACATGTTATGTTTCTCCATTTAATTAGGTGTGTTTTATTTTTTCTCAACAATGTTTTGGACGTTTGAATGTGGTGGTTTTGTATATATTTTATTAGTTTTTTTGTAGAAATTTAATTTTTCTTTGCTGTTATTGAATTTATATTTAAATTTCATCTTCCAATTGTTCCTTTAACATGTATTGAAATGTTGTTGGCTTTTACATATTAACTTTGTATTCTGTGATTTTTTGATAGGCTTCATAAAGGATTTTTTGAATGCCATTGTCATGTTTTCTGAGAATAATAACTTTTTTCTTCTTTTCTGATCTTTATAACTTTTCTTTTTCTTGCTTCATTATTCTTGCTTAGACTCCATATACTGTTGATTAAAAACAGAAAGAATAAATGCTCGCTTTGTTTACATCTTAGGGAGAAAGCGTTCAGTGTCCTCCATTGGTTTAATGTTAGCCCTTTATGAGTTGCAGACCACTTCAATGCCCTTTACCAGACTTAAGGATTTTCTATAAATAGTAGTTGCTGAGAGATTCTTTCATGTTTGAGTCTTGATTTTGGCAATTATTTTTCTGCAGCTATTGAAATGTTTGTATATGTTTTTTGCTTATTAATACCATGAAATATACCAATTTTATTATTTTAATTGACATTTATGTAGTTTAATTTAATGTTTTACATATGTGTACAATGTGGAGTGGTTAAATAAAAGCTATGAACATATACATCATCTCATTTACTTGATTTTTTTTGTGGAGATACATTTGAAATTTACTCTGTTAGTTATTCTGAATTATACAGTACATTATCATTGAATGTACTCACACTGCTGTGCAAATCTCAAAACTTATTCCTTCTATCTAGCTGAAACTTCGTATCTTTTGACCAATAACTCCTCAGTACGTTGCTTACCAATCCTTCATCCTCTAGTAACCATAATTCTACCCTCTCTTTCTATGAATCCTACTCTTTTTGATACTATATATAAATTCTACAAATCGTGCAGTATTTGTCTTTCTGTGCCTTCCTTATTTCACTATGCATAGTGTTCTCTAGATTCATCCATGGTATCCCAAATAACAATATTTTGTTCTTTTTTAAGACTGAGTGATATTCTTTTCTGTATATGGGCATTCCTTGTATGTGTTACATTTCATTTTGCTGTGTTTCACAGATATTCTTTTTTATAAATTGAAGGTTTGTGGCAACTCTGTGTCAGGCAAGTCTATTAGTGCCATTTTTTCCAACAGTATGTGTTCACTTCATGTCTCTGTGTCACATTTTGGTAATTCATACAATATTTCAAATATTTCATTATTATTGTATCTGTTATGGGGATCTGTGGTCAATGATATTTGGTGTTACTATGTAATTATTTTGGGGGACCAAAAAACATTCCCATACAAGATAAGGCCAATTAATAACTCTACAATGGCCACTAAGTGTTTGAACGAGAGAAAAGTCCAATGTCTCTCAGTATAAATCAAAAACTAGACATGATTAAGCTTAGTAAAAAAGGCATGTTGAAAGCTGAGATAGGCCAAGAGCTAGACTTCTTGCACCAAACAGCTCAGTTGTAAATACAAAAGTTATTGAAGGAAATTAAAAGTGCTACTCTTTTGAACACACAAATAATAAGAAAGCACAACAACCATATTGCTGATATGGAGAAACTTTTAGCAGTTCAGACAGAAAATGAAACCAGCCACAGCACATTGTTAAGCCAAAGTCTAATCCAGAGCAAAGCCCTAACTCATGTCAATTCTATGAAGACTGAGAGAGGTAAAGAGGCTGCAGAAGAGAAGTTTGAAGCTAGCAGAGATTTGTTCATGAGACTTATAGAAAGAAGGTGTCTCCATAACATAAAAGTGCAAGATGAAGCAGAAAGTCTTGTTGTAAAAGCTGCAACAAGTTATGCAGAAGACCTGGACAAGATATTGAATTAAAGTGGCTACACTAAATAGCAGATTTTCAATATAGACAAAACTACCTTCTATTGGAAAAAGAGGCCATCTAGGACTTTCATAGCTAAAGAGGAGAAGTCAATGCTGGCCTTCAGTTTTTCAAAGAACAGGCTGAATCTCTTATTGAGAGCTAATGCAGCTGGTGACTTGGAAGTTGAAGCCAGTGCTTAGCTATCATTCTGCAAATCCTAAAGCCATTAAGAATTATGCTATATCTACTCTGCCTATGCTCTATAAATGGAACGACAAAGCCTGGATTATATCACATTTGTTTAAGCATGGTTTACTGAATATTTTAAGCCCAATATTCACACCTACTGCTCAGGAAAAAGGATTCCTTTCAAAATATTACTGCTCATTGACAGTATTACCTAGTCACCCAAGAGCTCTGATAGAGATGTACGAGGAGATTAATGTGATTTCCATGCCTGCTAACAACAACATGCAATTCATGGATCAACAAGTACTTTCAAACTTTGTCTTATTATTTAAGAACTGTATTTCATAAGACTGTTGCTGCCATTGATAGTGATTTCTCTGAGGGATCTGGGCAAAGTAAATTAAAAAGCTTCTGGAAAAGATTAACCCTTCTAGATGTCATTAAGAACATTAATGATTCACTGAAGGAGGCCAAAATATAACTTTGACAGACATTTGGAAGTTTGATTCCAACTTTCATGGACAACTTTGAGGGGTTCAAGACTTCAGTGGAGGAAGTAACTGAAGATGTGAAAGAAATAGCAGGAGAACTAAAAATAGAAGTGGAGCCTGAAGATGTGACTAAATTGCTGCGATCTCATGATAAAACTTGAATGGATGAGGGGCTGCTTCTTATGGATGAGCAAAGAATGTAGTCTTTTCAGATGAAAAGTACTCCTGATGAAGATGCTGTGAACATTGTTGAAATGACAGTGGATACAGAATGTTACATAAACTTATTTGATTAAACAGTGGCAAGGTTTGAGAGGATTGATTCCAACTTTGAAAGAAGTTCTGTTGGTAAAATTTTATTAAGCAGCATCACATATTACAGAGAAATATTTTGTATATTCGTATAGAGCCAAATGATGCGGCATTATTGTCTAAGTTTAAGAAATTGCCACAGTCACTTTACCCTTCAGCAGCTACCTCCCTGATCATTCTGCAGACATCACAATCTGTTGATATCTATTCATTTGGATATATTCTCAGAAGAGCAATTGCTGGATTATATAGTAGTTCTAAGGTTAGTTTTTGGGGGACCTCCATAACATTTTCCACAATGGACTAACTAACTTATATTCCCACTAACAGTGTACAAGGAGTCCATTTTTCCTGCCTCCTTGCCAACACTTGTTATCTTTCATCTTTTTGAGAAAAGCCATTCTAACTGGTATGAGGTGACGTCTCATCGTGGCTTCAGTTTGCATTTCTCTAGTGACTAATGATGCCAGGCATGTTTCATGAACCTGTAGGCCATTTGTATGTGAAATTCTGAAAAGTGTTCACCACATTGTCCATAGTCTAATCAGATTATTTGTTTTCTAATGACATGCCTACCTTGAATCCTGGAGTAAACCACAAATAGTGATATTATTGGATTCAACATATTAATACTGTGTACACAGTTTTTGTATCTTTCAATTGTTAATCTGCACTTTTGATATTAGTAGTATTCTTATTAGGTTTTGGTATGAGAGTTATGATAACCTCCTAAAACTTGTTAAGTATTATTTTTCTTCAGTATTTTCTAATATAATTTTTATAGACATCGTTATTATTTCTTTCTTATAGATAGGTTTGATAAATTCACATATGAAGCCATCTGGGCATAGAATTTTATTTGTAGGAAGATTTTTCTATCCTTGCTTGAGGTTTATCAATTGCATTAATATTTTGAAGAAATTAAATTTTGCTTTTTAATTTTTTAATTTCTTTTGTTTCAAAAATAATACATTGTTACTATGTTTGCTTTACAAATCAATAATCTTTTAAAAATTATTCAAATCAGAAGTGGAAGTTAGTTTAATAATTTTGTTTCAGTACTTTATAATTACTGTTAGACATGTGTTAAAATATGCCATCATAATCATGGATTTGTCTATTTCTTCGAGTTTGGTCAATTTTTGATTAAATATCTTGAGACTGTCTTATTTAAAACAGAGATTTTGTTAATTTTAATATCTTTCATGTGGATTGACTTGTCCATATTAAGTCTACCTTTTTATTAAGAGTTTTGTATTAAACTGTATTAACTAATATGAATATAGCTTCACTGCTCTTTTTTTTTTTTTGATAGGAGAGTTTCTTGTTTCCATCTATTTATTTTCAACATTCCTATGTCCTCCTACTTAAGATATGACTATTACAAATAGCATATACTAGTTTTTAAAAGAATGTCTTTGTATTTTAAATGAAATAATGGTGTGTTTACATTTTATGTAGTTGATAATGTATTCATCCAATTTTATTTTATATCATAGATATAGTGAGTTATTAAAATATTTTTAGAAATTAAAAAATATGAGAGTTATAGAAGAAGTAGGCTATGTCACTGATGAAGGCAAGGGATGAGGTAGAGAAATCAGTCAGGAGATTGGTACAATTAATAGTTTGAGATGTTGCTATCCTAGGAATTATAGAGACTAGGGGAAAAATTGAACAGAATCCTGCACATGAAGGGGATAGTTGTAAACATTTTGTTTTAAAAAGGGAAGGGCTATAGATTTACACTTAGGTGCTGGACAAATTTAAGAAATGTGTAAAGCAACAAATTCCTATAAAAATATAGGGAAGGAATCAAAGATTACAGGAGAACCTGGATATATTACATCCAGAAATCCTTCCTCCTGGACTAGATGGTTTATATTATCAAATATGATAAAGCCTTCTTATTATTGAAGTGCGGTCCTAGAACAAGCAGCATTCACTTTCTCTAGGAGCCTGTTTAAAATGTGAAAATTTAGGCACTGCTCCAGGCCTACTATATCAGATTTTACATTAAATAATTGCCAAATGATGTTTTTTGCACATTGAATTTGAGCAATGTATGGAACACTGGTTCTCTACCTTATTTGCATATTAGTATCATCTGGGGAGCCTTTAGAAATACCATTGCCTGGGCCATACCCTAGACTAAATTGGAGCCTGTGGGTTTGGCACTCGGGTATCTATATGTTTAAAGCTCCCTAGGTGGTTCTCTTGTGCAGCCAAGGTTGAGATCCAGTGCTGTAGGCACATGGAAGAGAACAAAGCAAAACTACACAATTACTAAGAAATGGTGAGGATTTTAGAGACTGGATTCTAGTCTTTGTTGTTTCTTTGAGAGTTAATTCATTTATTCCCTATAAATCAATTTTATTTTTGTATATTTTAAAATTATATTTAGCAAATATGCTCTTTCAGTTCTAAAATTATGTGATTTTTCTGTCTATGGATTGTAATTTAGGAGATACTTGGCAAAATATAATAATGGGTGGTAATCATTGGTATAGGATTAATTTGTGTATGGTAAGAAAATGTGCTGACTGTAACTGTTCAGAAATTGAGTGAGCAGTAGTGATCAG
Organism: Homo sapiens; assembly: GCF_000001405.40. Taxonomy (NCBI): domain Eukaryota; kingdom Metazoa; phylum Chordata; class Mammalia; order Primates; family Hominidae; genus Homo; species Homo sapiens. Next base: position 41,698,942 of record NC_000014.9, read on the forward strand.
AAAATTTAATTATATCAGAAACAGAAAAGCAATCAAAACTGGTTTGCAGAAATAAAAATAGATAAGCCAATAAATTTATGAGAGTGTAAGTTGAGATGAGTTTGAGAAAAGACAAAACAGGCAAAGTACATGACAGACTTGTAGAATTTTTTTTCATTTTTACCACTACAAAAGTGAGAAGAACATGATCAGTGCTTCTCGAACATTAACGTACAGAGGAATCGCCTGGAGATTTTTATTAAAATGAATATTCTTACCTTGTATGTCTCTGGGGTAGGTTATGAAATTCTGCTATTTAAATAAGGTTCTAGGTGATGAAATGCTTTTTCTGTGGGTCCACACTTACCGCAGCAAGGAGCTGGAACCTAGTTATCGCTAAAAGTAGTGCAAAGGTCTTGCTGCTCATGCATCTTTCTCAGTTGCCTTAGTAACTGCGCCTTTTCAGGATAAGACACAACTTATAAAATTCAAATGAAAATGAGATAAACTTCAGTGAGAGATAGAACAACATGTTAAAGGATTATGTGGAAGGAGTTTTGGGGGAGGAATTCCTGAAGTTCATAAAGATGAGACTACTTGAAGAAGAATTTGATTCCTCTCTAAAAAGATTAATAGAACTTACGAGCTTAGGAACTTAGAAGTTCAGCAGGACTGTTTTATCTGCAGCTGTCTTTGGTCATAGTCAATATAAAACTCCACATGCTTCACAAATGCGTTTACTCATCTGTTTATGTGACACTAACACTCCGTGGAAGAGATTGTTACAGGAGATAGAGTTATTGAGTCAACCCCAGACACTAATCAGGAACTGACTCCACTTTACATGGAGATATCATCAACAGAACATTTGAAAGTGTAGGTATTCAGGGAGCACTGAAGGAAATACAATAACATTAGAGTTGGAAGTAAACCATGCAGGGAGAAAAAGACCATTTTTTCTCTTTCAAGGATGAACAACTAAAACTGGTCGAGGAAAGTGTGTCAGAGGGCTCCTCCATCTTGAGAGAATAGGAGGAGGGGATATCTGCCAAGAATGAGAAAAAGAAATGAAGATTTACAACTCAGGAAAAAATGATCAGTAAAACATTACAAAGCCTTTTAAAGCAACGTGAAGATCTTGTTTGCTACTAGAAACATGAATTTGTGGCGGGCAAGGTACATGTTATTGTGCTGCAGCCCAGGGAAGGTAATGGAGAAGTAGGTGATTTTGTGTAGTGAGGGACTTGTGACCACTGTTGGTAATAGCACAGAACATAATTATGGAGGGGCAGTAAGGGTTACATGATAATAGTTGACTATTAATATTAGGAGAAGCGCAGGTAGCTAGAAAGGAACAAATGAGTTGAGTCAATTAGAAAGAAATTTAGTTTGAAGTTTTTGATGAATGTAAAGAGGCAAAAATGAATTACTTTGTGAGACATGGGGGCAAAAAAATATCTGAAACTTTGGGTTTGAAATATGCTATGTGATGACAAGTTACAAGGCATGGTTATATGAAGCGTAAACGAGTGATAGAGAGTGAATATGATCATCAATAGCATGAAGGAGAGAAGCTTTTCCTTTTTTAAAAACAGGATGATATGGGGTTTCACAATGTATTATTAGAGGTAGTATAGATGTCTGCATGTGTAAGACAGAAAAGAAAAGAGAAGAGAAGAAAAGAAAAGAAAAACAAAACATGCAAACCGGTTTTTGAACTTGTCGAGTAGGGAGAAAGTGGATCCTAGCTTTGAGGATTTGAAAAGAGGGATATAATCATAAAATCATAGAGTAATAGGTTTGGGAAGAAACTTAGAACTAATATTGTACAATACTATAACTTATAGATGAGGAAGATCATAACCAAGAGAGGAAATTTCTTGTCCAGAAACAGCTATCTCTTAGATAATGGTTGGGACTAGAATGCAAGGTAGTTAACCTCCCTTGTTCTTGGTAACAGTAAAGATGATGGCTGTGGTGGTAGTGATTTTGAACATAGTGGTGTAGGCATACATACCAAGAGCTTATTAAATAAGAAAACTTCGTTCCTAGCTAATACAAAATGGAAAGGTAAATTAATGTTTGGCTTTAATGCTCCCTCCAAAATGTTAGCTCTGTAAGGACAGGGGTTTTTCATCTCTTATTTCTTGGTAACATATCTGATTGAGTTAATACTCATTATATATTTGCAGAATACATGAATAAACACACCTTTTTAAAATTTAGAATATGTTGATCAATTAGATGCTATTGTAGAACTATGAGTCTGCTAAAGGGAATGTTATTTTATGAAGCATTTATCACTCCAAGTATTCACTAAGTATTGATGGACCATCAGAATACATAACACTTACTCAGCTCATAATATGAACCACATGCTGTACATACATTATTTTTTAGTCCTCGTAATAACTCTTGAAAGTAATTATTATACCAATGGGGACCTAAGCTTGTATTTAAACTGTCAATTTCTTACTGCTAGAGCTCAGACCAAAAATATATAGTGAACTTATTGGGCAGATGTTACAAAAGATAATTTGTGTGATAAAGTCTCTCTTGGGACAGAATACCTCTTTAAACAAAGAAGATGTCAGGCCGAAGTGGGTTCATCACAAAGCATTAATTGGTAAGTGGACGTTTCTGATTTGATAGATAAAAACCTGTCCCTGTCCCTGTCCTACCTGCATGAATATAGGTGTGCTTTATGGGCAGAGAAAAAGGCTGCTTCAATAAATGCTGTAATACACAGGGAAATGCAGAATGTGATAGGAAGAGAAACTCCACTATCTCACTTGACACAGATCACCAAGAGGACTCGTTGTTGAGAAGGCTCAGGATGATGGTGACAGCATCATGAATATCAAAGGGAAAAGTGGAGATTAGCACTACTTTGAAAGTTGTGACCTTTTAAACTTGGCTGATGGATCAACAGCATTAGCATCACCTAGAAGCCTTTCAGAAAAGCGGAACCTCAAGCCCAACCCCTGATTTACTATTAGGAATCTGCATTTTAACAAGCTCCCCATCCTAAAGTATGAGGAGCACTGGTAGGTAGTGCTTTGGGCTAAGCAGTTAGTTGGAGCAGAACCTCCTGGAGCAGTAGCAATATTAGAAATAGGAGACTTGCCCAGGACTAAGCATAGGACTTATTCTGAAGATCATGTACTGATTAGGTAGATGAATACAGACCCAATGTGAGCAAATGAGAGAGAATTTAAATAAAATCCTGCTAATTGCTATTAGCATGACTCCATCTGTAAGTACAAGTTAGTGAAGCCTAGGTAAATTGAGGTTTTTGTCTGTGTTACAAATGAGGACACCAAGACTCAGAGAAGTTAAGTAGCTTGCTCAAGGTGGCACATGCAGGGAATCCATGAAGCGACATACAAGGATGCTGAAGTGAAATACAGTTCACACTTCTAAATTAAATCAATAGGAAGCCACTGGCACCATACATTGTATACTTTCAATAATTCTGGTTATAATTAAAGCAGCTTCTATTCAAGGGCTGAATGTGATTCTTCTTGTTGGTGGTGAAGGTTTTGTTTGTTTGTTTTTTAGAGACAGGGTCTCGCTCTTTCACCCAGGGTGGAGAGCAGTGACACAATCGTAGCTCATTACACTCTCAAACTCCTGGGTTTCAGGGATTCTCCTGCCTCAACCTCCCAGAGAGCTGGCTCTACAGGAACATGCCACTGCGCCAGCTAATTTTTATTTTTTATTTTTTTGAGATGGGGTTTTGTTGTGTTGCACAGGCTGATCCTGAACACCTGACCTAGAGCCATCCTCCTGCTTGGGCCTCTCAAAGCTCTGGGACTATAGACATGAGCCACTAAACCCAGAATGAATGTGTTTTATAAGCATAATCACACTAATTTCTACAGTACTTTCTGGAGATAAGGATATACACTACTACTTAAACAATATATATTTTCTATCTCTCAGTTAAGAGAGAGAAAGAAGTTGGTGAAGCAGTACTGAACTCCCTCCTGAGGCTAAAATAGTTCAAAGTGTATTTTTACCTGTATCTTTTAAAACCATGGCACCCCTTTATCACTTTCAAATTCGAATGTGTGACAATTATTAAAAGATCCTTTTAGCTCTCCTGGTAAAAATGAAAGAGGAATGAAATGAAAATTCAGATTTTATAAACTAGGAATATTTTAAGACTGCAGTGTAGCTATCAAAGTCTGATGATAATGTCTGTATTTATCTACAAATGGAATATCGTTGTTTAGTTAATTAGAAATTAAACAATTTAATTAATTTAATTCTTCAGTTAATTTCTTCCAGCCCTTTAAATATAGTAATATTTGATGATGGGTTCTAATTTACATAGCATGTGCATATGTTATAAGGACACATTTAGTAAAATTAATGGTTTCTTCAAAAATAGCTTTTTTTTCTTGGAAGAGAAGATTTCTATAAACAAACATTGGACTTTTTCCTTTTATTTTTCCTGAAAAATCAAGACCCATGAAGTGACAACATTTTGTCAGCTTGTAAAAAACTGCATTAATTATTCCATTCTGACTATTTAATCAGTTTTCTCAGTTTTCCTTTTAAACTTATTCTATTAAACAGAATGGCCTTCAGAGCAATGACAGGTAAGACAGTGTTTTTTTTTGTTTGTTTTTTGTTTTTTTCCCAGCAAAAGTGTTTTCTTTAAAAAGGCTGCCACACACATCAGTTTTTGCTCCTTGTTTTCTTTCTTTTGGGAGAATAACTATTTATAAATAATTGCCTACAATAATGTGCACATTCTCAGAGTAAATGCCCCAGATTTGATGATCATTTCATGGTAACCCTTTGAAAATCAGCACATTTGCCTTCAAAGATGATAGTGTCAGGTGGTACAATAAATGTAAGTATTTTATCAGCATTATTGTAACAATTTTGTATCACACCTTGATAGTGTAGATTTGTTTTCTTTGGGGACTTTGACTTTCATGTATCTTCTTTTAATGGGACTTAATACTCATATTTAACAATGTCAAGCAGAGCATAAGGATGGAGAAAATCTTCAAAATTCTGTGTCTGACTTGCTTATCACTCCGATCTAGGTAGCTCCATTATTTACCCCAGAATTTTTTACCCTGTCAATATGACCTTCTATATTCTAGACTCAAGGAGATCATATCTCCACAAAAAGAAGCTGAAGGACAATAATGTTTTTAAAAGAAGTGTGTGGGCTAACAGTGGCCAAAACAGACCTTTACCAGTGGCTACTGCATTGCGCTTATTTGAATTTAAATGAATGCTTTTCCAAATATATTTCTCTAATATGGAGGCCATCTTTAGACATCAGCAGCCAGAGCTGTAGTTGGGGAATTATTTATAACTTCCAGAGTAGCCACGTGATTTCCCTTTCTCTCTTTTCCCTGGCATTGTCTCATCATCTCATTACTTTACCTCTGGCCTTGTATTGCTTGTACCTCACTTTCAGTGAGAATTTGACCTCCATTTTCTAGACTTATTGTTATACTTTTCTCTCTCTCTCTCTCTCTCTCTCTCTCTCTCTCTCTCTCTGTGTGTGTGTGTCTGTGAGATTTGAAGTCTCACTATGTTGCCCAGGCTGCAGTGCATTGGCTATTCACAGGCAATCATAGTGTACCACAGTCTTGAACTCCTGAGCCCAAGCCATCATCCTGCCTCAGCCTCCCAAGCGGGTGGAACTACAGATGCGTGCCACCACACCTGGATAGACTTATTTTTATAGTTGTCATTATTTTTCCTATCCACATGTCAAAATATATTATCACTTATTGTACTAGTTGCAGAGGTGTTTCTTAGCTTTGTGTTTTTTTGAAAGTGAAGGATCATGCCACTTTCCTATTATCGTTCCTTAGTTGTATATACAACAGGAAATAAGTATCTTTTAAAGATATTTTGGGAGAGGAAATAAAGAAGAAACCTATTATGTTAGCTGGAATATATTATACATCTCTGGAGAAATAAACTTATTGTAAGCAATTAGGTTTCTGGATTCTACCTGCTCATCTTCCAAATGCTCTTAAAGAATAAAAGATAAAAATGAGATACAGTTTAATGATGTGATGTATGTAGGCTAGTCAGCTGTATCACTCACTCATTAATTATAAGGATAAGTTATTATGTGGCTTTACTGGTTCACTTGTTTGTTTCTAGGAGCACTTAAATACTAAAATGTACCATTTTTCAAAAGGAGAGAGTAACAATTTTTCATATAAATTAACTAATATAATTGCAAATGAGCCTCAAAATCTATTTGGTGAAAATGCAAAAATAAAAAAAAAATCCCCAAACTAAACAATGTAACACACTACTCTGCGCAGTGCTATGGCCTCAGTTGCTTTCTTAGAGACAACAAAGATACTAAAGTGACATAAATACTAATGTCACCACAGCTGCCAGTTCTCCAAGTACCTTGTTCTAGATTGTGAAAATTCTTGAGGTGACTAAGGTAATTTTTGAATTGTTTTGAAATGATAATATTACAATTTGAAATTAAGGAACATATATGAAATAATACATACTATTTTGCATTATAAAATATTTTAGTAATTGTGAAATGCCATTAATATTTTGGTGATTACTCTTACGTCATATGCACATATACATAAGCATGCACACAGACAGACATAAAAATGATAGGATCATATAAGACATTGTATAGACTGTTTTATGATAGGGTAATACACTTTTCTTTTCTTTTTCTTCTTTGTCCAGCTCTTCTGTTCTTTATCCATATCATACTCTATCCCTACTCAAGGTAACCTAGCAACATGTTTATAGTTCCATATGTCTCATTATGCTCATATGTCATTTACATGGTATTTTATATACAGGGTTTACACATTTATAGTAAACGATCTTTATATAGTTTATACAATATCTGTTTTTCTTTTCTCTGCAATACAAACGTGTTTCATATCCCTCAAACACACCCACACCCCTCACTTACACATGTGTTATCACTGTTTGCTTTTGTAAACTTGTGTTCAACGTATACACATTAATCATTTAAGCATACCTTGTGGAAATCCTGCCAACTTGACTACTGTGCCTCCAATTTCTTCCTTTTTATCCCATCATAATAAACCTGGCAATAATTGATTCAACCATATGCACATTGATATCACTTATGCTGTTTGTTTATTTTTACTACTACAAACATGCTACAACAAAGTTCCGGAACTTTTTTTTTTGTTTTTTTTTGACACAGAGTTTTGCACTTGTTGCCCAGGCTGGAGTGCAATGGTGCGATCTTGGCTCACCGCAACCTGCACCTCCCAGGTTCAAGCGATTATCCCACCTCAGCCTCCTGAGTAGCTGGGATTACAGGCATGTGCCATCACGACTGGCTAATTTTGTATTTTTAGTAGAGACAGCGTTTCTCCATGTTGGCCAGGCTGGTCTTGAACTCCCGACCTCGGGTGATCCTCCAACCTCGGCCTCCCAAAGTGCTGGGATTACAGGTGTGAGCCACCATGTCCGGCCGTTTCTGTACTTTATCCTAAAAATTTTAGTGCTTTTTTTAAAATTTTTTATTTTTTATTTTTTATTCTTCAATGGAATAGATTCCCAGGAGAGGGCTTATTGAGTCAAAGATTCTGTTTATATTGTCAGTCTGACTTTTAAAAAGCCTATCAAAATCCACATTCCTTTATTCATATGTGAGTATGTCTTCTCACTCAGGCCATCTGTAGTTATTATCATTCATTTAAATTTATACCAGTCTATGTGATGGATGTTATCTAATATCTTAGTGTTGTTTTAATTTTATATTGAGCATCTTTTTATGTGTTTGCGGGCTTTTGTTTTGCTTTCATATGAATATTTTTCCTTTTGTTAAGTAGAGCTAGATTTAGTTGCATTAAATAAAACACTGTAAATAATAGTATGTAAAGCCATATAGAAAGATAAGTTTCTGTTATAAAAGAGATCTAGATGTTAGCAGTGCCTATAATGGTGGCTTTCTACTATAACCTGGGTCCTGGGTCCAGTCTGTGTTCTGTTGTGCTTAGCATCTTTTACCTGATCCACGAAAATGGGCTGGAACTTTAACCATTAAATCTACATCCCTGGCATGTAGAGACAGGAGGAGGAAAAGGAGGTGCACTTGCTCCCTCCCTTTAAAATAAATCTTCCCTAAATGCACAAATTTGTTCTGCCTGCCTATATAGTATTAACTGGAAGGTAGGTACTGCCACAAATAATTACAATATAGTTTATGAAGTGTAGTGTTTTACATTGTTGGAAGAAGGCCTGCCTTAAATGCAATTTTATCTTACTAAGGTGGAAGGCAAGAATATACATTAGGAGGTCAGAGGCATTCTCTGCCATGCTTATCCTTTTCCTACATTACTATTGGATTATCTGTCTTATTTATTAAATTTTGGGTACTACCTGCTACTGTCAAATCTGTCTTTTTCCTCTTAAGTTTTATGTTTTGGTTAAGAATTCTTCCCAAGTCACTGAATGAATATGATAATATCATGTTTCTAAGATGATATATTGCTTTATTTTGCATAATCAATCTTTGTATATTTTTACAAATAATGTGATGAAAGGATTTAAATTAGATTTTGTCTGTATGGCTATTAAGTATGTTAGCATTAGTAAATGATGAAACTCATCATGCTTTTCTCACTAAATTGAAATATGAACCTTGCCACTTACTTTACTTTTATATATACTAAAATATACTTCTGGACTTTCTCTCTTAATCTATTTTCTGTTATTCTGTCAGTACAATACTAATTTAAATTAATTATTTTCAAGTGTTAGCAAACTAGAGCACATTGACGAATGCAACCCCCTGCTTGATGTTTGTAAATAAAGTTTTATTGGAACTTACTCATGCCTCTGTTCATTTGCATATCATCTATGGCTGCTTTTGGACTACATTGGTAGAGCTCAATGGTTATATATTGCCCCAAAGACTAAAATATTAACTGTTAATTCTTTTACACAAAAGTTTCTTGGCCCCTAAATGACTAGTTAATGAGGGAAGGTATTGACCTAATTAAAAGATGTTCAAAAACTAAATACCTGCTAATGTCTAAATATTTATACATGTTAACTGTTTTGAGCAATAAATAAGATGACATATATATGCCAATACAAATTAAACTATTAACAAATTATCAAAACCAATTTTTGATATTAAAACAGATGATGAATTAAGTACCAAAATGTACAGTAAAGTATTTCATATTAGTACTTTTTCCATATTCATAAAGTTTTTATTTTTGGGAAGACATTTCTCTTAGGGATTATATCATATTGCATATTAAATATTTTTGTTATTTTGATTGCCGGAAACTTTAAACATACATTTAAAATACAGTATAATAAATGCCAAGTACACATTATCCACCTTCAATAATTATCACCAAATGGCTAATCTTATTCATTCATCTGCCTCTTCTCATTCAACAACTTAAAATATTTATCTCTAACATTGTATTATTTCATCTGTAAATATTTGAGCATTCATTGCTAAAGATTAAGAACTTTTAAAAACAAACCTGTGATACTATTATCAGGCTTAAAAAGCTACTATTACCTTATTAATATAATCAAATATCTAATCACTGTTCAAATTTCCGTATTTGCTTCATAAAGGTTCTTTTCATGATTGTTCTTCTAATCAAGATTCAAATAAATTCCAAGAATTACAATTAGTTGATGTTTCTGAAGTATCTTCAAGTCTATGAATTTTCATTTCCCACCTCCCTTGCCAGGAATTCCTTGAAGTAAGTAGGCTGCTTTGTTCTATATTGATCCCTCCCATTATGGATTTTGCTGAATTCCTTTTTTTTTTTACGTTTTGTTATTGATTGTATTTCCTGTGGACTAGTAGCTAGATACAAGATACAGAGGCTTGATAAGATTTAGATTCACATTTTAAAATCAATATTCTTCATAGATAGCGTTGTGTACTTCCAACTGTTTTTATCAGGAGGTACATTGTGTCTGGTTTATCTTAAGAATTGAGCTTTCATGTATTGTGAGCCTAACACATGTGTTAAAAACGTATCCATCTGGTGTTCCCTAATGATATTTTGAGCATTATTTGAGAGTCATTATTCATTAGGATATGAACGTGGTGATATTCTAGGTTTATTTTTCTTTCTTTATTTCTTAGCTGTAAGTCTTCTAGAAAGTAAAACTCGTACCAACTGTTTCTTCCACTTAGGCACAGTTCATGTAACTGTAAGTTTGATTATTTTCCTTTGTTTGCTGGTTTTCAGAATATCTTGGTTTCCTAGCATCAAACATAATATATATTTTATTTTATTTTATATCTGTTGGATTGATTGCCTATTGAATATCAATATGCTGAAATTAACACAAATTTGGCTAGTGAAAGATTCCTTTGGTTGTTTCCTAATTTCTTTTGAGTGGAACTCAGAAGACTTCCTTGCTTATATGGCAAAATGAGATGACCTAACCTGCTCTGTACATTTTTGGACCCAGACTTGGAATTCTGTTATATTTTTGAGGACTAGAACTTGAAATCACTTCTCATTTTTCACACTGTTTATTAAAGATGTTGACAGGGAAATACTTCATACATTTATTTTCCCATGTATTAATTCCTTTTTTATATTTTGCTTCAAATATTTTCCTAGTCATATTTTAAGCCTATTGAATATCTTACCTGCCAGTCCTTTTTATAGCATTAACTGTGGTGTGGAATTTCTCTTTGTATGTGAAGAATGACACTGTATGTCACCCATCTTAATTTATCTGTTTTATTTTATTTACTTGTATCTTCCTGGAATTTTATTTTAATTTTAGGAACATATAGCCAAAAAGCCAAAATAGCATAATAGGAAATATAAAAGATAATATAAGCTTATTTTGAGTTAATATTTTGTCAATAGTAAAAAGTAGATTTGTCTCAATTTTACCTAAATAGAAAAATATAATATTTTACTCCAATATAAAAATTCAAAGGAAAATAAAATGTATTGCAGCTTAAGTGACTTTACTATAGATGTAAATATACCTAAATAAACAACCACCATCAAATAAAAAGCATCAAACAATAATATTGAAATCCAGGGCCTGTATTCAGTTTTTTTTTCTCTGAGCATAGACTAACTGGCGTGTTTCACACTTAATTATTACCTATTCTAAATTCAAATATCATGATAGAATATATTGTTGTCTTTTAAATAAATGTAGTATAATTTACAGCTCTTGAAGACTGTAGATCAAGGTTGTTTACAGGCAAAACTTTTAAAGCAATAATATGAATGTATTGGATTATTGTGTTCCAATATAATACTGCAAGAAAGTATCAATACATTTTCTTTGGTATTAGTATGAAACAATTTTAGATACTGACCAAGAGTCTCAGTCTCCAAACATTTTGAAAGGACTTCAAATTAATGAAATTTCATTAGTGGCATACTCTTGCATCATGGCTTATTAAAGTTACTTCAGGAATAAGTTTTTAAAAGCATTTAACATATTTTTCTTAATCTTTTTTGAAATACCTAACGTGGTTATATCTTTTCAAATATGTATTCAGTAGAGGGTTTCCTGTTAATGTAGGTGTGTTTTTTGTTAATGTAGAGTAACAGCATAAGATACTGTTTTATGAAGATAATAGTAGTTCATTTTGTTATAACTAACAAGATTTCTTGATCTACTTTAGATTGAAAAAGGGATAAAACAAATTAAAACATATATATTTTTTATTTTTAAATTTTTTAAATTATACTTCAAGTTCTAGGGTACATGTGCACAACATGCATGTTTGTTACATATGTATACACATGCCAAGCTGGTGTGCTGCACCCATTAACTCGTCATTTACATTAGGTATATCTCCTAATGTTATCCCTCCCCCGTCCCCCGACCCCACGACAGGCCCCGGTGTGTGATGTTCCCCTGCCTGTGTCCATGTGTTCTCATTGTTCAATTCCCACCTACGAGTGAGAACATGTGGTGTTTGGCTTTCTGTCCTTGCGACAGAATGATGGTTTGCAGCTTCATCCATGTACCTACAAAGGACATGAACTCATCTTTTTTTATGGCTGCATAGTATTCCATGGTGTATATGTGCTGATGCATTTTTCATCTGACTTGCATATTTAGATAATCAATAATTTGATGACTCCACTCTGAAAATCACTCAAAATAGTAATTGAAACTATGTATTTAAATTATATCCATGAGTTTCTCTCTGTCAAGAAAGAAGACTAGATATCCTGAAGAAACATCTTACTACAAAGATGAAAAAAATGGTCTTAAATAGGCAATACATATGTACACCCACACACATACGCACACGCATGCACACATATTTTCAGGAATCGAATGAGTATTGACTAAGGCATAAAAGGCAAGTGAAAATAGGAAGCTAGAGCTGTATAAAAACTATAAAGTAGTCATAGAAGACGTTGAGCTTATTTTGTTTGATGGGTACATGGTGCAGAGGACAGGGTACAAAGCCAGGGCACATGTAGATGAGGGTCTCATAGGAGTTGCCTATATAAAGCCAGCCCTGGAGAGTAACATCTTACTGAATCATAGAGATAAGAAAAATGTTCTACATAGAAGGGGAGAAAAACACAGAGGACATATGTATATATCTCCTGAGAATTCAAATCTCCCCATCATGTAGAATAGATTTGGGACCTGAATATTCTGTACTTCTTGTTCCAAATAATCTTAAGCTGTAAATTACTTTTAATGTAGTCCCAGGTTTGTAGTGTTTAATGGATAGCTTGCAGAAGCAATCACAGTTTCTTTCTAAAGAAAACCTTAAAAAGAAGATTCCGTTTCACAGATAAACTGTTATTAATGTAAAATCACAGGAATACATCTGAAAACATAAAAAAACGCATTATGAATAAGACAATACAACCAAGAAGAAGTCAAAGAAAACAGAATTAGACTCTCCATGTTCTTAGATTTTGGAATGATAATTCTGGAATATAAAACCGTTTTGTGTGTGTGCATGTGTATGCACACATATATATGAATCAAAATGATGCTTAGGAATTGTATACTATGAAAAATTGCCATGAGGATTAGGAAAAGAGCTAAATGACACTTCATTAAATGAAAAATAATGTTGTAATTAAAAATCCATCCAACAGCAGATTAGACACAATAGAAGAAAGAATTGTTGAAGTTGACGAGAACGGAAGAAATGATACAACAAGAAGTGGAGGTAATATCGGGGAATATGCAAGAAAGACTGAGACACATGAGGGACAGCTTGAGATAATCTAATATATGTCAAAACAGTCTTATAAACAGATCAGGTACATCTCTTTTAAAAATTATATTGTCTTTCAAGACAGGATTAAAAACTCTGTAAGATTTATAATTTTCATTAAGAAAAAGGTTTTGGGCCAGGCGCAGTGGCTTACACCTATAATCCCAGCACTTTGGGAGGCTAAGGTAGGAGGATTGTTTGAGGCCAGGAGTTCGAGACCAGCTTAGGCAACCTAGTGACATCTCTATGACATAGACATCTCTATGACAAAGAAAAAATAAAAGGTAAAACGTTCTGAATTTTGCGTTAGTTTTGTATCTAGATATCTTCTTCTAAAATTGATCCACAGATTAAATGTCATTCCAAACAAAAGGATAATAGGTTTTGTTATATAACTTGGCAATTCTAAAATTAATATGTAAAGAGAAAGGATCAAAAATAGCCAAGACATATTTCTTTTTAAATGAACAGGTTTAGGTATTCTACCAAATCACAACAATTTTTATATAACCTAAGCAAGAAAGAGAAGGTGATTACTATGAAGTTTGCATAAGACATCTTAAAACAGGCTATTTTATGCTAATAACAGCTTAAATTTGATCTCATGCCCAAACTTTCCACTTTTGCTGCTCCTCCCATTTTGAAGTTTAAAATAATAGATTTAAAATTTTTTTCTCCAGAAAAGATGTGTGGTGATGAATATGTTAATTGTCTCGATTTAATCTGGTACAATGTATAGATATATCACAGCATTACATTTTACTCCACAAATATATGTAATTATTATTTTCCATGAAAAATAAAATAAAACAAATGTAAAGAGAAATATAATTTATAAAAGGAAAATAAAAGCCTGTGGTATTAACAAGGAAATATTCATGGAAGAGTCTGATTAAAAAAAGAGAGTCTACAAACAAATCTATGCAGATATGAAAACTGTATATCATAGAAATGTCTTTGCAGATTAGTGGGAAAGAATGGATTATTAAGAAAGCTGTAGAACCAGCTACTGAATGTGCATGTGAAAATATTTGAAAATGACTACAGTAATCCAAAATCAATTCCAGCTAAAGACTTAAATGTGCAAAACAGTCTGTTAGTAATTTCAAAGTAAATAATGGGAGAGTCTTCATAATGTAAGGGAAAATTTTAGGCAACATATTAACAATAAATAGTAAAGAAAAATGTGTGCAAACCATGGAAAGCAGTACTGAGAAATTAGACTCTTGTACAATTAAGATTTTTAAACATATATTTGATAAAGTACATCTAGTACAAAGACAATCTATAAACTTGTCTTTATTAACATAAAACTGAAGATATATGTAACACATAAAATTGAAATGAGTAGTATTGAGGTATACAAAAAAATCTATATACAATCTAAAATCTCCAGAATCTCAGTGTGAAATAGTCAAAAGGCATAAAGATGTATTTGCCAGAAGAGGAAAGAAGAACGATCAATAAACCTATAGAAGTACTTTCAATGTTATTGGTAATCAGAAAATTAAAAATTAAGAACGAAGTGAGATACCATTTCAAATATACCATATTGGCAAACTGTTAATCATTTATAATCAAGTTACAGTGTGTAGAGAACATTAATAATTTTGCCTGCTGATGAGAGGTAAATTGATACAATCTCTTCCTGAAACAATTTGTCATTATCTTTTAAAGTTGAGTGTGTTCATGCCTTATAACTTCATATATTCAGTTGTAGGAATGTAATAATTCCAGATAAATTTTTCTTAATGTGAGTTAGAAAAGAAGGTTCATGCCTGTATTTCTTGTAGCATCAGCAGGTTACAATCAAATGCCCACTGTCAGAGCAATTAATATGTAAATGGAGTTGTATTTTAAAAGGCAATGTCATGCAGCAGTTAAAATGAAACATAACTACATGCATAAATATGCAAAACTAAATTATATAAGAGAAATGGCATTATGTGTATCCTTTGTATGGCAATCATACCTCAATAAATTAAGGAAAAAAAGAAATGGAAAACATAAGATTTTTAAAAGTGCTTACTTTAAGTGGATGGGATATGGAATTCAAAGGAACAGAGACTTGAGAATCATAATTATCATCCTCTTTAGTTGATATTTAGAGGGATACTTCTTTCTCTTTCTCTTGGCTGCCCACATAAATTTGGTCATGCTTCTCCTCAAGGACTTACATTAAATCATGAGATTTGCTTAGATGAATCAACATATTATTTACCCCCAAAGCACAAAACATAATACTTGACATATAATTATCATACAAGAATTGTTACTGAACTATATAATAGTCTATTATTACTTCAAAATTATGCATGGTTAACAAAATTGGATTAATTTTTTCCCTTTGCTGTAGTGAACTGGTAAGGTTTTATTTACTATAATCAGAACTAATTTAATTGGACAGACGTGTGCTATTTTCTGATGTGTGGAGAACATTGGTATTTTAGATTTTTTTAGTCAAAGATGCTAAAAATCAGCTGGATGTGGTGGCTCATGCCTGTAATCTCAGCACTTTGGGAGGCCAAGGCAGGCAAATTGCTTGAGCCCACAAGTTCAAGACCAGCCTGAGCACATGGCAAAACCCCATCTCTACAAATAATGTAGAAATTAGCTAGGAGTGGTTGTGCACACCTATAGTCCCAGCTACTCAGGAGGCTGAGGCAGGAGTGTTGCTTAAGCATAGGAGGTTCAGGCTGCGGGGAGCTGTAATGATGCCACTGCACTCCAACTTGGGTGACAAAGTAAGACCCTATTTTTTTAAAAAAAAGTGCTGAAAAATCATTACGACTTTTTAGAATGTTTCATTTCAAGAGTTCTGGGCAACATAGTCCTCAAACTTTGAAAAAAACATAGAATGTTAAAGGGTTTTATAAAATGGTGGTGGTGGAAGGTATGCAGAGGCAGGCAGATTTCCAAGATCCTTATATCCAAGAGTAACATATCCATGAATTAAAGGAATTTGTATATTAAGGTATATGAACATAGAGAGAAAATTGAAACAAATTGGAGAGAAAACATCTTCAAAATCTTGTGCTATCTCTAATGCGTGAGACTGCATTACCATTTTGAAATGACTTATTTAAAAATCAAAGAGGGATTCTTTAAGACCACTTCTTTGGCATTATTTTATTTTTGATCTTATATCCTTCCTTTGTATTGAGTCACCAGAAATTCTATCATTTGATCCAATAATGTGGAATGTTTAACATTTTGAAGAGGTTTCAATTAGGTTAACAATGTAGAACATTCTATGGTTCCATATGAAAGGTCAGAATTCCAACTCTGCCTCTCTGTTCTTTTTAAACCTCTTCCTTTAACAAAAATACCTTATGTGGTATCTCACCTTAACTTTAATTTTCAGATGGACACTTTTTTCAGAAGCAAAGGAGTTTGCTTTCTCTGTGCCTTTGTTCCTTTTCTGCTGCTATAACAGAATACCACAGACTGGGAAATTTATAAGGAAAATAAGTTTATTCAGCTCACATTTCTGGAGGTTGGGAAGTACAAGAGCATGCCCCCGTTGCTTTGCAGGGTACAGTCTCCCTCCTGGCTGCTTCCACAGGCTGACATTGAGTGTCTGTGGCTTTTTCAAGTGCATTGTGCAAGCTGTCGTTGGATCTATCATTCTGGGGTCTGGAAGACAGTGGCCCTCTTCTCATAGCTCCACTAGGTGGTACTCCAGTAGGGACTCTGTGTGGGGGCTCTGACCCCACATTTCCCTTCCACACTGCCCAAGCAGAGGTTCTCCATGAGGGCCCTGCCCCTGCAGCAAACTTCTCCCTGGGCATTCAGGCGTTTCCATACATCTTCTGAAATCTAGGTGGAGGTTCCCAAACTCCAGTTCTTGACTTCTCTGCACTGGCAGGCTCAACACCACGTGGAAGCTGCCAAGGCTTGAGGCTTGCACCCTATGAAGCCACGGTCTAAGCTCTACCACAACTGGAGCAGCTGGTACACAGGACACCAAGTCTCTAGGCTGCACACAGCACGGGGACCCTGGGACTGGCCCCCAAGACCACTTTTTCCTCCTCAGCCTTTGGGCCTGTGATAGGAGGGACTGCCATGAAGACCTCTGGCATGCCCTGGAGACGTTTTTTCCATTGTCTTGGGGATTAACATTGGGCTCCTTGTTACTTATACAAATTTCTGCGGCCAGCTTGGATTTCTCCTCAGAAAATGATATTTTCTTTTTTATTGCATTGTCAGGCTGCAAATTTTCAGAACTTTTATGTTCTGCTTCCCCTGTAAAACTGACTGCCTTTAACAGCACACAAGTCACCTCTTCAGTGCTTTGCTGCTTAGAAATTTCTTCTGCCAGATACCCTAAATAATCTCTATCAAGTTCAAAATTCACAGACCTCTAGGGCAGGGGCAAAATGCTGCCAGTCTCTTTGCTAAAACATAGCAAGAGTCACCCTTATTCCAGTTCCCAACAAGATCCTCATCTCCATCTGAGACCACCTCAGCCTGGACTTTACTGTCCATATCCCTATCAGCATTTTGGGCAAAGCCATTCAACAAGTCTCTAGGAAGTGCGAAACTTTTCCACATTTTCCTGTCTTCTGAGCCATCCAAAATGCTCCAACCTCTGTCTGTTACCCAGTTCCAAAGTTGCTTCCACATGTTCAGGTATCTTTTCAGCAGCACCCCACTCTACTGGTGCTAATACACTGTTAAATTAGCAAATAAATTTCACCATGCATTTTGAAGGGGATATTCAAACCATAGCACTCTGGTTTTGTTTGATTTTCTTTCTGTCTTCTCTCCTTCAAGTCAGAGCCCACCATGGAATCCTTGTTCTGATGGATTTACTTTTCTATGCTCTATTTTCTAATAGAGTCTTTCAACCTTTGTTTTTCGTCAAACCAATGTATTTTCTAAATCGTGTCCTCCTTTACTGCTATAAAAACCACACAGGCTCATGATAGCAATGGTCATTTTAAAATTTCTTTTAACGAATCTAAGCTTATAGGTTAGCATTTTAAGTTGTCCATGTTTATAAATAAAAAAGAATGTAAATGGTGAAGATTCTACCCAGAAGTTATGGACGTCGTGGTTGCCCTCCCAACTCCACACTCAACCTCTATTACATCCCATTTAATTGTCTTAGGCAAAACATGTTTGATCTTTCAGTCTTGCAGGAATGGCTTAGAGTAGGCTTGGATGGATCAATGCATATTGAAGATAGACTTACTGAACATATTGAGGAAAGAATATTTCTGTGTTTAAATGAAAGCTATGAAAGCTAATTTTTTCTATGTCTTGCTAGATGTAAACACCAAAACACGTAGTTTTAAATTGCCACCTACATGGTGAAGCACCAGCCTTAGAGTAAAATTGACCCTGTGCACTTGAGGAGGGTTACGAAACTTGGATCCATGATGAAATTCCTGAGTCTCTCTGATCTTTGCTGAAGCCCATTCTCACCACAGCTTCCACTGTTGTTGACCAATAGTTTCTCTTATTGTTTTAAACCAGCTAAAGTTGGGTATTCTGTAACTTATGGTCAGACCCATATTAAGGGTTACACTAGTTTTTATCATTGAGTGTCTACACTGTGTTAAATCCTGAGGCTGACATTTTACATACTGTATAACTCTAGTGAACATTGCTAAAGGTAAATTCTCTCAATCTCAGCAGTCCTACAAATTTCCCCAAAAAGGGAAGTCTTTTTCCTGGTGTCTTCAGTCTCAAACCTCTTATTTATTTTAGAAAAGGGTGGTAGGCCAAAAGTTACTAGACAGGTTTTAGACCATGTATATTATAAATCCTACACCCATGGGCTGGCTCTTCACTATGGAATATAAGTATGCTTCTCATTTTTTGTGTTGTTCTTAGCTTAGGTGAAGCTAAGAACCTATGGAGACTTTTTGTCTCCAAAACCAAGACAGAAAGTGTCCTAGCATCTTGTTTTACATAGATAAAATGTAGCTACATTGTAATGCATGTAGTGGAAAAATAACTGGACTCTATTAAAATAATTGGCTATGGTCTTGGCATCTTCTCTTATTAACTAAGTGACCTTGGAGAAGTTACTTGACATCTCTAAGCCTTAGGTTCCTCATCTGTCAAAAGGAAATATCATATCTATTTGTAATGCCTGACAAATAGATTCACAATAATATGATTGTTGAATGTAATTGTAGAATATGCACTTCTCCGTCTTGCAATTTAAAATATCACCAGTACAAGTGATAACTGAGCTTATTGAAATTAGCCAACTATACCATTAAGTGTCATATTAAGTACCTGTTCTTTGATTTGTTTGACATGGATTAAAAAGGGCAGAGAAATATCTCTTTAGCTACTAACAGGCAGAAATTCTAGTTATTATAACCATTTTAAGCCTATATTTTACATGTACTTACCTATTGTTCATGTTTTTAAAGATAAGATTCTTCACTTTTAGAATTTACATATTTTGAATTCGTTTCTCATGCCACCTGCATATGGGAAAGCTCTCCGTGTTAGATGAGGTAGACAGCATAGTCAGTTCCCTCAAATACATCTCACGTCTTCCTGACTGCCTGTTTATTTAGGCAATTGGCCAAAACTCCACATCTCAGCCCTGATTCATCTACGCTAAATCTAAGCTAAATCTCACCTGCCTTATTAGCCATTGGCTCAGAAACTCAGCTTTAAACACTTTAGTGATTGACATTAAACTGGTGATAGGTACTGCTTTATAGGTACCTATGTATGGGGCATTAACAGGGATGGAAGTTTATTTTTCATAGTTAGAAAGAGGCATTTGCCACCTCTCTTGCAGCAAATAGGAATGAGGAAGCCAATGCTAGCTTCCTCTTGTGACTGTAAGACAGGAAGCCATTGAACAACCACAGAAGGAGGCAGCATTAAGAGGAAGCTGAACACTCTGGATTACAGAGTACCAGAAAAGAAAAATCTGGGGTAATTCATCACTTTTGTGAACTGTCCTTTCTCTGGAATCCCAGAATTGTCAGTCATTAGAATCTTTGTCTTTAATTATCATGCAAAACACGAAAAGAGACCTCATATAAAGGAATGTGTTCATTATTTTACTCTCATCCTGGCTGTGGGTACTCAAATCATTGAAAAGGGGCTTATATGTCTATTTATGAAATATGATGTCTATTTGTTCCATTTAGGCTTTCCATTTTAGCAAGAGTAGTAGATTTTAAGTAAGTGGTTTATTATTTTTAGACTGATAACATTTTAGATATGTGATATATTTTAAATATAAAAATGATGACTACTGCATCCTTTTATATTCATATTGTGTGGTATTTTAATATATGTTATACATATGTATATTTTAAGAAATTGTTGTTGAAATTATCCTATTGTAATAGTTATTATTGCAAGTCACCCACATAGCAACCTTTATTTCTTACTACTGTTTTTACTATGCCAACACTTAACACACTTAGTAATCTCATAAGCTTCAGATTACCTCTAATGCAACTTCACTGCATTCTGTCTAATCACTTTCTTGTTTCTGACATAGATAAATATTTCTCAAATCATTTTACTCTTTCCATCTTTTAAGATTTTGATATATACTTCAAAATTTTGATAGATTTTGAGATGTGTGTGTATATATATGTATGTGTGTGTGTATATATATATATATCTGAACTCACTCTCCATATATATATATATTTCCCTTTGGATATATACCCAGTTATGCGATTGCTATGTTAGAAAATTAATTACTTTGAGACCTTTCTAACTTTTTGATGTAGGTGTTTAGAGCTATAAACTTTCCTCATATATGTATATCTGAACTATCTCTCCATATAGAGAGGTATAGATATTTTTCTCTGTATGTACTGATTTACTTAATAATTTTAACTTTCATTTTAGATTCAAGGGGTACATGTGCAGGTTTGTCATATGAGTATATCGTGTGTTGCTGAGGTTTGGGATATGAATGATCCTGTCAAGCAGCTAGTGAGTATTGTACTCAATCATTAGTTTTTCCCTCATCCATCCCTTTCATTCTAGTAGTCCCCCGTGTCTATTATTGCCAACTTAATATCCATGAGTACCTAATGTTTAGCTCCCAATTGCAAGTAGAACATGTAATTTACTTAGGATAATGGTATCTAGCTCCATTCATGTTGCCACAAAAGACATGATTTCATATTTATGGCTGCATAGTATTCCATGATGTATATGTACCACATTTTCTTTATCCAATCCACTGTTGATGAGCACCTAGGTTGATTCCATGTCTTTGCTATTGTTAGTAGAACAGCAATGAACATAAGAGTAAATGTGTCTTTTCAGCAGAATGATGTATTTCCCTTTGGATATATACCCAGTAATGCGATTGCTAGGTTAGAAAATTAATTTGAGATCTTCCTAACTTTTTGATATAGGTGTTTAGGGTTATAAACTTTCCTCTTAACACTGCTTTCACTGTATCTCCTATATTTTGGTTTGTTGTGTCTCTGTTTACATATATTTCAAATAAATATTTGTTTTCTGCC
Organism: Homo sapiens; assembly: GCF_000001405.40. NCBI lineage: Eukaryota > Metazoa > Chordata > Mammalia > Primates > Hominidae > Homo > Homo sapiens. The sequence goes on from NC_000014.9 coordinate 41,720,623, forward strand.
TTAATTTCATTGTTTACTCAGAAGTTATTCAGGAGCAAGTTGTTTAATTTCCATGTGCTTGTGTGGTTTGGGGAAACTATTTTATATTGATATATATTTTTATTCCACTATGGTCTGATAATGTGGTTGGTGTCATTTTGATTTTTTTTAAATTTATTGAGACTTGCTTTATGGCCAAACATAATGTTGATCTTGGAGAATGTTTTGTGTGTAGATGAGAAGGATGTATATTCTCTTGTTGATAAGTGGAGTGTCCTATAGATGTCTGTTAGATACAATTGGTCAGTGTTGTATTCAAGTCCAGAATTCCTTTGTTAGTTTTCAGCATCAATGGTCTATCTAATGTTGTCAGTAGGGTGTTGAATTCTCCTACTATCATTCTGTGGCTCTGTAAGTCTTTTCATAGGTCTAGAAGTAGTTGTTTTATTAACCTGGGTGCTCCAGTGGTGGGTGCATATATATTTAGAATAGTTAAGTACTCTTGTTGATTTCAACTGTTTGTCATTATGTAATGTTCTTCTTTGGCTTTATTAAATCATTGTTTAAAGTTTATTTTATCTGATCTAAGAATAGCAACTCCTTTTTTTTCCATTTGAGTGACAGATCTTTCTCCAACCCTTTACTTTGAACCTATGGTTGTCATTGTGTGTGAGATGGGTTTCTTAAAGACAGCAGATGGATGAATCTTGCTTTTTAATCCGACTTGCAATTCTGTGCCTGTTAAATGGGGCATTTAGATCATTCACATTCAAGGTTAATATTGATATGTGAGGTTTAATCTTGTTGTGAAGTTGCTAGCTTGTTGCTTTGTAGTTTCTATTGTGTCGTTGCCTTATAGGCTCTGTGGACTATGTACTTAAGTGTGTTTTTGTGGTAGCAGGTATCATGCTTTCATTTCCATGTTTAGAACTCCCTTAAGAATCTTCTTTAAGGCTGATATAGTGATAATGAATTTCCTTAGTGCTTGCTTGACTAGAAAAAAAATGTATCTCCTTTGTTATGAAGCTTAAATGGTGGTATATGATATTCTGGGTTTTAATTTCTTTTCTTTAAGAATGCTGAAAAAAGGCTTCCAGTCTCTTCTGGCTTATAAGATTTATGCAGAAAAGTCTCCCGTTAGCCTGATGGGATTCCCTTTGTATGTAATCTAGTCTTTTTCTCAAGCTACCTTTTAGATTTTTTCTTCAGGGTTAGCCATGGACAGTCTGGGGACTATGTGTCTTGGTGATGTATATTTTGTACAGTATCTCACAGTTCTTCTCTGGGTTTCCTGTATCTGGATGTTTACCTCTTTAGCAAGATTAGGGAAATTTTCTTGAATTAATCCCTCAAATATGTTTTCCAAGTTGTTTACTTTTTTTGTTGATTCCAAAAATGCCGATAATTTGTAGGTTTGGTTGCTTTACATAATTCTATATTTTTTGAAGACTTTGTTCATTTTTTTAAATTATTTTTTCTTAATTTTTGTCTAATTTGGCTAGTTTGAAGGACCAGCTCCAAGCTCTGAAATTCTTTTTTTCTATTTGATCCAGTCTAGTAATAAGTGTTTCAATTATATTTTGAAATTCCTTAAGTTTTTCAATTTCAGAAATTCTGATTGATATCTTTTTAAAATGTTTATGTCTTCCTTCATTTCCTGGATTGATATAGAAGTTTCTCCATGTTGATTTTCAACCTTGTCTTGGGTCTCTTTGAGTTTCTTTGCAATCCATGCTTTTGAATTCTTTATCTGTCATTTCTGAGTTTCCATTTTGGTTAGTGACCGTTACCGGAGAGCTAGTGTGATCCATTGGTTGTTTCACTGCATTCAGATTTTTCATGGTTCCAGAATTCTTGTTCTGATTTCTTATGTGGAGACACTAGAACTTCTAATTTTTATAATCATTTTCATATGTGAATAATTTTTTTTCTTTTTCTTTCTCTCCCTATAATAAAATACGGTGTTTTTTTTTTTTCTTTCTCTTTCCCTTTTCCCTTTGTCCCCACTCCGGGGTGTGATTGTAAAGAATGTTGGGAAGAGTCTTTTTGCTTTGCCTCTATAGCCCTATGCATTTCAGCAGATTTTATATTGGGCTGTGCAGTTCATCCTACAAGTCAGTAAATGATTCTTATGGGTAAGTGCCAGATGTGGCCAGTGTGGCTGCATATATACTTAATTCTTGTTTACTGGGAGCTCTCTGTTCCCTCAGACAATGGGCTGATTCATGGAATACACAATGTTCTGTGCTCCTAAGGTGGGGGACAAGATGGGTGGGGCCAGGTTGGGCAGGTCCACCTACAGTTTCCCTGCTGGCAGGCGCAAGCACCAGTGCCAAGGGAGAATCAAATGGGTAGCCACCAAGCACCCAGAAGTGTGCCTAGGCTTGAAGCTGGGAAACCTCCTTGGCCCCAAGCTCTCTGCATAGTAGGTGGGGTAGCCTCAACTCCTAATCCAGGAGAGTGAGTGCTCCAGATAGCTGGAAATTTGCATGGGTGTGAGGTGTAGAAGACCCCAGTGCAGCACGATCGCTCCACAAGAATGGTGGGGTGCCTCAGGCTGCTGAACCAGGCAAGCGGATACTCCTAATGCCTGGAAATCTGCGTGGATGTGAATTGGAGAGGGCCTCCCTGTACCAGGATCTCTGCACAGAAAGGGTGGTGTGGCTCAGGCTGCTGAGCAAGGCAAGCAGGTGCTTAGAATGCCTGGAAGTCTACTTTGGTGTAAAGTGGAGAGGGCCTCCCTGTACCAGGATCTCTACACAGAAAGGGTGGTGTGGCTTGGGCTACTGAACCAGGCAAGCAGGTTCTCAGAATGCCTGGAGCTCTGACCAAGTATGAGGAAGACAGGGCCTTCTTGCACCAAGATTTCTGCACAGGAAGGATGGGACAGCTCAGGCTGCTAGTTCATGTTAGCGGATGTCCCAAATGCCTGGTGATCTTCCCAGGAGTGGAGCAGAGGGCACCCTGCTGCACCAGGATCTCTGGGGAGCAGGCTAGGGCATCCAGCAATGACACACACAGACTGGTTCCAGGTCCCCAAGCTGACTCTTGCTGCAAATCTCGTTGCCCAGGAGAAACCAGAGCTGCAGCAGCTCTTCTCCTGTCCCAGGCCTGTGACCATGGAGAGCACAATTCTAGCACCTACTACTGAGCCACTTTTCACAGTTCTGAGTGTGAAGGCCCCTACCCTACTCCAGAGTAAGAACTCTAGTCTCTGGCCTGAAACTAAAATGCCTGTGCCATCATAATGCCATGTCACCAAAGAATGACTGACTTTGTATACACCTGGATTAAAAATTATGTCCTGTTCTTGGTCCTGGGTCTGGGTTAAACACCTGACACTTTTCATGGTATCTTTCCCTCTCACTGTCTGTAAGCCTATCTCCAAGTTAGCTCCAGGTCTGGAGAGAAACAAAATGTTCTCCCTTGGCCTCGAATTCCATGTGAAAAGATGAGTCACAAAAGGAGGTTCTGTGCCTCTCTCACGTACTGGGGCTACACTCACTTTTATCAGCCAAATGCTGTCATGGGGTCTGTCTACCCATCTCTTCTCCTTCTTGAGATCTGGAGTGTCCTTCATGCTTCCAATTTTCTTTCTCAAAATACAACTGACAGAGTTGATCTGTATGCACTATCTTGCTGTTTTCAAGTGGCATGCTAAAATCCCCTGGTATTCCATCTTGGGAAAAAAAACTAAAATGACTTTGAAACATTAGAAAGCACCCCTAATTTTCACAGTTAGCGTGACTGAAAGAACCATTTACATTTAGAGCATAAGGTTTTTTTCAGACAACAAATTTACAAACTAAAAACCTTTGAAACACATTAGGATATTTATATGTCATTACCAACTAGCTAATACCTTTAGCTAAAATATATTCTAAAATGCTGCACTGAAGACTGAAATAATTTGCATTTGAGATCTAAAAACTGTTCATAAGCTCATATGAATGAATTTATATTAATTAAAACTACAAGGCCATATTAAGTTATGGTTGTTTTAAGTAGCAAAATGGCCAGTGTAGATATTTTTATCTTTGTGTAATATAATAAGTATAAATATTTTCAAGAATGTGTTATGACTAATATATAATATAGAATGTAATAACCTGGAAAATTATTGTATGTGATAATTATTAATTTTAATCTTTAAATGTTTACATCTTTATACCTCAACCCGCCCTTATGAGAATCATGTCAGTTCTTCATTCATCTTTGTCCCACAGCCATAATAAAAGTCTCATTTATTTTTCCTACTGTTTGAACTTTCTATTTCAAACTTTGGTAATCGGTTACTACCTTTCAAAAGCCTTGTAGATTTTGAAGGACTATATTCCCTTATTTTTTGTCCATTTTGTCAGATTATCCTTTTTTTTAACAGAGCTGAATTGTTACATTTATTGGCCCTGTTGAAGTGAAAAACCACTAGGATATTTTGCCTTGGGGCTATGTATTTTCCCTTTCTTGTTTCTTAGTAAATAGGAGCCTAGTACTAGAAATTGAGTTATTGGCCCATCGCCTTACATTAATTCTCTCATTTATGCTTTATTACTACTTTAACAAGGTGCTTAGAGTTAGGATTCACATTTTAGATGTGGCGAACTTGAGGCTTAAAAATGTTGCTATCATCCTTAGGTGACATTGCTATTAAGAGGAGGACTCAGGATAAGAACGTGGGGCTAGCTGACTTTGGAATCCTTGCTTTAACTCTTGTGTTTTCTGCTTCACATTTGCTTGCATGGCTTCATCTGCTGTTTGGAGATAGTTGACATTTCACTGCATCTTGATTCACAAGTTTTATTTCTGTATATCATGTGGTAGTTAGGTCAGGACTAGAGAGATATCTTCTTGTCTCTTCTAACCCTTACTGGCTATTGTCCACTGCCTGACAGATGAAAACTAGTCATCTCTCTGAAAACTATAAGCCAGAAGTCATTCTTAATTCCATAGTTGTTGTACCATATTTTTGGGGCCAGAACATTTCTTTAATGTATACATCTTGTACCCTCAACCAAATCTGTTTGTTAGGAGTTGGTAAATATTTGCCAGAATTACTGTAAATTGCCACATATGTGTAATTATTACAGAGTGCTTCTGATCAAATAATATTTCTAAGTCTCCACTGAACCAGATTGCTTTACTTCATGAAGTCTTTTAAGATCTTCCAGGCTCTGTATGTCTGTTTCATAATATATATAGATTCCTGAATGCAGAAGACATGCTCTTTTCTGGAGTAACCAGTATTTACTTTTAACTCTCCAATTTTATATTTATTTGCTTTCTCTTATACTAAGGTAAAAAACATGTTAGAAAATGTTACTGTTCAAAGTGTTTACCTCTTATCTCCTAAACAGGAAATTATGATTCATTTGGTTTAAATTTCTCATCAGTTATTTATTTGGTAGATTTTTCCTAGTTTTTAAACACGATTGCTCTCAGAAACCTAAGCATAGAGTATCAAGTACGATTGATGATCACAACACATTAATTGGATAAAAAGGGGATCATGTTACTTAAGTAGCTTGGCTTACAATTGGCCATAGAACTGTTCCTATTTGGAGCTCAAAAGTATGATACATAGTCTTTGTTCCTTCAATTATTATTTTTTCATTATCTACGCTCTAATTTTGCTATCTGGTAAACCTTGTTGTTCAGAGGGATCCAGGGAACTTTCATCATTGCTTGCCTTTCCTATAAACTGCGTTCATTTTTCCTTTCCAATTTGTGTCAATTAAAACTTTCCTAAGTTATAATTTGGTGGAACTTAATCTTTGTTAAATAACAAATATACTGTATGAAAGATAACTCTTGCTAAACTGCATCAGAGGAAGTAACACCCATGCATCCTTCCAGGATATTCTACAAATAATAACTAAACTAAAATAATGTTTATAATGCCTGAATTTTCATAGGGGCATTATGATGCTGAAACTGAAGACCAATGTGCCTCTGAAAACCCATATGAACAGTAGTCTGTTCTACTTAGTCATACCTACTCCATGAACAAAATAATGGTTCATATATTTTTTTCTATTTTTTTTGACTTTTTAATGGCCATCACAGAAATCTATCACTCTGAAACAGTTTTCTCTGTTACAGGTGGTTCAAAAGTATAAAGCACATTATTCATTATAGTTAAACTGCTGAACTGTGTAAACATACATATTTACTAAAACGACTAAAATGGGTAATATTTTAATAGATCATTGATAGATATTTAGTAAAAACACTAAATCAACATAATGCTCGCCAGAGCAATATAGGACTATAGTAAGAGTGTAGACAAAAGGCTGTAATTGTATGTATATATTAACATTTTATGTAAAATTATTTACTTTCAGTTTCTTTACCAGTTATTTTTTGTTTCTTACCCTTAATATGAATTTTGTTGCAAAACGAGGTCATAACATCTTGGTGTTTTATGAAACTTGTGCACTATGCAATTTAGTCAGTGCTTATACATAGGTGAGACACTTCCATTTGAAGATGGAATCACCATTGACCTTTTACAGTGACAAGACTTTTTACTAATCATTTATTTGAGGGTAATGACTTCACATATGTGTGGAAGAATATAATCTTAATGTTGGAAACTAATTTAAAAGTCATTTGTATGTTAAAACAGTGAACTATTTACTGGTAACTATCTTAAACGACAGTTAGTATTAAAACCAGTGCTTTATAAACATCAAATCAGCAATGGAGGTAAAACAGCCAGTCAGCCAGGCCTCATGGCTCCAAGTTGTAATCTTAGCACTTTAGCAGGCAGAGGCAGGAGGCTTACTTGAGCCCAGGAGTTTGAGACCAGCCTGGGCAGCAAAGCAAAAATCCGATCTCTATAAATAAATAAATAAATAAATAGGAAAGAAAAAAAATTAGCCAGTCATGGTGGCACACTTGTGTAGTTCTAGCTACTCAGAAGGCTGAGCAGGGAGGATTGCTTGAGCCTAAGAGTTTGAGGCTGTAGTCAGGTGTGATTCTGCCACTTCACTCCAACATAGACGAAAGAGTGAGACCCTGTCTCTAAAATAAAATAAATATATTTTTAAAATAAAATAAATAGTCAACATCATCAAGCAGCATGTATAATACAAAATAATAAGAGTAATAATAAAAACAAATAAATAGAAACAATTTCAACAAAACATTTGAACTGGAGTCTGAAATGTATGGATCTTAGTTCTGGCAGTACCTTTGGCTGTATATGTGACTTTGAGCCAAAATACTTTTATTTTCTGCATTTATAAAATATTCCAACTATGAAAGTTAGGTGAGTATTGAGTAGTACATGAAGGTGGGGTGGTAGAGGATTACTAAATTGCTAAATAATCTGAAATGCAAATGCCTTCTCACCCTTGAGTGTAAATTCTCCAGAGAGGTCAGTTGCAGTTTTGTCTGTTTTGTTTTCATGACACTGCATTAACATACACCCATGCTTATTTTCAGGTTTCTGCTCATTCAGTGGGAAAATTCTGGTAATGATTTTGGCAATATCACTCCTGTTGGGGGTGGTTTCCAAAATCTAAAGGGCTGTATTTCACTTTGAGCAATCTTCCATTAGTCATATTTATTGGATAAACTTGGCCAGGTCAGCAATCACTAAAAGCACACGCAAACAAATTTAGTTGGTGTTGCTTCTGTTTGAAGAAAACACAAATAAGGTAGGCTGTAACTATCTCTTTGAGAGTTACAGACTAACAACTTAAAAAATCTATAATCCAGAGAAGAAAAGACTAGATATAATTGCTCAGCAAAAAAGTTTACGTGTCTGAGCCTCCTATAGATAGATCATCTTAATGAGTCCAAAGACTCTCAAGGAAAAAGAAAACACACACATCTTTGTCTTTCCATTTCAAAAATGATGGAAGTCTTTCAAGTATGAAAAATAAAGCAAATTGAAACCATCTCCTATCTGTCTTTTAATAAAACAAGAGTGAAAGATACTGCATAATCTTTGTAAATGTTTGTAAATCCTTTAACTCTCAGATTTCTTTTGTAATTAAGATTAGAATCTATTCAATTCATCTAACTTTCTCTCCTAATTCTTTATCATTAAGAGAATTCATCAAGGCTACCACATAAGAATGGGAAAGATTCCAAATTTTATAGCTGCCTTCTATATTGAAGCCAAAACATTTTATGAGTCTCTTGGTTCTAATGTTCTTAACTCAGTTGAGTGTCTGAGCATTTTAGATGAGAGACATTTTTATCACTTTGACAAAAATGGCATCTTTAATTTTAATGGCTCCATCAAAAATTGATCAAGCATGTTGTTTTTTGTGAGTCCTTTTAGAAATGAATTCACTAACCAACAATTTTAAAGATTCATCCATTTTTATTTAAAAACGTCCCTTCAGCTCACTACATGAACTATTTATTCACAGATGGCATCTTTTAAAAATAAATCTGAATTGTGTTTTGAAACCCAGAACCAAGGTTTCCAACAATGAGCTCAGTTTTTGCAGTTAATCAATCATTCAGTCACACCATCTGATGTGGTTTGAACATTTGTCCTCTCCAAATCTCATGTCGAAATGTGATTCCCAGTGTTGGAGGTGGAGCTTTGTGGGAGGTGGTTGGTTTAGGGGGTCAGATCCCTTGTGAATGGCTTAGCACCATTGCTTTGGTGATGGATAAGTTATTGCCCAGTTTGTTCACACAAAAGTTGGTTATTTAAAAGAGTGTAGCACCTCCCTTATTTCTCTCTCTTGCTCCCATTCTTGCCATATGACATCCCTCCTCCCCACTTCACCTTCCATCATGACTATAAGCTTCCAGAAGCCTGCAATAGAAGCAGATGCCAGCACCACACTACCCATACTCCCTGTAGAACCATGAGCCAATTAAACCTCCTTTCTTTATAAATTATAAATTTCTTTATAAATTTACCAGTCTCAGGTATTCCTTTATAGTAACACAAACAGAGTAATACAACATTATAGTATTACCTATCCTCATTTTCATAAACAATCGTTTCCTATTCTATACAGGAAAGAATACATTATTTTGAGTGACAATGCTTTTGTAATTTCAAACCTTTTAAAAATAATTCTTGCATATATTTTGATATCTTAATTCTTGTACACATTTATATCTTAAGTAGTTCTATGGAAGGCATGATTTTAAAAAAATGAAGTTTTGTTTTTGCACCCCTCTTTTAAAAGAAATATGTCCAAGTTAATGCATTCTGTACCTATAATATTCATTTTTTTAAAAAAATACTCAAATATTTAGCAATGGTTTTGGAGTTTTAAATATTTTAAAGTATACATGATTATTAGGGGAAAATTTAAGAAAGCAACACTTTGTTGCCAATTAGGTGAAGAATAATTTATTTAAAGAGATAGTTTACTGGAAGAATTAGTATTAAAAATTTTAATTGTTGAAACCAAATCGTATATAAACTGCAACCTAAAACATTAGAAGTAATGTTCTGTATATAATCTGTACATGTTTGCCAAAATTCTGTTTCTGGTATTTTAACATAGCAATTGTTTTTCTGTTCATAAATAAAGATGAAAATGTTTATTGCAAATTATCAGTTATTTATTATCTCATTACAGATGCAAATAAAACCATAGACAAAAATAGACTGCTTTTAAATGGCTGTCTTCTAATTTTCACCTTGTATTACAAAGATGATATGAACTACTAAACTATATTATTTAAAAATAAATAAAGGTCCTTATCATTTATCACCCCTACAGTAAATATTGAACAAAACAACCATGTCTCTATTCCTTTCTAGTCTTTGATAATATGCAAACTTACTTTTATCAATGTTGCTAAATTTCGAACACTTTAGTGGCAATGCACTTTGCTAGATTTAGAATATAATGGACTTGCAAGGAGATGCATATTGTTTTATATTTCAGGGAGCCTAAAATGTGATTTACAAACCATTCTTATGAGTCCAGAAAGGATTTCCACAGGAAATGTAGTTTGAGTGTGAACTTGATGTTTAGAAATAGTTATAAAAAAGGCATAGATAATATCAGTTTTGTACGTTAACACATATTATATAATTTTCATTTTTAATGACTATATAGTGTTCAAGTCATCTCTATTTTACGTAATGATTTTTCTGTTTTAGAGCCTTGGTTCTTTTCAGTCCTTTAATTTGCCATTATACATATGTCTAATAGAATATATATGTATATATCTGTATGATTTTATTAAAATAAAGCCACCAAAATGGTATGGTTTTGTTAACAAAAGATGAGAGTTTAAAAAAAAAATAGAGAATTTGAAGTTGCCTTTCCTTTCTCCGATCATTGGTAATGTCTTAATTTATGCCTGTATATGTTAATTGAATGAAAGGTTCTCATCTGCTCATTTGGTGGGTAGTACCCAATGGAGTGGTCTATACAAAATGGGATTTTAGCATCTAGATGTTCATTTTTAAAAACAAAAGGAAATTTTGTAGTTATATATTTCAAGACTCTTAATATCTAAGATGTTTAATGATGCAATGATAATAAATTTTTCTTATGGACAATGACAACAACAATAAAAAAGTGTGAGATAATTGAGTCTAGGACCAAAGTCTCATCACACACCAACTGTAGGTCTTCGTCACTCTATTTTCCTTTTGTCCATGGTTAAAATTATCTAAATCATTTGGGTTTTTATTTATATTTTCAGATCATATGAATTTACGGGATCTTTTTTTCACATACAGTATCTGAAATGCTCTCTCTCTCTCTCTTTTTAAATTTGTCACAAACTTAACCAGATTTGATATTTTCAAAGGTAAGTCCCATTCTTGGCTACCTTCTGTGTTCTTCAGTGTCTTGTGCTAACTCTTCACTGATATTATCTTATTTAATTTTCATGTAAAATCTGTGAGATAAAATAATTGGTGCTTAGGTAAAATGACTTTCTAATAATCATAAAGCTAATAAATGATAGAATCAAATTTTAAAATATCCCTCTTTCTAGTATAGTTATTATGCAGTCTTGCATCAGATAGATCTGTATGGAGTTCCATTCTTGCTACTTCCACCATTCTACCCTAAAATTGTCACCTATAGCCTGCACTATGGAAATCATCCCCTAACTGATTTCTCTGCTTCAACTTTAGCCATCATCAGCCAGAAAAATATTTGAAAAAATATAAATTTGATCATGTAATCCATTGTTGATGTTTTCCCTTCTTTATCTCCTTCAGATATTTGAGCTAAATTTACATGATAAGGAGTTAGCTAGGCAAAGAAGAGGAATTAGGATATTCCAAATTGGTGGTGCAGATGCCTCACATATCCAAAAGGCAAGTTTGCTTGAAGATTTGCAAGTATAATTAGAGAGTTGAAGTCATTTTTTAAAGTATATGTTTTAGCAGGTGATTCTGGAATGATGGCATAGTGAGAAGCACCAGAAATCTGTCTTCTCATCCAGACAACAAATTTACTTTCAGAATATGTCTGATATAACTGTACTGAAACTCTGAAGCCTATTGAAGTCTTGAAACTTCTGAAAGAAGGATTGGACAGTAAATTGTAGTTAATTTTGATCTTCCACTTCAGCTACCCATCCCCTGCACCCAGTTCCAGGGCAGCCAGCTGTGTACATGTTCCTAGAGCAGCATGCATACAGCTTGGGGAAGCCAGAATGTGCAAAAATGACTCTCAAATATCAGGATCTGTGTTCTGATTATTGATTGCTGATTTTGATGATTATGACGAGGCAGTGGCCGTTATTGTTTCACCAACCCCTATTGTTGTAAGTCTTCTGCTTCTGGCTGAGGTGACTTCAAGGGGATTTAAGAGGCTGGTGCCTTGTTCCCACTTTTATTTTTGCCTTTGTCTCATTTTGGGAGCCAGACATTGATAACTAAAATATTTTTTAAAAATACATATATTAGGTAAATTAAGAAGTAACCACACTTGCCAAGGGGAAGTTACAGGCTTAAATAAGACATGAAAATACCTTAAGTTTACATTTCAGGCGAACTCTGCAACAGAGACAGCCTACAACAATCAAAACGAAACATAAACAAAAAATGAAAACAAGAACAAACACTGTGGGAAAGGGATAATCTAATATTCTAGGGTTATTATATAATTAGATTCAAATGTATAGTTTTCAGAAAAATGTATAAACATACAAGGAAACAAGAAAAGATGAGATAGTTCAAGAAAAAAAATTAACCAACAGAATTTCTGATGGCAGATCTACTAGACAAAAAAAAAATCTGTATTAAAAATACTCAAAGAATTAAAGGAACACATTGAAACGTCAACACAATTATATGTGAACAAAGTAGAAAAATCAATAAATTTACAGAAAACCTAAGGAGAAACAAAAAATATCTTATAGCTAAAAAGTACCAGAAAAGAAAAGAAAAAAATTCACTAGAGGGATTTATAGAAAGATTTCATCAGGCTGGAGCAAGAATCAGCAAACTTGAAGATAGAGCATTAAAAATTATAGTCTTAGGAAAAGAAAGTTAAAAAAAAAAAACAGATTGAACAAAAGGACCATTGGTATGTCATCAAGGAGACCAACACATTTTGTAGACCTAAAGAAGAGAGTTAGAAAGGAGCAGAGAGAATGTTTGAAGAAATAATGGCTGAAGGCTTTCCAAATTTGATGAAAGACATAAATATAAGCAGCTAAGAATCTCAGAGAACTCCACGTGGGATGAACTCAAAGACAGCCACACCTAAATACATTATATAATCAAACTGTTTAAAGACAAATAAATTTGAAAGCAGCATGGGAGAAGCCTGCTTATCATATGCAAACGATACTAATAAGTAACTTTGGAGGCCACAAAGCTGTGGGTTGATACATTCAGTGCTAAAAGAAAATTAAAAAAAAAAATATCAACCAAGACTCCTGTATTTAACAAAACTTGTCTTCAAAAGTGACAGAGAAAGTAAAAGAATCCCAGATAAAGAAAAGCTGAAGTAGTTATTACCAGTAGACCTGCCTTAAAATAAATGTTAAGGAGAGTTCTGCAGATCAAAATAAGAAGACATCAAACAGTAGGTCTCAATCAGTAAGAAGAAATAAAGATCTCAGTAAAGGTAAGTAAGTATGTGGGAAATTGTAAAAGTCATATTATTTTTAATAATTGTAACTCCACTTTTTGATTTCTCCATGATTTAGTCATGAATACATTAAAAAGCAATTACTCTAAAAGCTAATATCATTGTAACTCTGGTTGGTAACTCTAAATTTTGTTTTCTACACAATTTAAAATATTAATATATAAAAAAATTATTGATTTATGAACAATGGTTCCTTATTGATTTTTTATCTACATAAACTGCCCAGTGTTGCAAGTAGGGTATTGAAGTATTCTGTTGTTATTGTATTGCAGATCTCTTTCTTCAGTTCTATTAATATTTGCTTTATATATTCAGGTCCTCTGATGCTGTGTTTATATATGTATATATATATTTTTTCTTTTCTTTTCTTTTCTTTTTTTTTTTTTGTGATGGAGTTTCACTCTTATTGCCCAGGCTGGGGTGCAATGGCATGATCTCGGCTCACTGCAACCTCTGCCTCCTGGGTTCAAGCAATTCTCCCGCCTCAGCCTTCTGAGTAGCCGGGATTACAGGTGCGCACCAATTTTGTATTTTTAGTAGAGATGGGGTTTCACCATGTTGGCCAGGCTGGTCTTGAACTCCTGACCTCAGGTGATCTGCCACCTCAGCCTCCCAAAGTACTGGGATTACAGGCGTGAGCCACCTTTCCTGGACTGGTTTTATATATATATATATATATATATATATATTTAAATTTGCTGTAACTTATTGATGAATTGACCTTTTATTGTTTTATAATGACATAATGACATCATTTTCTTTTGTATAGTTTTCAACTTAAAGTCTATTTTATCTTATATAAGTATAGCTATCTAGCTACCCCTGCTCTCTTTTGTTTCCATTTGCATGGAATACCTTTTTTCCATTCTATTGTTTTCAGTCTCTGTGTGTGCAGAGAGGTGAAGTAAGCTTCTTATAAGCAGTATACAATGGAGTCTTGTCTTTTTTTTTAATCCACTCAGCCTCTTTATGTCTTTCAATTGTGAAATTAAATTCATTTACATTCAAAGTAATTGCTGATGGGTAAGAACTTATGCCATTTGTTCATTACATTCTGGTTAGTTTGTAGATCATTTGTTATCTCTTCCTTTCTTGCTGTCTGCATTTTGTTGAATTTCTGTAGTGGTATGCTTTGAATTATTTCATTTATCTTTTGTGTATCTAGTAAGGGTTTTGCTTGTGGTTACAATAATGCTTACATAAAATATATTGACAGATTATTTTAAGCTAATAATAACTTAACTTTGATCACTTACAAAAAAAGCTCCACTTCCCCTGACAACCAAAAAAGTGTTTTTGATGACACATGCTTATCTTTTATAGTTTGTGTTACTTAACATATTTTTGTAACTATAGTTTTTAATAGTTCTTTCTTTAAACCATCATCGTAAATATTTGATTTATTTTCTCAACATCATTACAGCATAAAAATATTCTGAGTTTTACTCGACTTATTTTTACTAATGAATTTTATATTTTTACATGTTTTTATGTCACTACATTGCAATGTTTTCCTTTAGCATGAAAAACTTTAACATTTCTTATACAAATAAATTCCTTTGGGTTTTGTCTGAAAAAGTTTTTGCCATCCATTCACCTTTATTTTTATTTTTATTTTATATATTTTTTGATACAGTGTCTCAGTCTGTTACCCAGGCAGTAATGCAGTGGCACAATCATGGCTCACTGAAGCCTCAAACTCCTGGGCTCAAGCAATCTCCCTACCTCAGCCTGCTGACTAGCTGGGACCACAGGTGTGCACAACCATACCCCGCTAATCTTTACTTTTACTTTTAGCAGAGGATGGGTCTCCCTATGTTGCTCAGGCTGGTCATAAACTCCTGGGCTCAAGCAGTCCTTCTGCGTCAGCCCCCCCACGTGCTGGGATTATAGGTATAGGCCAATGCACCTGGCCACACTCCTTTATTTTTATTTTATTAGTTTTACTAATTTTTATTATTTATTATACTTTAAATTCTGGGATACATATGCAGAAGATGCAGGTTTGTTATATAGGAATACAAGTGCCGTGGTGATAAGCTGTATCTATCAACCCTTCATTGACATTAGGTATTTCTCCTAATGCTATCCCTCGCCTTGTCCCCCACCCCCTGACAGACCCCAGCATGTGATGTTCCCCTCCCTGTGTCCATGTGTTCTCATTGTTCAATTCCCACTTATGAGTGAGAACATGTGGTGTTTGGATTTCTGTTCCTGTGTTAGTTTGCTGAGAATGATGGTTTCCAGCTTCATCCATGTCTCTGAAAAGGACATGAATTCATTCTTTTTTATGGCTGCATAGTATTCCATGGTGTATATGTGCCATATTTGCTTTAACCAGTCTATCATTGATGGGCATTTGGGTTGGTTCCAAGTCTTTGCTATTGTGAATAGTGCTGCAATAAACATATGTGTGCATGTGTCTTTATAGTAGAATGATTTATAATCCTTTGGTTATATACCCAGCAATGGGATCACTGGGTCAAATGGTATTTCTGGTTCTAGATCCTTGAGGAATTGCCACACTGTCTTCCACAATGGTTGAACTAATTTACACTCCCACCAACAGTGTAATAGCGTTACTATTTCTCCACAACCTCTCCAGCATCCATTGTTTCCTGACTTTTTAAAGATCACCATTCTAACTGGCATGAGATGGTATCTCATTGTGGTTTTGATTTGCATTTCTCTAATAACCAGTGATGATGAGCTTTTTAAAATAAGTTTGTTGACCTCATTAATGTCTTCTTTTGAGAAGTGTCTGTTCACATCCTTTGCCCACTTTTTGATTTTTTTTCTTGTAAATTTGTTTAAGTTCTTTGTAGATTCTGGATATTACCCCTTTGTCAGATGGATAGATTGCAAAAATTTTCTCCTATTCTACACATTGCCTGTTCACTTCGGTGATAGTTTCTTTTGTTGTGCAGAAGCTCTTTATAGACCGCTAGCCAGACTAATAAAGAAGAAAAGAGAGAAGAATCAAATAACACAATAAAAAATGATAAAGGGGACATCACCATTGATCCCACAGAAATACAAACTGCCATCAGAGAATACTATAAACACCTCTATGTAAATAAACTAGAAAATCTAGAGGAAATGGATAAATTCCTGGACACATACACCCTTCCAAGATTAAACCAGGAAGAAGTCAAATCCCTGAATAGACCAATAACAGGTTCTGAAATTAAGGCAGTAATTAAAGCCTACCAATCCAAAAAAGCCCAGGACCAGACAGATTCACAGCCAAATTCTACCAGAGGTACAAAGAGGAGCTGGTACCATTCCTTCTGAAACTATTCCAAACAATAGAAAAAAAAAGGAATCCTCTCTAACTCATTTTCTGAGGCCAGCATCATCCTGATACCAAAACCTGGCAGAAACACAACAAAGAAAGAAAATTTCAGGCCAGTATCCCTGATGAATATTGATGCCAAAATCCTCAATAAAATACTGGGAAACTGAATCCAGCAGCACATTAAAAAGCCTATCCACCACGATCAAGTTGGCTTTATCCCTGGCATGCAAGGCTGGTTCAATATATGCAAATCAATAAATGTGATACATTACATAAACAGAACCAATGGCAAAAAACACATGATTATCTCAATAGATGCTGAAAAGGTTTTTGATAAAATTTAACACCCCTTTATGCTACATACACTCAATAAACTAGGTACTGATGAAACGTATCTTAAAATAGTAAGAGCTATTTATGACAAACTCACAGCCAATATCATAATGAATGGGCAAAAGCTGGAAGCATTTCCTTTGAAAACCGGCACAAGACAAGGATGCCGTCTCTCTCCACTCCTATTCAACATAGTATTGGAAGTTCGGAGCAGGGCAGTCGGGCAAGAGAAAGAAATAAAGGGTATTCAAATAGGAGAGAGGAAATCAAATTATCTCTGTTTGTGGATGACATGATTGTATATTTAGAAAACCCCATCATCTCAGCCCAAAAACTCCTTAAGCTGATGAGCAACTTCAGCAAAGTCTCAGGATACAAAATCAATGTGCAAAAATCACAAGCATTCCTATGCACCAATAATAGACAAACAGCCAAATCATGAGTGAACTCCCATTCACAATTGCTACAAAGAGAATAAAGTACCTAGGAATCCAACTTACAAGGGATGTGAAGGACTTCTTCAAGGAGAACTACAAACCACTGCTCAGTAAAATAAGAGAGGGCACAAACAAATGAAAAAAAAAATCCATGCTCATGGATAGGAAGAATCAATATCATGTAAATGGTCATACCACCCAAAGTAATTTATAGATTCAATGCTATTCCCATCAAGCTACCATTGATATTCTTCACGGAATTAGAAAAAACTTTAAATTTCATGTGGAACCAAAAAAGAGCCTGTATAGCCAAGACAATCTTAAATAAAAAGAACAAAGCTGGAGGCATCACATTACCTGACTTCAAACTATACTACAAGGCTACAGTAACCAAAACAGCATGGTACTGGTAGCAAAACAGATATATGGACCAATGGAACAAAACAGAAGCCTCGGAAATGACACCACACATCTACAACCGTCTGACCTTTGACAAACCTGACAAAAGTGAGCAATGGAGAAATGATTCCCTATATAATAAATGGTATTAGGAAAACTGGCTAGCCGTATGCAGAAAACTGAAACTGGATTCCTTCCTCACACCTTATGCAAAAATTAACTCAAGATGGATTAAAGACTTAAATGTAAGACCTAAAACCATAACAACCCTGGAAGAAAACCTAGGCAATACCATTCAGGACATAGGCATGGGCAAAGACTTCATGACTAAAACACCAAAACTAATTGCAACAAAAGCCAAAATTGACAAATGGGATCTAACCCCTTTATTTTTAAATGACAGGATTCTGGGTATAGAATTCTTTGTCAGAAGTTGTTTTCTTTTTTCTTTCATCTTTTGGAATATATCATTCAATTCTCTTCTGGCCTGCAAGCTTTCTGCTGAAAAATCCAGTGACAGTCTTTTCAAGATCCCGTTTTATACATTAAGTAGCTTTCGTCTGATAGCTTTCAGAGTCCAGATTGCTCATCATTACATTATGGAATCTCTGATAGCTTTCAATATTCTCCCTTTAACTTTTAGCAATTTATTTATAATGTGTCTTAATGTAGGTTGTTTTATATTCAAACTGTTATATGTTCACTGAGCTTTATAAATCTGTGTTTCTAACTTCTTACCCAGGCAAGGGAAATTTTCTGAACTACTATTTACAACAAATGAATCTAACAGGTATTATAGAACAGTTCATCTAACAGCAGTGAAATACATATTCTTCTCAAGTATGCACGGAACATTCTCTTCTATAGATCACATGTTAGTCTACAAGTCAATTCTTAACAAATTTAAGAAGAATGAATTTATATTGAATATCATCTGTTGTGACTAAAATGGCAGGAAACTAGAAACCAATAATAGGAGCAGGCTGGACACAGTAGCTCATTCCATAATCCCAGCACTTTGGGAGGCCAAAGTGGGTGGATTGCTTGAACTCAGGAGTCTGAGGCAAGCCTGGGCAACATGGCCAAAGCCCATCTCCACAAAAATACAAAAATAAGCCAGGCATGGTGGCATGTGCCTGTAGTCTTAGCTATTTGGGAGGGTGGCGTGGGAAGATTGTTTGAGCTTGGCTCATCAATGGTTCAGTGAGCTGTCATCACACCACTGCACTCCAGCCTGAGTGGCAGAGCCAGACATTGTGTCAATCATCATCATCATCATCATCATCATCATCATCATCATCTTGAAGAACTCACAAATATGTGGAAATTAAATATCCTTCTTAATGACACATAGGACAAAGGATAAATTAAAAGAAAAAAAAATCTTGAGACAAGGAAAAATGGAAACACAATATACCAAAACTTATGGGATACAGCAAAAACAATCCTTAGAGGGAATTTTATAACAATAAACACCTACATCAAAGAAGAAGAAAGATTTCAAACAACCTAATGTTATACCTCTAGCAACTAGAAAAAAAAAAACAAACTAAGCACAAACGTAGTGGAAGGAAGTAAATAACAAAGATCGGAGCAGAAATAAGCAAAATAGAGACTAGAAAAACAGTAGAAAATATAAATGAAAGTAAAATTGGGGTTTTTTCAAAAGATAAAATTGACAAACCATTAGCTAGACTAACAAGGACAAAGAGAAAGAAGACTCAAATAAAATCCAAATGGAAGGAATCATAACTGATACCACAGAAATGCAAGGGACCTAAAGACTATCATGGACAACTATATAATAAAAAATGAATAACACAGAAAAAATAAAATTCCTAGAAACATGTAATGTACCATGACAAATAAAAAAGAAATAGAAAAATCTGAACAGACTTGTAATAAGTAAGGAGATTGAATCAACAATAAAAAACTTTCAAAAATAAAAATAAAGCCCAGGGCATGATAGCCTCACTGCCAATTCTACCAAACATTTAAATAACTAATATCAGTCCTTCTCAAGATTATCCAGAAAACTGAAATGGAGGGAATACTTCAAAATTTATTTTACAAGGCAAACTTTACCCTAATATTAAAACCATACAAGGACACTACAAGAAAAGAAAACAACAGGCCAAAATCCCTGATAAATATGGAGCAAAAATCCTCAAGAAAACTAGCAAACCAAATTCAGAAGCACATAAAATATTTATTAACTTTGATAAAATGAGATTTATTCCACAAGAGAAAGGATGGCTCAATGCACATAAATCAATAAATGAGTTACACTATATTAACAAAATGAAGAAGAAAATCATATGATACAGAAAAAAACATTTTCTCAATAGATACAGAAAAAACATTTGACTACATTTAACATCTGATCATGATAAAAGCTCTCAACAAATAGGTATTGAAATAATGTACCTGAACATAATAAAATACATATATTACAAGCCCACAGTTAATATCATATTAAACAGTGAAAAGTTGAAAGCTTTTCTTCTAAGATTAGGAAATAGAAAAGGATGCTCACTGTCATCACTTCTATTCATTATAGTATTGGAAGTCCTAGCTAGAACAACTAGATTAGAAAAAAGAAATAAAAGGCCTCCATAAAGGAAAAAAAGAAGTGAAATTGTCAGTGCAAATTGAAATTGGCATCAGGTTTGCCAATGAGGTGATTTTTATTGTAGAAAACCCTAAAGGCTTTATCAAAGACCTATTAGAACTGATTAGTACATTTAATAAAGTTGTAGTTTATGAAAACAAAATTTAAAAAAGAGTACTATTTCTATAAACTAACAACAAACTATCCAAAAAGAAATCAAGAAAATAATTCCATTTACAATAGCATCCAAAAATAAAATTAAATATTTAGGAATACATTTAACTGAAGAGGTGAATGATTGACTATGATGAAAACTATAATAGGTGAAAGAAGTTGAAAAACACACAATATAAAGATAACTCATGTTCATAGGTTGAAAAATTTACTATTTTAAAAACATACATAGTACTCAAAGCAACCTGCAGATTCAATGCAATCTCTATCAGAATTCCAATTTGTTTTTCACAGAAATAGAATAAAAGTCTAATAGAAAAAAATCCTTGAATAGCTGAAGCAATTGAGCAAAAAGAATGAAGTAGGAGGTATCAAATTTCCTGATTTCAAAATAGATTATAAAGCAATTGTAGTCAAAACAGCATGATACTGGCATGAAAGAAGATATATTGATGAATGGAAAAGAATAGAAAGCACAGAAGCAAACCTGACTATTTAAGGTCAATTGATTTTCCACAAAGATAAACACAATGAAGAAAAGACAATCACTTCAATAAATGGTGTTGACAAAACTTTATATCCACATTCAGAAGCATGAAATTGGATCTTTCTGACACACCATATATGAGAATTAATTCAAAACGGACAAAAGACCAATATGAAAGACTGAATCAATAAATCTACTAGAAGAAAATGTAGGGTAAAAGCTTCATAATTTTGGTCTGGGCAAGGATTTCTGGGATGGAACTTCAAAAGCACAGATAAGAAAAGCAAAAATAGACAGAGGATATTGCATCTAACTAAAAAGCTTTGATGCAGCAAAGACAACAATTTACATAGTGGAGAGATAGCCCACAAATTTAGGTAAAATATTTTTAAACCATACATATGGTAAGGGGCTAAAATAAAAAAAAAAAACCAAAAAACTAATTTAGTAATAGACAAAGAATCTGAACAGATATTTCTCCAAAGAAGACATGTGAATGACCAACAGATATATGAAAAAATCCTCAATGTCTCTAATCATCAGGGAAATGAAAATTGAAACCACAATGAGATATCACCTCACACCCATTAAAATGGCTATTACAAAAATTGATAAGTGTTGGTGAGATAACAAGTGTTGGCAAGAAATGGACCCTTTGTACACTGTTGGGGCCAATGTAAATTAATACAATCATTTTGCAAAATAGTATGGAGATTTTCCAAGAACTAAAAGTAGATTCCATATGACCCCAAAAATGTTACTTTTGGATATATAGCCAATGAATCTGAAATCAGCATGTGAACGAGATACCTGTACTTTCATGTTTATTTCAGAATTAGTCACAGTAGCCAAGATATAGAAGCAATAGAAGCAACCTGGTTTTATTAAAAGATTAATGAAGAAAATGTGGTGTGTATACACACACACACACACACACACACACACACACACTAGAATAATATACAGCCATAAAAATAAGGAAATTTTTTTCATTCACAACATGGCTGGAACTGGAGGAATTTATACTAAGTGAATTCAGCCAGTCATAGAAAGACAAATAGTTTATGATCTAACTTATATGTAATATCTAAAAAACTTGATATCATCCTACCTACTGACTTAGGTCCCAACTTCAGCTGCACTTCTTTCATCTCTGCAGTTGTGACAGGAAGATACGTTGGAGCGACTATGTGACTGGGGCGGGAGCCAAACTGGGTTTGGGGCAACATCAGCAATTCCCGTGGATGGGGCTTATGGGGCCATGATGGGTCAAGAAGGACATTCACCAACAAGAGCCAGAAGAGCCAGGTGTGTGTAGCGCACTACATAGGGGTGTTCCAAAATGGGAATAAATTTGATTTATCCGAAGACAGAAACAAACCTTTCAAGTTCAAAACTGGTGAACAGGAAGTCATCAGTGGTTTTGAAGAGTACATAGCGCAGATGAGCTTGGGGCAGAAGGTGAAGCTGACCTGCATATGTGATGTGTCATATAGAGCTCCAGGCTACTCTAGTATCATCCCTCCCAGTGCTATCCTATCTTTGACATGGAATTGCTCAACTTAGAGTGAAGGCAGGAAGGAAATCAAGGTGGATGGAGATGGCTGCTGCTCACCCTCCTAGCCTGCTTTGCCACTGGGTTGGCTCCTCCTGTTTGGGGCTCTTGATCAGTGTGCTAACCTCACTGTCTCATGGCATGATCCATTCTTTCTGCCCAAGTTGCTGTGTATGTGTTCATTATTGTTCATGCATATCCTTGCTTGAGGAAATTTTGATTTCATTGAAACATTTCATGTTGTGCATTTTTTTATAAGGCATGTAGTAGCCATTCCTGGTCACAGAAAATAGATTTCTTGCTTGCAAAATCTACATCGCCCTACCTTCACTTAAGCCAGACATGCAAGGTGATCAGATATGAAATATACATGGTGTATGCTAGAGACTTGAGCCAGTTACCTTTGCTTTCACTTTCTATCTTATAAATTCTGTTGGCTGCTCACTTAAACAGTGTCTGCTTTGGAAATAATATGTAAAATAAAGACGCAGTGCTTGACCAAAAAATAAATCAATAAAATAAAAATAAAACAGTTTATCTCATGGAATCAAAAGTTAAAAAGTGGTTACTAGAGATTGGGGAAGGATGAGGAAAATGAAAATGTTGACCAAAGGGGAAAAGTTCCAGTTTTATTGGAGGAATAAACTTCAGTGTTGTATTCCACTGCATGGGTAACTACAGTTAGTAGGAATATATCATGTATTTAAAAATTGTTAAAATAATAGATTTTTAATGTCCTCACCACAAAAAATATAAGTTGTTAAGGTGGTGGATATGTTAATTAGCTTAATTGGCTCTCTGTACAGTGTATACATAGATCAAAACATCACATTTTACCTCATCAATAAGTACAATTATTATTTGTGAATTAAACATAAATTAATAAAATTTTAAAAGAAATATATTCGTTTGTACTTTAGGAAAAAATGTACAAAGATATAATTTTGTGACAACAGCTAAAAGTGGTGTGGATGAAACTGTCAAAGGAGTAGAGATGTTGTACATTATTGAAGTTAAGCTGGAATAAAATCAGAGTCTTGTAATTGGAGGATGTTAAATTCAATCATTTGGTAACTACAAATAAAATACTAAAGAATATACACAAAAGAAAATGAGAAAGCTACTGGGTGCAGTACCTCATGCCTATAATCCTAGCACTTTGGGAGATCAAAGTGAGTGAATTGCTCAAGCCCAGAAGTTTGAGACCAACCAAGGCAACATGGCAAAAATCTCATCTCTAGAAAAAATACAAAATTTAACCAAGCATGGTGGTGGCATGCACCTGTAGTCTTAGCTATCAGGAGGCTGAGACAGGAGTATCACTTGAGCCCAGGCGGTTGAAGCTGCAGAGAGCTGGTATCGTGCCACTTCACTCCCAGCCCGGGTGACCGAATGAGGCCCTGTCTCAAATAAATGAAAAAATAAATAAATAGGAAGAGAGAAATAAATTTAACCATTTCAATACAAAAAAATTTAAGTAAACACAAAAGAGGACAGTAGTGTAGGAAATGAGGAGCATTATTCTATAATATATATGGAAAACAAATAGCAACATGACAAAAGTAAGTCCCACATTATCAGTAATCACTTTAAGTGTAAACAGATTAACCACTCCAATTCAGAGACACAGATTGGTAAAATGCATTAAGAAACACACACACGCACACCATAATTCACATAATATGCTGTTCACAAGAGACTCAGTTTGGATCCAGAACACCAATAGGTTGAAAATGAAAATATGTAAAAATATATTTCATGTAAATATTAACAAGAATAAAGCTGGGGTAGCTATAGTAATAGCAGATGAAATAAACTTTAAATTTATAAAGCTTACAAGAGACAAAGGCATTATTTATTAATAAAAGTTGAGCAAGAGTAATAGAGAAAGAAGACAAAGCAGTTTAAACATTTACACGTAGTAATTGACTGTAAAAATATAAAGTAAAAACTGATGGAATTGAAGGGGAAAATATCTCTACACAATAGTTGGATACTTCAATACTTCACTCTCAATAGAACAACTATAAACAGAAGATAAGAAGATAGAAGATTTAATGAACAAAATAAGACAACCGGACCTAACAGATACACAGAACACTCTACCCAACAACAGAATACACATTTTTCTCAAGTTCACCCAAGACATTTTTCAGGATAGAACATATATTAAGCCACAGATTAAGTATCTATACATTTTAAAAGATTGATATCACATAAAATATTTACTCTGGTGACAATGGCAGAATAAAGTTAGAAATAACAAAAGAAAAGCTGAAAATACCGCAAATTTGTCAAAATTAAATAACATATATTTGTGGAAATTAAATAACACAAATGGGTCAAAAATCACAAGGGAAATTAGAAAATACTTAGCAATGAATGAAAACAAAATCATAATATATCAAAACTTACGGTACTCAGTGAAAGCAATGCTAACTGGAAAACTTTTAGCTATACATGCTTACATTTAAAACTAAGAAAGCTCTTCATTGAACAACCCAACTTTACAATTTCTGGAACTAGAAAAAGAGTACCAAACTAAACCCCAAACATAGCAGAGGGAAATAAATAGTAAAGATTGGAGCAGAGATCATTGAAATAAATAATAGTAAAATAAGAGAGAACATTCAAATTAAAAATTGGTTCTTTGAAATGCTTAATAAAAATTTATGAATATTGGACTAAGAAAAAAAGAGAAGATTCAAAATAAGTTTGTTATAAGAAATGAAAGTGGAGATGTTACTAATTCTACAGAAATAAAAAGGATTACGAAATTATCCTGAACAATTGTATATCTACAAACTGAATAACCCTACATGAAATGACAAATTCTTAAAAATACAAAACTTACCAAAATTAACCCAGAAGAAATCGAATATCTGAATAGCACTGTAACTAGTAAGGAAATTGAACCACTAATTAAAACTTTCCCCAAAAAGAAAAGCCCTGGATCTGATGGCTTCACTAATGAATTCTACTAAACATTTATAGAACTAACACTAATCTTTCTCAAATGGAAAATGAAGGAACACTCCCTAACTCATTCTATGAGGCCACCATTACCCTGGTAGCAAAGTCAAAGGAAGATAATACAGGAAACAAATATTGCAGGCAGTTACGCCTTATGATCATTGATGTATAAATTCTCAACAAAATACTAGCCAACTGAATTCAGCAGCATATTAAAAGGATTATATACCGACTGACTGTGTGTGACTTATTCCTAGAATGGAATGATGGCTCTACATATTAAAATCATTCACTGTAATATACCACATAAACAGAATGAAGGAAAAAATACACGATTATCTCAATTAATGCCAAGAAAAGATTTGACAAAATTCACTATCTTTTCCTGATACAAAACACTCAAAGAATAGAAGGAAACTACCTCAATATTATAAAAGTCATGTATGACAAAAAATACAGAAATATCATACTCAGTGGGGCAAGACTAAAATATTTACTCCTAAAATTGTGAACATGGCAAGAATCCACTTTGCCGCTTTTACTCAATGGAGTGGTAGGTCTTTGCCAGAGCAGTTAGGCAATAAAAACAAATAAAGGGGTGAGATGATATCTCATTGTAGATTTTATTTTTATTTCTGATTATCACTGATGTTGAACACCTTTTCCTATACCTCTTTGCCAGTTATATTTCCTCTTTTGAGCAATATCTATTCACCTACTGTGTACTCACAAAAATTTTTTAAAAAAGCAAAAATACATTAGGCACTCCAAATGTGTAAAAGAAAGAAGAAAGGAAGGAAGGAAAAGGCATTAGAATTGAAAAGAAAGAAATAAAATTATCTCTGATCTCAGATGATATGATCTTTTAAGTAGAAAATGCTAAAGAAAATACACACCTGAAAGCCTGCTAGAACTAATGAACACATTCAGCAAAATAAGCGAATACAATGTTAACACACAAAGAGCATTTGCAGTCTATACACTAATAATGAACAGTATGAAAAGAAAATTGAGAAAATGATTCCATTTACAATACCATCAGAAAGAATAAAAGAGTTAGGAATAAACGTAACAAAGGAGGCAAAAGCCTTACAGAATGAAAACTACAAAACATTTCTGAAATAAATGAAAGAAGACATAGATTAGAAAGAATCCCTATGTTCACCATGGGAAGAGTTAATATTAAAACATCAGTATTACCCAAAAGGATCTACAAATTTCCAATCACTATATTCTGATTACTTTGTTGAAGAAATTTTTAAAAATTCTAAAACACATACCGAATTTCAAGGAATCCTGAATAACCAACACAATATATATTTTTTAAAGCTATGGGGCTTATACTTCCTGATTGCAAAACTTACTACAAAGTTACAGTAATCAAAGGATTTTGGTACTGGCATAAAAACAAACATATATACCTATGAAATGGAATACGGCATTTAGAAACAAACCCTTGCATGTGTGGACAAATTATTTTTGACAAGGTTGCCAACACCATTCAGGTGGGGAAAGGACAGTCTTTTTAACAAGTGATGCTGGAAAAACATGCAAAATAATTAAGTTGGACCTTTACATAACACCATATACAAAAATTAAACTGGATTAAAGACCTAAATATAACACTGACAACTATAACCTCTTAAAACAGCACACAAGGCAAATGCTTTAAAATATTGGATTTAGTAATGGTTTATTGAATATGACAGCAGAGGCATAGCCAACAAAGAGAAAAATAGACAAATTGGAATCATGAACATTTTTTAAAGTGCATAGAAGATACTATCAATAGAGTAAGAAGGCAACCCACAGAATGGGAGAAAGTATTTGGAAATTATATATATGACAAGTTATTAATATCCTGAATATATAGAGAACTCCTAAAACTCAACAAGAAATAAGCCAATTCAAAAATAGATGAAGGCCTTCAACAGGCATGATCCAGAAAAGATATACAGATGGAAAACAACATATAATAAAATGCCTAGCATCAACAGTTTTAGGAAAATGCAAATCAAAACTGCCATGTAATACTACTTCGTAATCATTAGGATGAAGACTCTCCAAAGAATATAAACACAGAAAATAAGAAGACTTGGAGAAGATGTGAAGCGATTTAAACCTTTCTACGCTCTTGATGTGTTGGTGGGAATGTAAAGTGAAAGTGGTTCATTTGCCTGGGAAAATAAGATAGTTCCTCAAAATATTAAAATAGAACTACTGTGATTCAGTAATTCCACTTTGGGGTATAGAAGTGGAAAGAATAGAAAGCAAGATATCAAAAAATGTATTTGTATATCCATGTTTAAAATTATATTAGTCACAAAGCTAAAAGTTGGAAACAATTCACCTGTCCATTAGCAGACAAATGGCTAAGGTAATGGTATATATATGCAATGGAATATTAGCCTCATAAAGGAAAAAACAACTTATATATGATAGAGCATGGATAAATGTTGAGGAGATTATGCTAAATAAAATATGCCAATTACAAAAGAATATTATAGGACTCCACTTATAGAGGGAACTTAGAGTAGTCCCAAACATAGCAACTGACAGTGGAATGGTGATTGCAAGGGGCTTCAGGTAGGGGATAATGGAGAGTTATTTTTTAATAGTTTTGCAAGATGAAAAGAGTTCTGGAGAAGAGTGGTAATGATGGTTGTGCAACAGTATAAATGTACACAATACTACTAAATTGTGCACTAAAAACTATTAAATAGTAAATGTGTTGTGCATTTTTACCCCAATATTAAAAACTCAGAAAAAAATGTATGGTTCAGTATGAATACAGCTTAGTGTGAGGAATGGTGAAAGCCAGATGCGTATGGGCTTTTAATGGTACACTAGAATTTCATATGTGACACATAATTTCATTTGCATTTAAAGGTAATCATTACAGTGTTGGCAAAATAAAAATATGGATGACCTACTCTATTTTCTGCTGCTATAACAGAATACCACAGACAGGATATTTTATATATATATATATAAATTTATTTATCTTGTAGTTCTGGAGGCAGTGGATTCTATAGCATGGCACCAGCATCTGGCAAGGGTCACTCCATGATAGAAGGGCTGAAGGTGGAAGTGAGGACACCAGACAGAGAATAATTGGCAAACTCATATGTTTTATAATGAACTCACTGTTATGATAACTTGGCCACTCCCAAAATAATGTAATTTAACCATTTACGAGGACAGAGCCTTCATTACCTAATCACCTCTTAAAGGCCTCACCTCTTAATACTGTTGCAATGACAATTAAATTTCCAATACATGAGCGTTGAGAGACGTATGCAAACAGTAACAATCCAGAATATGTTGTATTGTCTTATAAAACTGTATTGTCTTATAAGACTGAATCCATTTATAAAGCTATTGTATTAATGCATGCCAGAGGTAGTGAAATACTGACTTATAATAAAGCAAGAACTGAGTGCAAATAGAACCAAAGGATGTCATAGACATTGAATTAACAAACATTCATTGATTTAATGATAGATTCCATAAAAAATGTGCTACATATACACTACGAAATATTATACAGCTATAGTATTCCATGGTGTATATAGAGATGATGTCTTTTGCGGGAACATGGAAGGAGCTGGAGGCTATTATCCTTAGCAAACTAACACAGGAACAGAAAACCAAATACTGCACGCTCTCACTTATAAGTGAAAGTGAAACCATATGACCTTATGAATGCAAAGAAGGAAACAATAGACGCTGGGGTCTATTTGAGTGGGAGGAGGGAGAGGAGAAGCAAAGATCACTATTGGATATTGGGCTTAATACCTGGGTGATGAAATAATATGTACCGCAGACTCCCATGACACATGTTTACCTGTGTAACAATCCTTCATATGTACCTCCAAACCTAAAATAAAAGTTAAAATAAGTTCACTAATTAGATGAGAAAATTTTCATCCTAATGTTGAAAGTTCATTATCACTAAATCAATGCCAGAATTAAGAATTGGGTTACTGATGTTAGACAACTAGCACATATTTAAATAAAATATCAAAAATGGTAACTTTTAGTTAACATCAATAGGGAGACATGCACATTTTGAAACTGTCTCTCTAACTTTCTTTTCTATATTAAAACATATTTTCTGTTTGGCTTATTCATTTTGATATGATGAGATAAGTTTAAACATATATTGTCCTTAGCTCCAAAATAAACTAGAAAAATTGTGTGTAAGTAATTTTACAATTTGGTCCCTATAAATTAAATTTCCATTTTATTTCTTATTGTTTACATCCTGTATAATGTTATCAGTTTTCTTCTCTCTTAATGTCATGGCTTAGTTGGAATTTCTTGAGGCTGAGTAACTTTTCTTATATATATATATATATATATATATATATAAGATTTTTTATATGTATATAAGATTTCATGTATATATATTTCTATATAGAGAGAGAGATAATGGAAAGAGATTCTATAGTTTGTTGTTTTACCTGCCAGCAAATAGTGGCATAGACCTGTGCAAGAGACATCATCTTTGGGCCTTGAAAATGAGAGCAAATGATAACTGTGATACCTGCTTTGTAATATTATTTTGAAGGTCACATAAAATAATGTATGTAACAAAGCTTTGAAAATAATAAAGTACATATATTAAATATTAAAATTTGCTTTCATTGTATTGTGATCTCAGTTACCACTTACGCAAAATTATTTGGCTAATGCATGTGTATTAGTCCATTTTCAAACTGCTGTAAGGATACTACCTAAGACTGGGTAATTTATAAACAAAGGAAGTTTAATTGACAGAGTTTTGCATTGCTGGGGAGGCCTCAGAAAACTTAAAATCCTGGAGTAAGGCAAAGGGGAAGCAGGCACCTTCTTCACAAGGTGGCAGAAGAGAGCACACAGGGGAAACTGCCACTTTTTAAAAATTATTATTATACCTTAAGTTCTAGGGTACACGTGCACAACGTGCAGTTTTGTTACATAGGTATACACGTGCCATGTTGGTTTGCTGCACCCATCAACCCATCATCTACATTAGGTATTTCTCCTAATGCTATCCCTCCCTCAGCCCCCTACGTCCCGACAGGCCCCAGTGTGTGATGTTCCCCGCCCTGTGTCCATGTGTTCTCATTGTTCACCTCCCACTTATGAGTGAGAACATGCTACTTTTAAAACCATCAGATCTTGTCAGAGCCCCCTCACTATCATGAGAAGAGCACAGGGGAAACTGCCCCAATGATCAATCACCTCCCACTAGGGCCCTCCCTCAACACAATTATAATTCAAGATGAGATTTGGGTGAGAACAGGGAGCCAAACCATTTCAGCATGTAATCACTCTAAAGAAGAAAATCAAATTATGCTCTTGTTAATAAAGTTCGGTGTTAATAGCACTATGGTAAAATTCAAATGCACATACTTTTAGAGCTATAAATGGAATTACAGCTCCCGTGGTCAAGCATCAAAATCACAAATTAGAATATATTGAAAAAAAATTGAAATTATAATCCTTCCACATATATATATTTTTCATTCCTCCAATGCACATATGTATTGGCTTAAGAATGGACTTCTAGATATGTTCAAGGAGATGAGATAAATATTCACACTTATATTTAGTTTTAAATGTTTATCACATTATAAAGTCACTGGTGATACATACAATGTATCTGTTTATCTCATCTTTGGAAGTCTCTCCAAGCAGATGCACACTCTGAGGATGCAGAGAAGTCAGTTTGACTTTGAGCATAGGGTTAACTTAACCTTAAGTATCTTACTAAAGGCAGTCTCACAGGACATTAGCATCAGACAGAATCCTTAGGACCAATCTCCTCCAAACTTAAGTCCCACACAAGAATGTCATTTTTTTAAAATTATACTTTAAGTTTTACGGTACATATACACAATGTGCAGGTTTGTTACATATGTATACATATGGCATGTTGGTGTGCTGCACCCATTAACTTGTCATTTAACATTAGGCATATCTCCTAATGTTATCCCTCCCCTCTCCCGCCAACCCACAACAGGCCCCGGTGTGTGATGTTCCCCTTCCTGTGCCCATGTGTTCTCATTGTTCAATTCCAATCTATGAGTGAGAACATGCAGTGTTTGGTTTTTTGTCCTTGCGACAGTTTGCTGAAAATGATGGTTTCCAGCTTCATCCATGTCCCTACAAAGGACATGAACTCATCATTTTTTATGGCTGCATAGTATTCCATAGTGTATATGTGCCACATTTTCTTAATCCAGTCTATCATTTATGGACATTTGGGTTGGTTCCAAGTCTTTGCTATTTTGAGTAGTGCCACAATAAACTTACATGTGCATGTGTCTTTATAGCAGCATGTTTTATAATCCTTTGAGTATATATCCAGTAATAGGATGGCTGGGTCAAATGGTATTTCTAGTTCTAGATCCCTGAGGAATCGCCACACTGACTTCCACAATGGTTGAACTAGTTTACAGTCCCACCAACAGTGTAAAAGTGTTCCTATGTCTCCACATCCTCTCCAGTACCTGTTGTTTCCTGACTTTTTAATGATTGCCATTCTAACTGGTGTGAGATGATATCTCATTGTGGTTTTGATTTGCATTTCTCTGATGGCCAGTGATGATGAGCATTTTTTCATGTGTCTTTTCGCTGCTAAATGTCTTCTTCTGAGAAGTGTCTGTTCATATCCTTTGCCCACATTTTGATGGGGTTGTTTGTTTTTTTCTTGTAAATTTGTTTCAGTTCATTGTAGATTCTGGATATTAGCCCTTTTCTCAGATGAGTATATTGCAAAAATTTTCTGCCATTCTGTAGGTTGCCTGTTCACTCTGATGGTAGTTTCTTTTGCTGTGCAGAAGCTCTTTAGTTTAATTAGATCCCATTTGTCAATTTGGGCTTTTGTTGCCATTGCTTTTTGTGTTTTAGACATGAAGTCCTTGCCCATGCCTATGTCCTGAATGGTAATGCCTAGGTTTTCTTCTAGGGTTTTTATGGTTTTAGGTTTAACATTTAAGTCTTTAATCCATGTTGAATTAATTTTTGTATAAGGTGTAAGGAAGGGATCCAGTTTCAGCTTTCTACATATGGCTAGCAAGTCTTCCCAGCACCATTTATTAAATAGGGAAACCTTCCCCCATTTCTTGTTTTTGTCAGATTTGTCAAAGATCAGATAGTTGTAGATATGCGGCATTATTTCTGAGGGCTCTGTTCTGTTCCATTGGTCTATATTTCTGTTTTGGTACCAGTACCATGCTGTTTTGGTTACTGTAGCCTTGTAGTATAGTTTGAAGTCAGGTAGCATGATGCCTCCAGCTTTGTTCTTTTGGCTTAGGATTGACTTGGCGATGCGGGCTCTTTTTTGGTTCCATATGAACTTTAAAGTTGTTTTCTCCAATTCTCTGAAGAAAGTCATTGGTAGCTTGATGCGGATGGCATTGAATCTATAAATTACCTTGGGCAGTATGGCCATTTTCACAATATTGCTTATTCCTACCCATGAGCATGGAATGTTCTTCCATTTGTTTGTATCCTCTTTTATTTCATTGAGCAGTGGTTTGTAGTTCTCCTTGAAGAGGTCCTTCACATCCCCTGTAAGTTGGATTCCTAGGTATTTTATTCTCTTTGAAGCAATTGTGAATGGGAGTTCACTCATGATTTGGCTCTCTGTTTGTCTGTTATTGGTGTATAAGAATGCTTGTGATTTTTGCACATTGATTTTGTATCCTGAGAATTTGCTGAAGTTGCCTTTCACCTTATGGAGATTTTGGGCTGAGACGATGGGGTTTTCTAGATAAACAATCATGTCATCTACAAACAGGGACCATTTGACTTTCTCTTTTCCTAATTGAATACCCTTTATTTCCTTCTCCTGCCTGATTGCCCTGGCCAGGACTTCCAACACTATGTTGAATAGGAGTGGTGAGAGAGGGCATCCCTGTCTTGTGCCAGTTTTCAAAGGGAATGCTTCCAGTTTTTGCCCATTCAGTATATTGGCTGTGGGTTTGTCATAGATAGCTCTTATTATTTTGAGATACGTCCCATCAATACCTAATTTATTGAGAGTTTTTAGCATGAAGGGCTGTTGAATTTCGTCAAAGGCCTTTTCTGCATCTATTGAGATAAACATGTGGTTTCTGTCTTTGGTTCTGTTTGTATGCTGGATTATGTTTATTGATTTACGTATATTGAACCAGCGTTGCATCACAGGGATAAAACCCACTTGATCATGGTGGATAAGCTTTTTGATGTGCTGCTGGATTCGGTTTGCCAGTATTTTATTGAGGATTTTTGCATCGATGTTCATCGGGGATATTGGTCTAAAATTCTCTTTTTTTGTTGTGTCTCTGCCAGGCTTTGGTATCAGGATGATGCTGACCTCATAAAATGAGTTAGGGAGGATTTCCTCTTTTTCTATTGATCAGAATAGTTTTAGAAGGAATGGTACCAGCTCCTCCTTGTACCTCTGGTAGAATTCGGCTGTGAATCCATCTGGTCCTGGACTTTTTTTTGGTTCGTAAGCTATTAATTATTGCCTCAATTTCAGAGCTTGTTATTGGTCTATTCAGAGATTCAACTTCTTCCTGGTTTAGTCTTGGGAGGGTTTATGCATCGAGGAATTTATCCATTTCTTCTAGATTTTCTAGTTTATTTGCGTAGAGGTGTTTATAGTATTCTCTGATGGTAGTTTGTATTTCTGTGAGATTGGTGGTGATATCCCCTTTATCATTTTTTATTGTGTCTATTTGATTCTTCTCTCTTTTCTTCTTTATCAGTCTTGCTAGTGGTCTATCAATTTTGTTGATCTTTTCAAAAAACCGGCTCCTGGATTCATTGATTTTTGAAGCGTTTTTTGTGTCTCTGTTTCCTTCAGTTCTGCTCTGATCTTAGTTATTTCTTGCCTTCTGCTAGCTGTTGAATATGTTTGCTTTTGCTTCTCTAGTTCTTTTAATTGTGATGTTAGGGTGTCGATTTTAGATCTTTCCTGCTTTCTCTTGTGGGCATTTAGTGCTATACATTTCCCTCTACACACTGCTTTGAATGTGTCCCAGAGATTCTTGTATGTTGTGTCTTTGTTCTCGTTGGTTTCAAAGTACATCTTTATTTCTGCCTTCATTTCGTTATGTACCCGGTAGTCATTCAGGAGCAGGTTGTTCAGTTTCCATGTAGTTGAGCAGTTTTGAGTGAGTTTCTTAATCCTGAGTTCTAGTTTGATTGCACTGTGGTCTGCGAGACAGTTTGTTATAATTTCTGTTCTTTTACATTTGCTGAGGAGAGCTTTACTTCCAACTATGTGGTCAATTTTGGAATCAGTGCAGTGTGGTGCTGAGAAGAATGTATATTGTGTTGATTTGGGGTGGAGAGTTCTGTAGATGTCTATTAGGTCCGCTTGGTGCAGAGCTGAGTTAAGTTCCTGGATATCCTTGTTAACTTTCTGTCTCATTGATCTGTCTGATGTTGACAGTGGGGTGTTAAAGTCTCCCATTATTATTGTGTGGGAGTCTAAGTCTCTTTGTAGGTCTCTAAGGACTTGCTTTATGAATCTGGGTCCTCCTGTATTAGGTGCCTATATATTTAGGATAGTTAGCTCTTCTTGTTGAATTGATCCCTTTACCATTATGTAATGGCCTTCTTTGTCTCTTTTGATCTTTGTTGGTTTAAAGTCTGTTTTATCAGAGACTAGGATTGCAACCCCTGCCTTTTTTTGTTTTCCATTTGCTTGGTAGATCTTCCTCCATCCCTTTATTTTGAGCCTATGTGTGTCTCTGCACATGAGATGTGTTTTCTGAATACAGCACACTGATGGGCCTTGACTCTTTATCCAATTTGCCAGTCTGTGTCTTTTAATTGGAGCATTTATCCCATTTACCTTTAAGGTTAATATTGTTATGTGTGAATTTGATCCTGTCATTATGATGTTAGCTGGTTATTTTGCTCATTAGTTGATGCAGTTTCTTCTTAGCCTCGATGGTCTTTACAATTTGGCATGATTTTGCAGTGGCTGGTACCGGATGTTCCTTTCCACGTCTAGTGCTTTCTTCAGGAGCCCTTTTAGGGCAGGCCTGGCGGTGAGAAAATCTCTCAGCATTTGCTTGTCTGTAAAGTATTTTATTTCTCCTTCACTTATGAAGCTTAGTTTGGCTGGATATGGAATTCTGGGTTGAAAATTCTTTTGTTTAAAAATGTTGAATATTGGCCCCCACTCTCTTCTGGCTTGTAGAGTATCTGCCGAGAGATCAGCTGTTAGTCTGATTGGCTTCCCTTTGTGGGTAAGCCGACCTTTCTCTCTGGCTGCCCTTAACATTTTTTCCTTCATTTCAACTTTAGTGAATCTGACAATTATGTGTCTTGGAGTTGCTCTTCTCGAGGAGTATCTTTGTGGCATTCTCTGTATTTACTGAATTTGAATGTTGGTCTGCCTCGCTAGATTGGGGAAGTTCTCCTGGATAATATCCTGCAGAGGTTTTCCAACTTGGTTCCATTCTCCCCGTCATTTTTAGGTACACCATTCAGACGTAGATTTGACCTTTTCACATAGTCCCATATTTCTTGGAGGCTTTATTCGTTTCTTTTTTATTCTTTTTTCTCTAAACTTGTCTTCTCGCTTCATTTCATCTTCCATCACTGATACCCTTTCTTCCAGTTGATCGAATCGGCTACTGAGGCTTGTGCATTGGTCCCGTAGTTCTCGTGCCATGGTTTTCATCTCCATCACGTCCTTTAAGGACTTCTCTGCATTGGTTATTCTAGTTAGCCATTCGTCTAATTTTTTTTCAAGGTTTTTAACTTCTTTGCCATGGGTTCGAACTTCCTCCTTTAGCTCAGAGTAGTTTGATCGTCTGAAGCCTTCTTCTTTCAACTCGTCAAAATCATTCTCCGTCCAGCTTTGTTCCATTGCTGGTGAGGAGCTGCATTCCCTTGGAGGAGGAGAGGTGCTCTGATTTTTAGAGTTTCCAGTTTTTCTGCTCTGTTTTTTCCGCATCTTTGTGGTTTTATCTACCTTTGGTCTTTGATGATGGTGACGTACAGATGGGGTTTTGGTGTGGGTGTCCTTTCTGTTTATTAGCTTTCCTTCTAACTGTCAGGACCCCCAGCTGCAAGTCTGTTGGAGTTTGCTGGAGGTCCACTCCAGATCCTGTTTGCCTGGGTATCAGCAGCAGAGGCTGCAGAACAGAGGATATTGGTGAACAGCAAATGTTGCTGCCTGATCGTTCCTCTGGAAGTTTTGTCTCAGAGGAGTACCCGGCCGTGTGAGGTGTCAGTCTGCCCCTACTAGGGGGTGCCTCCCAGTTAGGCTACTCGGGGGTCAGGGACCCACTTGAGGAGGCAGTCTGTTTGTTCTCAGATCTCCAGCTGCGTGCTGGGAGAACCACTACTCTCTTCAAAGCTGTCAGACAGGGACATTTAAGTCTGCAGAGATTTCTGCTGCCTTTTGTTTGGCTATGCCCTGCCCCCAGAGGTGAAGTCTACAGAGGCAGGCAGGCCTCCTTGAACTGTGGTGGGCTTCACCCAGTTCAATCTTCCTGGCCGCTTTGTTTACCTACTCAAGCCTCAGCAATGGTGGGCGCCCCTCCCCCAGCCTCGCTGCCGCCTTGCAGTTTGATCTCAGACTGCTGTGCTAGCAATGAGTGAGGCTCCGTGGGCGTAGGACCCTCCGAGCCAGGTGTGGGATATAATCTTCTGGTGTGCCATTTGCTAATACCATTGGAAAAGCACAGTATTAGGGTGGGAGTGACCCAATTTTCCAGGTGCCATCTGTCACCCCTTTCTTTGACTAGGAAAGGGAATTCCCTGACCCCTTGCGCTTGCCAGGTGAGGCGATGCCTTGCCCTGCTTTGGCTCACGCTCGGTGCGCTGCACCCACTGTACTGCACCCACTGTCTGACACTCCCCAGTGAGATGAACCCGGTACCTCAGTTGGAAATGCAGAAATCACCAGTCTTCTGCGTGGCTCACATTGGGAGCTGTAGACTGGACCTGTTCCTATTCGGCCATCTTGGCTCCAGAAGAATGTCATTTTTGGTACCCATATAGAGTGAGCTATCAGAAATCAATTCACTCACTTTTTCCATGGTGGCTCATACTAATATGGGACTATCCTAATAGTATATTCTTAATGTAAAAGTAGAGCCCCCATGCAACTCTTATCCTTCTTTCCAAATTATGCTTTCAAATGGCCTTTGAAGGTGTCTTCTCTTTATCATATCTCTTTCTCAAGCTAAAATTTCCAAGGTTTTTCCAACCACTTTTTAGTTGCAGTGCTTGCCAGATTTCCTTGAGTTTTTGTCTCTTGGCATGTTTCACCAAGTTCATAATGAGACACATTGTTTTCCAGATGTGGCTTGATAAGGATGACATATTTCAATATGACTATTAAACTTGTTCTTCTGGATGTATCTTTTCTATTAATGAATGCTGAGATTGCAGTCCTGAAACTATTGACCATTAAGGATCATAGAGACAATTAATCCCTTATGTGTATTTCATATAAACTACTTTCAAAGAAGTAACCCTTGCCTGTACTTTAATAGTTAAGTTTCTAAATCTAAGCCTCTTTACTTTGGCTTTACTGTATTTCATTTTGACAGTCTTGGCCCATTCATAAGCCTATGGAGACATTTTAAAATCCCAGCTTTGTGTCAGTCACAGATTCACAGATTTAACAAGTTTAATTTCTTATGTCCTTTCTTAAGTCAATGTTAAAATGCTGAACAAGAAAAGACCAAGGACAGCAGGGTTACGGTCTAATAAAATAATGTGTCTGAAAATGCTTTGCAAACATTATTTTGTATTCATCTTTAGTTCTTCATTCTTCCTTTGTCTTTTATACATGACTGTTTATAATCTGACCTTATGGAAAATTTGTCCCATACAGCCTTCATAGTTTAACTTTGTTTCCAATGACCTCTCTATCGAAATAATTTCTAATTGCATCATTTAATTTTCCTTTTTAAAATATTCTCTTCTTTTTGAGTCATCTTTTCTTTTGGAAACTTTCTCCTCAAGAGATGACTTCTTTGAATGTTTTTTACTATGTGATTTTTCCTCATTTGCAGTTAAAAATGTAATTTGTTGTATGTAGGTGAAGGTGCTAGATGCTGCAGGGCATACAATTATTCATATTATATTCCTGGACCTCAAAGAGCTTACAGGCCAATAAGAGATCTAAGACACGTGGTACATCACATGATGTACCATTAGGATGGTACATTTTAAAGTGTAATACCTCTCACATCAAAACTCTTAGTTCTTTCCTGTCATTGTAATGTGTTTTTAAGTCCTCCTTCCCAAAAAGGTGCTTCTCGTGCTTGTAGATATTTCTCACACCCATATTGCTTTTCAGAATATTTGCAGTTCTTCGAAACTCCCATACTCCATGTGGTCCTTAGTTTTTCTGAGTTTATTTCAAAATCTCTCTTAACTATCTATGAATCTAATTTTCAATTGCTTAATAGTTTCCCAGGACTTACAGTCTCATGTTCAACCCACTGACTTTAATATATATGTTCCAGTATTTTTACAGTGACCATTATAAAGTATATTCTCTCTCTCTACACACACACACACACACACACACACACACACACACACACACACACACACAGAGAGAGCACCAGAAAACAGCATTTTATTTTATTTTATTGGCTAATAAAGGGAAACGCAATTAGACAAGCACAGGTAAAGACTCTGATTAACACCAGTCCAGGAGTGCACTTAGTAGTTGGTCATTTTACCATATTACATACCTGGTACAAAATGTAATCTCTGTGCTTTGCTATAATGCCATTGATGTGGTCTGGTACCCAAAGCAAATAGCAATTCAGAGCTTTTCATTGACTGATAGTTTTATATTTTTTCTAGTTTTCTGTGAGACACACTGTATTTCAAATGTGGTTTAATAAGGACAAATAATTCACTGTGACAATTAAGCATGTTTTTCTAGATATTCATTTTCTAGTAAAGTGCTAAGATTGCAGTCCTGAAACTGTTCACACGTAAGTCCGCCCTAAGGCAGATGATGCGCTATTATGTAAATTTTCATGCAGTCGTGGAAATAACACAGAGGGATTCCCACATATCTTATACCTGGTTTTTTCCAGTGGTTACATCTTGCATAACTGTAGTACAATATCGCAACCAAGAAACTGTCATTCGTACGACCCACTGACCTTATCAGATTTTTACCAATTTTATATGTATTTGTATTTGCTTCTATTTAGTTTTCTAAATTTTATCACATATGTAGGTATACATGAACACAGTAAAAATACGGAAAAGTTCAGTTAACATGATACATTCTGCTACACGTATAGCCACAAATAATTCTCTCCCTCATCCATAAATAAATAAATAAACATTTATTTCTTAATATTCAGACATAGGGTCTTACTATGTTGCGTAGGCTGGGCTTGTTCTACTGGGCTCAAGCAGTCTTGCCACCTCAGTCTTCCAAAGCAGCTGTGATTACAGGCATGTGTCACTGTGCCTTGCTTCTATTATATCTAATTTTAAAAGAATAATGTACTCATGTATTACTTGTATTATGAATATTAATAAACAAACAGAACTTGCACTTTCTCATTTGCACATTAAAAAATTGATCTGGCTTCTACACATTTACACATGAATCAGAACGCTAAAGAGAGGACATAATGTAATATAAATGTTTTGAAATTCTACTGAATTGGGTTTTTAAAAATTTGTATGTTTATAAAATGTGCAGTATTATGGTTTCTTTATGAAATGATTTCTGATTTAACATGCAAAGGAGGAATAAATGAAGGATGAGAGAGGGAGGGAGGAAGGAAAGAAGGGAATCAGGGAGGGATAGAGAGAAGAAAGAGGAAACAGGGAGGGACGGGACACAGAAGAGGGGAGAAAAGGAGGGAAGGTGAAAACTGGTAGATATAAAGGATCTACATAAGGGGATTATATTATAGAACAACATGGTTAGGGATTAGATGGAGATAAAACCTCCATGAATACACTAACACGGAGATTTGCTATTATCCAATAATCAGCTAACATGATGTTCACAGTAAGCCCCAATGTCCATTTGGACTAATAAAGATTTGCCACCTCCTCCTGACATGAACCTAAATTGGGCCCCTGATGGAAGTAGTGGAAAGAGGTCAAAAATCAGGTCAAACAAACTTGAAATAGATAAGATATTGATTTATATAAAACATTTTTTTTCAGGTTATGGTACTTGGGTGCATGTGCATACGCAGTTGTGTGCATGTATGTAATATATCCAATAACATTCACAGTGACACCCTGATGTAGGTATTATAACCATTTAAATACTAATGGACAAAAGGTTTAAGTATAAGTTGTTGAGTTACTGAAGGGAAAAAGAGAGAGGGAGGGAGGCAGGAGAAAGAGAGGAAGGAAGGAAAGGAGAGAGGGAGGGAAGGAAGAAATGGGGGATACAGGAAAAAAGAAAGAAGGGAGAAGGGAAGAAAGAAGAAAATACGGTATGTAGATAAAAAGTGATAATTATTCTATTGATAGGCACAAACTGATATTCTGTTTTAATTGAAAAAAGATCATTACCAAAGAGATAAACTGACATACATATTAGTGTGACCATACTATCTGTCTGCTGACTTTTGCCAAACCACTAAGAGCGACAATAATGTTGTATTTTGTTTTTCCCTATGGTCCAAAGAACAGAGTAGGCCTGACATTTACATTGTCAGAGCACAACATGAGCTAGCAAATGAAGTCAAAGGACCACTCTCTCATTTCACCAAGGGATGAAGATGTGCCAAAGTTGTCTTCAGGGAAAAAAAAGTTTATAACACTTTGAATTTCTGATAAATATCAAGAAAAATTTTAGCAGAGTAAATTTAAATTGTGAAGTCATTATTTGAAGTATTTTTGTTATTATTTTGGATTATTTTGATTCTATCATTTGACAAAATATTGTTGTGCAAGTAAAAGTACTTTGATAGCTCTGGGGTCTTCATCTGGGCCTGGTTTTACATTTCTTTTGTTTATTTTTTGTAGAGGAATTTTACAACCACTATCTACTAATCAGAAATTTTGTAATTAAATTTAAATTATAATAATACATTTTGGTTTTCACTGAATCAGTTATTAATTTAGCATCTCTTTTTTGTATGTGGTGAGAATATCTTATTTTAAACTATTACTATGAAACATAGTGAATGAGTCATTTCTTTAAAAACAATGAAAAGCAAGCACAACCTCTACCCACCCTCTGTCTTCACACCCTGAAAAAAAAAAAAAAAAACCTTCACCTAAGTTCTAGCTTACTGAAATACAGTATCCCTTAATGTTATTTTCTGTTAGTTGTTAACAAGATATTACAAATGCAGTAATAAAATTTTTAGGTCAGCAAGATTTATGCTTTATTTAACTGCTGAACTCTTGCTATTAGAGGAAAGGAATGATTAGTTGTTCTCGTTTACAATGTGACATTTACATTAAGCAATAAATGCTCTAGCAGTGTATTAATTTATTTGTCATATGATCTTGGATGTGTGTAATAATTTGTAAAAGTTTTCCTATAGCCAAGGATATGGTGCTACATTTTTTCCAATAACAAATGCATTTTCATATTCAATCATTGCCTCTAATTTACTTTTAAAGTAGGTTTAGCAGTATTAATGGTGAGGCAAGCATGTTTTAATAATAGTGTTTATATGAATTTCTGAATAATTATGCTTTAACAAACTCATTAATATGGAGTAATTTTCAATTTTTTGCTTGTGTCCCAAATTATTTTTCAAGTCATTTGTTTTAATAAAATAGAATTTCCTATCTTATAACCTCAGTTTTGGAGTAATCCCCCAAAAGATAATGGCTATTTTATCTCAATATATTATTACATAAGTATAAATAAGTAATTGAATGAACTGTAGTAAAACCATATGATTCAATTATTTATATATTTCAAAACAGCTGGTTTTTGCATCATGTAGGCCAAAACATCTGGCTGTTTATTTTCTAATCATTTTTAACACAAAGTAAATATAGCTAAAAATAAAGGTAGAACAACTCATTCTTTATTTTGTACTATTAGGAATTCTAGGGAGAAATGATTGGTAATGATACCATTTGATGGATTCATAATTTTTCAAATGTTATGAATATTTAAAATGAAGGGAATATGTGAGATAATATTCTGGTGTCTTCAAGTATTTCAAGGGCTTTCAATGGGTCAAAACTTAGGGCAGGTTTAGGAAGAATTTTCTAAGGGTAACAAAACTGTTGCAATGCCTATAATGTATAAGGTTTTATGATGAGTACTTTCACATACATTGTATCTTGAAATAATTACAACTTTTTGTAACTGTTTTCATTTTGAAAGAGAAAAATGGTCACAGTTGTGATTTCAGCCTTGGTCTAGAAGACTTTAAAGTCCTACCTTTGTTGATTTTAAGGCTCTTACCAATGTATATGTTCAGGCAATTGATGAACACTTAGTAAAGATATCCTAGAGGATAAGAAAGTATCATTTGGTGCTGGAGGAGGTAATGATTCTCACTTTTAAATACATATTTTCTAATAACTTCTAGAGCTTTGCCCATTTTTTCTAAGTTCTTTCTGAGTTTAGTATTGGCACCTTATGTGGTTTGGCTTTGTCCTCACCCAAATCTCATCTTGAATTGTAGCTTCAGTAATGCCCATGTGTCGTGTCGTGGGAGGGACATGGTGGGAAGGAATTGAATCATGGGTGCAGGTCTTTCCAAAGCTGTTCTGGTGATAGTGAATAAGTCTCATAAGATGTAATGATTTTATAAAGGGGAGTTCCCCTGCATATGCTCTCTTGCCTGCCGCCATGTAAGATGTCCCTTTGCTCTTACTTCATCCTCTGACATGATTGTGAGGCCTCCCCAGCCATGTGGAACTGTGAGTCCATTAAATGTTTTTCCTTTATAAATTACCCAGCCTCAGTTATGTCTTTATTAGCAGCATGAGAACAGACTAATATGGCATCCACAATAATTGTTAGAGGGAGAACTATATTTCTTGGAAATATATGTACATAAACAATAACAGTTGCTGAATTTTCTAAGACTATGCTAAGAATGTAACAACTTGGAACTAAGAAATTGACCATAATTTTTTATAGGATGTTCCATTTCAACATAATATCAACAAAAAAAAATCTTTGTATGGTAACACTAGAAAATGTAGTATTAGAATCTCAAATCTGAATTTTCCCTCTTTGGTCATTGCATTGACCAAAATATATGGACTAAAAAAATAACACCTTACTTTAATATAGAATCCTTATGGATTTTTTTGAAAATGTCACTTACATTATGAGATATAAGACATTTCATAGAGTGAGATAGCCCTAGGTGAGAGTCCTCATTTTGCTATTTACCTATATGAGCTTGCCCAAGGTTAGTTGACCTTTCTCTGTCCTTGCATTTTTGTAGCACTAAAATAGAAATATGTATTTACCTCATTTGATTCTTAAGAGAATTTTTTTAAGTTAACACATGTTTTATGGTAGCTGGCACATAGTAAATCTTAATAAAAGGTATGATTACAAAAAAGGAAATGCTGTTCTCATTAGTAATGTGACCATATAGACAATAAATTTTCTCTGGGAAATTATAATTTAGGTAGGAATTTCAGTTGTTACTGTGCTTTTCATGCTAAAATAAAGACATAGACCTACTGTTGGTCAACAGTATGTTTTAGGGGGAGTTAGGATGATATTTTGAGGCCTTTATATTTTGCTACCATAATGAAATAATAGAAAATGTAATTACAGAATTCAGATTTATTTTTTATACTGCATCTTTACTACAAAGAAAGAAACATGATCAGAGCTGCACGGACAATGAGGTGTTTTAACCTAAACAGTTT
Source organism: Homo sapiens (assembly GCF_000001405.40). NCBI lineage: Eukaryota > Metazoa > Chordata > Mammalia > Primates > Hominidae > Homo > Homo sapiens. Next base: position 41,764,749 of record NC_000014.9, read on the forward strand.
ATTTAGGAATATATTGTGCCTGTATTTACTAACATGTGTGCAGAATACATATATATGATTATATATGCAGAATACATATATATGATTATATATGCAGAATACATATATATGATTATATATGCAGAATACATATATATTCATATAAATATTATTTTTATAACAACAAAATCCCAGAAAGGTGTACTTTTTCAGTTAAGATACTTTACCAGCTAAGATTACGCTTATGGTAGATGTGCACTGTTAGAATGGATGGATTCATGCTAGAAGACAGAAATGGAATGTTTTTCAAGACGTTAAAGAAACAGAGCACAGGCCGGGCGTGGTGGCTGACGCCTGTAATCCCAGCACTTTGGGAGGCCGAGACGGGCGGATCACGAGGTCAGGAGATCGAGACCATCCTGGCTAACACAGTGAAACCCCGTCTCTACTAAAAGTACAAAAAAATTAGCCGGGCGTAGTGGCGGGCGCCTGTATTCCCAGCTACTCGGGAGGCTGAGGCAGGAGAATGGCGTGAACCCGGGAGGCGGAGGTTGCAGTGAGCCGAGATCGCGCCACTGCACTCCAGCCTGGGCTACTGAGCGAGACTCCGTCTCAAAAAAAAAGGAGGAAAAAAAAAAAAAAAAAACAGGGCACAACAGAGCAAAGTATTCTGATATATGTACAAAAATTTACAAACGCACACACATACATACACACACAAACTATTTCTGAAAGAATGTTCTAAAATGTGAAATTGGTTTTCTCCGAGGAGGACATCTTACTTTGGAGGAAGATGTACTATTGGATTTCTGATGTTTTTGTCATGCATATATGAATGTGAAAGTTAGCTTAAAATATATTCATGGAAGGAAATAAATGAAAAGGCAAACAATTGCTGTATCAACATGGTTGTCAAATGATTGATTTATATTCATATTTGTGTATGTGGTATGTCCCAGTTATTCTAAAATGCTATAGTAAACATAAATTTCAAAAAGATACAGCATTGATTGACAGATTCAGATAAATAATTGAAATATATAAGCTATAATTTACTTTTATTTAATTGCACAAGTAATCTGTGCCTTGATTTTTAGTATTTCTGACCATATCAGTATTAAATTAAGCAATAGCTTAATTTTCCTTTTTAAATAAATTCCTAATTATTGAGTATCTTAAGACAATATAATCACTTCTTTAAATTTTGACTCTATAAGATCATTCATATATCTTTACAAGTGGAGGCAGCAGAAATAATAAGCTAAACTCAAGTTGCTGTTTCATCTTAGGTCTGTTTTTTATTATTATGCTTTGGAATTTCATTATTTCTCACTTTCGCTTCTTCAGACAAAATAAGTTATAGTTAAAGTAAAATTACAATGCTTTTATTAATTTCAAGAACGTTTTAAAAATTCAGCCTATTTCTGCATTACAAATATCAGTGATTGAATATCAATTTGTACTATTACATAGTAATCTTATAGGAAAGAAAGTTAAGTATTGTGTTTTATAGAGCCAAGTTAGCTATTCTTTAGAGTGACATGAAAACCTCAAAAAGAGGTTGAAATCAGTAATCTTCTGACATAAAGTTAAAAAATAAATGGCATGCCTATGTATTTCTTTCATAGACATATAGGTTGCAATAGTCAGATTTTCTCTGTTGAAAAATATACGGGAAAAACAACATAAGACTATTAGTTTAATCAGGATAAGGGTTTTTCAGGTTCATTCACTGCCATATGCTAACTGTCATATGACTCGTAAGTAGTAGGTGATGCTTAAATATATGTTAACTTATGCACTGTTTTAACATTAGACTGCAAGTTGAATTAATTTAAATATGATGAAATCGAACTATACAGCTTAAGATTATTTAAATTATCCTCAGTTTTGATAAGAAAACTTATTTCAAAAAGGAAAGGAGAATGCTAATATATTTATTGAAATCACAGTATGTTGCACATTCCATTGGAAAGCTTTATTATGCAAATATATTTAAATCATATTGCATGATACTCCTGCTGTAGTTTGAGATTGATCACCCAGTTAACAGCCACTATATTTTTCAAGGATACTTTATAAGCATTTTTTGATACACTCTTTTTTTGTGCTTGCCTCCTTTGAAGAATCCCTGTAACCATTCATCCAGGTGTTGAGAAGATATGTAGCAGCCGAGCACCCATCTTTTGACACCGTCCTCTGAAATCAGCTTTGGAGATGCTTTCACTCTGTCCGTCTTCTGCAGCAGCCAGGCAGAGTGCCGACTCCTTCACAGCCGTGAGGAACTCTTCAGGCTCCAGAAGTAAGTTGATTGCATTCAGTTCAATCATTGTCAGTGGGTTTAAAACACTTAAGGGAGGAAAACTAAAAATCTTGCTAACTTACATACAAATTAAACCTAGTATTATTCATCACTGATTACCTTGTTTTTTGTTGTTGTTGTTGTTTTTGAGTCATATTTTTTGGAGATTCAATGTCTACCACTTTTTGTGTTGATAACCTCTATCCTTATGGAATTTTCTGATTTTTTTTTTTAGGATTTGTGTTTCACATGCATTATCATAATTTATACTTACAACCCTAAGGCCTGGACAAGGAATAGATTAAAATAACAATGTTTGCAAATGAATAAAAAGGTTCAAAATGACCAAATATTTTATCAAATTTGCTTGGCTAATAAACTATGAAAATGGAATACAATTTCTCATTTTCTGAATTTAAAAAAAATAAGTGTTGTTTCCATGGCTTTGATGTCCAGTGCTATATAGAGGGTAATGAACTGGTGCTAGAAAGAGCACTTTTCCTGATTGGTTGGTTTATTGAATGATACGTTATCTGGGTCATTCAAGGAGAGTTTATGCCAGCCTTTAAATGTGCATACTAGAAAAACAAAAGAAAATGAAAATCATATATAGGAAAATGAATTGAAATCAGGGGACATGAAGATCTGTAAAATGCATAACACAATGTACTGCATACCACCACAAAACAAATTCCCAGCCATAAATTTATGTATGGGCTTTCTAACTTCTAGGGAAATCAGGTAAATGTATTAGTTAAAAGATTATTTATGGTCATAGGATTTGAAAATAAAGACAACGTCTCAGGAAAAGTTCGGACTTTCCTGGTTCATACTTATGAGCCTGTTGTTTTGCCATGTTTCTAGTTTAACTTCATGTTTGAGGCATTTTTTTTTCTTCTCCTAAATACTTGATGTAAGCATTTCTTGTTGCTCTTGGGGATATATTTACATCGCAATGTCACTGCACAGAAAATTGATTGTAGGTGCACTTTTATATAGAACAAAAGTTTGATATAGCTGAAATTGTCAGTGATTGGATGCTTGGCAGTTAAAATTTTCTTGAAGTGAACAGGTAAGAGATACTTAATGAACCCACTTTTATTTTGCGACATATTACATGTCAATATGCAATAGAAATGCATATGTTATTAGAAGAACAGAAAAACTGTAGTTAAGAATTTATATCTGAATCATGATGTATCTAATTATATAACATTTAAAATAGGCAGCCAGTATGTTGTTGCTAGTATGCTCAAGGTGGTGTAGAAGGACTACTTTTAAGACATATACAAAAATAATATATCTAGATTATATTGAGGTTAATTGATTATAAATGTGATGATGGTGTAAAATGATGAGTCTGAGTATGCAGATTGATTCATTCCAAACATGATTTTAGTGTAGGTTTCTTCTTCCTATATTTTGTTACCTGGTACTGCTTTTGTACATAATTTATTCATTTATTTTAGGAATTGCTTTTGTTGCTTTGCTTCTTTAGATTTCCATTAAATAAAACAACATGAGAAATGCATTCTAAATTTTCTGTGTTTTTCATGTGCTTAAGGAGACAGAGGACACTGTCCAAGCCTGAGGCGACTGTGAAAATGTAAAAATAGTGTGTTTCTTTATGGCAACCCCACAAGAAACTCCAGAGATTTTATCTGCCCAATTAGTTAATTAATAATTTTTTGTATGTTGTTTTCCACTGGCAAGACTTTTTCTAGATAAAAGCATTTACTTTACAAAAGCTGTTAGCAAAGGAACTGTGTTGACTGATAGATTCTCTAGTGTAAATCACAAAACAAAGTAAATTCAAACACATTTTCATTTACTAATTGCTAAAATCAAGGCCAAAAGATTTTCTTAATTAACCTGGAAATAAAAGGCTAACCAGAAATAATTTATATGTTGAAAAAGACTCTTCCAAGTTAATGCTTGATTTGGTTTTTTAAATTAGCAGTCCATTAGCGTGTAGAAGTAGTACCTCATGTTCTCTATTTTTTCTTTGGAGTAACATTAGGTTAATGTCTTGCGTGAAATTAATCACTCTGAAAAAAAAAAAACAGAAAGTAAACACGTTCCTAATTAGGTTTGTCCAACTTCAAATAGCTCATTGAAAATTCATAGGACATCCATTAAAATCCCTTTAAAAATTAATGGAATACCAGAAACTTTCTTAGAGTGAAACAGTGAATGGAGTAGTAGTAGCAGAATAATGATGCAATGGAATATCCACTTGTGATTAAGGAGGACAGCTGAGGTGGTAATGGTTGCTATTATGATTATTTTTCTCACTCTGGCATTTCCAATTAGCCTTGGACAGTAGAAGACTACTTTTGTCTGTTTCTCTATTCGTTCTCACTTGACAAAAGTATTGATGAAATTAAACAGTGCTTAATGTCTTAACAGCAAATGTGCCTGTAGGTACATGCTTTTGAAAATACATACCTATGTATGTGTGTGTATTTATGTGCATGTATGTGTATGTATATATTTACATATGTGTGTGTATATATGTATATATGTGTACGTATATGTAAAGATAATTTATTGTACACACAATGACGATAATTATTTTACAAAGCTAATATTCCTTTTAACTATTAAGGTATCCTTAATGACATTAAATATATAATATTTAAGTGGTGCTTTATTTTTCTGAAATCAACTCCCTTATATTTAAAGTGTGTAAATTATCACCTTTTATGACATTATTTGAAAGTGGCTTAACTAGCTATCATAATAATTGTCAATATATTATCATTTGACAATTTGTAGTATTCTTTACTAAACATTAATTTATTTGCCATGTATACCATTTCTATGAGTCCAGTTTTCATTTGTCTATTTCTTCAACCATGTGTTAGTCCATTTTTGCATCACTATAAGGAAATACCCAAGGCTAGGTAATTTAGAAAGAAAAGAGATTTAACTGGCTCTTGGTTCTGCTGGCTGTACAGGAAGTGTGGTGGTGAGCCCCTCAGGAAGGTAATCATTATGACAGAAGGCAAAGGGGGAGCAGGCACATGACATGGAGAGAGTGGGAGCAGGAGAGAAAGTGGGGAGGTGCTTCACTCTTTTTAACAACCGGATCTCACATGAACTAACTGACCAGGAATTTACTCATCACCAAGGAGCCATTCATGAGGTATCTATCCCCATGATCTAATACGTCTCACTAGGCCCCACCTCCCACATTGGTGATTACATTGTAATAAGAGATTTGGAGGGGATAATCATCCAAACCTTGTCATTCCATCCCTGGCCCCCCCAAATCACATGTTCTTTTCAGATTGCAAAATACAATTATCGCTTGCCAATAGGCCCCAAGAGTTTTTAATCATTCCAACATTAAGTCTAAAGTCCTGTCTCATCTGAGACTCATCTCCTTCCACCTATGAGCCTGTAAAATCAAAATGAGTTATTTGGTCCCAAAATACAATGATGCTACTGGCATTGGGTAAGCATTACCATTCCAAAAGGGAGAAATTGGCAAAAAGCAAGGGGTAATAGACCCTGTACAACTCTGAAACCCAGCAGGGCAGGCATTAAATCTTAAAGCTCCAACACAATCCTCGACTTCATGTTCCACAGCATGTTGTGAAGGATGGGCCCCCAAGGACTTGGGTAGCCCTGTGCCTGTGGCTTTGCAGGACACAGTACACATAGCTGCTCTCACAGGTTGCAGTTGTATGCTTGTGGCTTTTCTGGGCAGAGGGTTCAAGCTGCCAGTGAATCTACCACTCTGGGTTCTGGAGGACAATGGTTTCCTTCCCACAGCTCCACTAGACAGTGTCCTGGTGGAGACTCTGTATGGGGCCTCCAATTCCATACTTTCCCTCAGCATTGCCCTGGTAGAGTTTCTCTGTGAGGAGCTCCACTCTTGTGGCAAGCTTCTGCTTGGGCACCCAGTCTTTCCTATATATCCTCTGAAATCTAGGTGGTAGCCACCAAGCCCCCTTCACGCTTGCAGATTTAACACCATGTGGAAACCACCAAGGCTTAAGGCTTGTGCCTTCTGGAGCTGTGGTTTGAGCTGTACTTGGGCCCCTTTGAGCCATTACATAGCTGGAGCAGCAAGTATATGGGGAGCAATATCTCAAGGCTGCTCAGGGCAGTGGGGCCCTAGGCCTGGCCCCTGAAACCATTCTATTCTCCTGGGCCTCTGGCCCTGGATCTCCTCGCCCAGAGGCCCAGGAGAATAGAATGGTTTCTGGGAGCAGGCCCAGTCTTGAAGATCTCTGAAATTCCTTCAAGGCATTTTTCCCATTGTCTGGGATATTAGCTCATGGCGTCCTTCTGGTCACGCATGCCTCTCTAGCACATGGTTGCTCCATCGGTTCTTTATATTCTTTCTCTGTCACTTGGCCAGTTTGCAAATTTTCCAAACTTTTATCCTCTGTTTCCCTTTAAATATAAGTTTCAACTGTAGATCATTTATTTGCTCCTGTATATAATTTAGGCTGTTAGAAGGAGCCATGTCACTTCTTGAACATTTTGCTGCTTAGAATTTTTTTCTGCCAGATACCCTAAGTCATCACTCTTAATTATCAACTTTCACAGATCCCTAGGACCTGGATGCAGTACAGCCGAGTTATTTGCTAGGGTGTAACAGGGAGGACCTTTACTCCATTTCCCAGTAACTTCCTCATTTCCATCGGAGACCTTGTCAGTGTGGTCTTCACCATCCATATCTCTGTCCGCATTTTGGTCAAAACCATTTAACCAGTCTCTTAGAATTCTAAACTTTCCCTCATCTTTCTGTCTTCTGAGATCTCCAAAGTCTCCCAAACTCTGCCTGTTACCCAGTTCCAAAGCCACTTTCACATTTTCAGTTATCTTTATAGCAATGCCCCACTGCTTAATACCAATTATCTGTGTTAGTTCATTTTTGTATCACTATAAAGAAATGTCTCAGGCTGGAAAATCTATAAAGACAAAAGGATTAATTGGCTCATTATTCTCTAGGCTGTAGGAAGTATGGCGTCAGCATCTGCTTTTGGTGAGGGCCTTAGGAAGCTTACCGTCATGGCAGAAGGCAAAGCAGTACCCAGCAGGTCACATGATGATAGTAGGAACAAGAGAGCGAGGGGGGAGATGATACATCTTTTCAAACAACCAGATCTTGCATGAACTGAGTGAGAACTCACTCATCACCAAGGAGATAGCACTAAGTCATTCGTGAGAAATCCACCCTCATGATCCAAACACCTCCCACTAGGCTTCACCTCCAACACTGGGGATTACGTTGCAACATAAGTTTTAAAGGAGACAAACATCCAAACCATATCAAATCTGATAGATATATTTTCATGTTTAATATCCTTAGGTATATACTTCACTGCCTAAAATCATCCCGTAAAATATGATCCACAAAAACATACAGATACAAAATAAAGTCATCAATAGGACAAAAGCAATATGCTACCTATAAATGCTTATCTGGTTACATGAATTGAGTTCAATTAGTTTAAATGATATCAAAAGTTAGAGCAAATTAGACATGCTATCTTATGCAGCATTCACTTTGCAAAGAAGAAAGAATAAAAAACCCTCAGACAATAAAAAATTCTTTATAATGGCTCTCACAAATTTGTATAGCACAGACCTTGCTAGTCAATTCCAAATTGATATATCTAATTACCTACATGCCTTAAATTTAACTTGTGGAAAACTAACCTCTTGATTATCTTGCCACATACATTCTTCTGGTGTTCTTGAGCTCAGTATACGGCTCACCATATACCAGTAAAATTCTGAATCATTTTGTCATCTTTCTCAATCTTTCACTCCACAAAAACAATTCATCACCTAATCTGGTCAGTTTTACCTACAAAGAAAATTCTAAAATTCATCTACTTTTCCCTATTTTTACTATCATTATCCTAATCTTTACTACTGTGATTTCTCCCGTAGACTACCCCAAGAGCCTCCTAAATTATTTACAATACCCAGCGATGTATCTATTTTGCTTATTCTCCACATGCAGACAGAGAGAGCTTACAAAACACAAAATTGAGATGTCGTGACCTCAGTAAAGACCATTATTCTTAGACTGAAGACAAAGTTATTTAACATGGCTTACAATGTTATCCATGGTTTAGCATTTTTCTAAATGGCCCCAAGTTGTCCCCCATCATGCCCTTCTTGCATTCAAGGCACAAAGACCTTTCTGTTCTTGTTCATATAATGTCACCTCCCACCATGGTCTTTGCACCTGACTGTTTCTCCCTGAGCAGCTCACTTTTTTTGCCTGCATCTCATTCAGTAGTCACTTTCTGAAGGAAGTTTTCTTGGTCAGCCAAACCAGATATGTTCTTTCTATTATATGGTCTCATAGCATCATATACCTGTATTTCATTATATTTTTATGTTTTTTTCTTTAGTTGTTTGATTAATATTGTCCTCTCCTCCAGAATGTAAACACTGCAAGATCAGAGTCTACATCAATTTTGCTCAACATTAAAATGCCTTTTTTATTATATTGTATATAATCACAGGCATAGAGCATTTTCCTCTCTCTCTCTCTTTGTCTCTCTCTCTCTCTGTCTCTTTCTCTTTCTCTCTCTCTGCAGATTAATACGACTGGAATTTTTGTCTAAAAAATAATTACAGACTTGTTGGTGAGGTAAGGCAGTACACTGCAGAAATAACTACCATATGATAGTGAGGAAAAGCTACAAATAGTCATGTGAGTTCAGTGGAAAAGGAGATTACTTCCATCTGAGATAATGCAAATATACTTATTAGAAGTACCAATTTTCTGGCTTTCAGAGACAGGCTTCAGCATTAAACTATTGTGGTTAATATGCTGATATATTGTCTCTTTTAAATAAAAATTATAAAAACTAGAAAGACAATGCAGAGTCTTTCTGAAAGCCCATACATACTGATACAACAGCTACAAATGTCTTAGCTGGCAGTACTTGATATAGAGGAGTCTCTGCTGTCTCTGCCTGCTGTTAATGTTGGTCTTTGTGTTGCTAACACTATGGTTCTTACTGTGAAATGTCCAGGGAAGAAGTCTGAATAAATGCTCTTCTTTATGAGAAAATGATGAGTTTACATTTAGGACCAGGAGAGATTTATGTAACTTGGAGAGTACTCTTGGCAACCAACATTAGATGCATGACAACAATCTTAATTGCAAAGCATTGGCTATGAAAACCAATGGAAACAATCCAATTTGTACTGACTCAATGTAAGGTTATTAACTCAGTTATTGTAATGAGCAATCTATTTTGTGAATGTGCAGTTGATCTCCATATACCACTACAGACTACACTATGGAGTATTTTAACACATATTAAACTTAGAATTTCTGTGTAAACTGAGGCATCTCTTATCAATATGAAACAGAATATAGGAGCCTTTACAGCAAGAAAAACATTGGCAGTCTCTACAAAGGCTTCTTTTAGGATAATTCATGATTTATTATGGGAAGAAATTCATAGATTGGAAGAATTGTGTATTGATTATAAATGCTAACATAATATTACTAATGATTTGTAATATGAAATGAATAAAACACGACAAAATTTAATGTTGAAACTACATGACAAATTGTATGGAAAAAACATCAGGAATTTGATAGATTCAGGACTACCAGGTGAAAACATTAATAGCATAAGAAAATCTAGACTTGATTTTGAAAAGCGTTAACTTAGATGTTAGTTAACTTTGATCATACAGTTTTCACACGTAAGTATTCAATAGTTAGAATATTTAAGAATCCCAGTGAGGTTGAAAAGATCATGACAGAGAGGATACATAAAGCACACCTATTGGGAATGCTGACATGTAGGCGATATATAGGTTAGTTGCTAACAATAACCTCTTTCATCACTCCTGATTACATATGTAAGGCTGGATAATGACTGTGATCTTGCAGGGGGGTAGCTTGATCTTACATGTATAACTAAACTTCCCTTTGGCCTCTTAGGAATAATGAAGGATAACTGACTCAACATAAAAACACATTTCCCCTGTAGTAATACAATAAAAGTCCAGGCACATTAGATTTGACAATTGAGGTGAAAGATTTGATGCTACTTTTTCTTTTTCTTTTTTTTTTTTTTTGAGACGGAGTCTCGCTCTGTCTCCCAGGCTGGAGTGCAGTGGCGCGATCTCGGCTCAATGCAAGCTCCGCCTCCCGGGTTCACGCCATTCTCCTGCCTCAGCCTCCCGAGTAGCTGGGACTACAGGCGCCCACCACCAGGCCCGGCTAATTTTTTGTGTTTTTAGTAGAGGCGGGGTTTCACCGTGTTAGCCAGGATGGTCTCGACTCCTGACCTCGTGATCCGCCCACCTCCGCCTTCCAAAGTGCTTGTATTACAGGCAAGCCACCGCACCCGGCAGTTGCTACTTTTTAAGCAACTATTTTTTATAAGGTGACTTTTCCTCTTAATGCCAGGCAATCATAAATCCATAATAAGAATCTGGCTTTCTTTTTGATAACTGGCATGCAAATATGGATTACTATGCTAAATCTTCAAGCTTTCACATACTGTTTAATATCTGGAAAACAAATAACCTTTTCATACCTGCTTACTTATTTATGTCTTGAAGATGTAGTTCCATTACAGGCAAATAAGCATCTCTTAGATTATTTCAATACCTACTGCAGTAATGATTTTAACGCAGAAATCATCCACAATTGAAAAAATGCATTCATTATTTATAAAGTGACAGAATTATAGGGTAAACCTTTTTATAATGAGAACCCTCTCGTTATAAAAAAGGAGGAATATTCACAAATAAAATTATATGTAATTTTAAATTAATGTTCTCGTTTTATCAAGGTTGTATTATGAAGCATTTTTCAACATTTCTTATATGCATCCTGCAATAAAACAGCAGGTGATCAAAATTTTCGGTCAGATTTACTAAAAAGTGGTTCTAAATGTAACAGCTATACTGACGATGAGAGTGGGCTTATGGCCTTCATGGATTTTCTTTAGGTAGTTATATGCAAACACTCCAGTCTGGAAATTGGTGTGGCCTGAATGTGTCACTAAGTAGTGATTCCAGCAAACAACCAACATTGGAATCGCTTCTTGGATTTGTGGTTCTATATTTATCATAACATACATGTTACTCTTTTGAAAGTTAAAAGAGATTGTTTAAATTTTTAGTGTATTTTATGGGAAGTTTTATAGTAGTAATCCTGATTCCTAAATATTTGGGGACAAAATACACATAAATGACTTCCTGTTTAGTTAGTTCCATAAGTGTATTCATGTCAAGGGATCTATGCTGCCCCAATAGGAAAAGTAATGATAGATAAGGAAGGTATTGAAGGAAATGTCAAGTAAGAATCTTTTAGTTACCACGTGAGTATCCCCGTTTTGGTGTCTTCTGAGTGGATTCCTGAGTCTTATTTGGTGTGGGTTTATGGGCATTCTGGTGTTTACCTATGCGAATAACACAGAGATAATTTTTTAATATAATGACACAGTTATCATTTCACACAATGTATGGATGCCTTAATTTAGTGTGTTTTATTGTCATCAGCTTTTGTGAAACATTTTTATACTTAATAACTTGTCTTTAATTTAAAGGGACTGCCCACTGAGGGTGACAGTCCTTTTTACAAAGAGGAATTTTCATAAAGGACCCAACATTTTAAGAAAAGGATTGTCTCAGAAACCCTTTACCAAAATAAAAAGCTTTCATTTAATGTGATGAAATTATCAATTATTTATTTTGCTGTGTGTGCGTGTGTGCTTTTTTGTGCCTTGTTTAAGCTATCTTTCTCTGCTATTGAAGAAATAAAGATATTTTCCTAGGCATTCTTTAGTATTTTAAAAGTTTATTTTCACATTTTTTGTGTAATGTAGAAATTAAGTTGGATTTGCAGTACTGTACAGTTCCATTTATGTTTTCCATACTTATAACCAATTGTCTTGTATTGTTTATTTAATAATGTATCCTTTACACATTGAATTGGAATTCTAGCACTGCCATATACAGTTTTCATATATGAATGGATATATCTTGATTTTTCTATTTATTTTATTGTTATATTCATCATCTCTGCACAAATACTATACTCTAATGTAATTATCCTATTTGTAATATGTCTCAATAGATTGTGGAATAAATAGCTACTTCCATTTCTCTTCAAAATTGCCTTGCCTAATGTTGATTTTTTATTCTTTATCCTTCTATTTTAATTTTAGGAGTACACAAGTTTGGTGAAAAATTATGTTGTAAATTTTATTGGAGTCACAAGTAATTTTTATTTTAGATGAGTAGAAATATTTTATTTTATATTTTTAAATAATTACTCTATCAATGTTCTTTTTTAGGTCCTATACTACATTTTTATAAAATTATCCTATACATCTTGAGTTTCTTTTCTGTTTCTTCACAAATGATGCTTTTTGTGTTTCTGTGTATGGATTTTTAAAGTGTTACATTTTTACATTGATTTGTCTGAGCAGTAACATTGCTTTTTATCATTATCTCTTCTAACTAACTATGCTGAAGTCTAACTAGTTTTAGTAGTTTTGTTTGTTATTCCGATTACATGTTTGTAGTTATAATATCTATGAAAATAGCACTATTAAATTTTCCTTATATTATTTTTTCATCATCTAATTGAGCATGCTAGGAGCTCTATTACATTGGTAAATGAAAATAGTGATCAAGGTCATTCTTATGTTTTCCTTCGCTTTTTGTATTTGCCATAGTGTAGGATGTTTTCTTTAAATCATTTTATGGTGAGTACCATTTTTGGATATATACACTGTAAAACTGCAGAAGCACAATTGTCCCTTTTATTATCTTCTTCATAATGAACATTATGGAGATGCTATTGCAGTAATCTGTTTTAATTTTTAATGGGTAATGGTGTTTAAACTAACCAAACCTTAATCCTGTTTCTGACTCTGTCTTTAAGATGGTAATTCTTCACAACTTACATTGCAGACAGGATAAAAGAACCATTAAGAAGATGCATGGGATCCTTTTTTTTTGGTGGGGGGGGGGGATTGAGAGGGGAAGATTATACTTTTGAATATCTCAATATTTGATAATTTTTAATAGTATTTTTTCCAGGCTCAGAATAATGTCCCTTCTCAGCTCTTTTCCAGAAAACTTTATTTTGGCATATTTAAATATGAAATATTTATAATGACTGAAAATAAATATTTGATTCCCAGTCTGAATCTAGAAGAAAATAGGATTTTTAAAATAAATGAGCAATTAGGCATGTGTTTCATAATTGGATAGAATTTGAAACAACATGACTCTTCTTTTATAACTGAAGGATGAGGGGCCATCAAGAGATTAATTTGTGTGAGCTTATGCAGACAATTTGTGTAATTGGCTTATCTTCTTCTGGGCTATAACTTCAAAATTTTAAAGTACTTTGGGGACTATTTTATAGTTTTACAGGTAAAATTTCTTGGTTTTCTTTCCCAGTTTATTTCTTTGATTATCGTTGGTTTCTATACTGCCATTTGCTCCTATGGACAGATTGTTATTATTATCATCATGATTATGGTTTAGTATTTTAGTGAATAATATTGTGCTATTATTTTTGTAACATTTAATGAAGAAAGGTTTATAAAACTCATGTACACTTTAATTAATAACTACAATGTGAAGAACTATGGAGCTACCACTCAGTTCAAGAAACAGAACATTGTTATGATCCCTTTCTGCCTCTGTGTGCAATATTGTCCTTCACTAAAGCTAAAAGTTGTATAATGAACTAAGCTACGTAATAACCATTTCTTTGTTTTTTTAGATTTATGGTTATTATAAAGTACATGTGAATTGTTGTACATGTGCACAAATTTCCACATAAGGATCTTGTACATATTTTGTTAAGTTTGTACTCACTTACTAATGGCAGGAGTTTTTTTAATCAGTTCTTTGGGATTTTCTATGTAGACAGACGTGTCATCTGTGAACAAAGACAGTTTTATGTCTTCTTGATCTGTGCAACATTTATTCTCCTTTCATTTCTTATTATACTAGTTCAGACTGCCATTATACTGTTAATAGGAATGCTGAGAGGGAACATTCTTATATTGTTCTTGATTTTAGAGGGAAGGCATCTAGTTTCACATTATAGGGTATATATTAGCTGTAGGTATTTGGTAAATGTTCTTTATCAAGTTGAAGTTTTCCTCTCTTTCTAGTTGGCTGAGAATTTTTATTATGAAAAGATATCAGATTTTGTCAAATGCTTGTTCTAAATCAGTTGATATGACTTTTTTTGTTTTTGCTTTAGCTTGTGATGGATTACCCTGATTTTACAATTTTAAATTAGCTTTGGATAAATCTGATTTCATCATGGTGTATAATTTTTCATCCATTGTTTGTTCAATTTGTTAATATGTTATTAGAAATTTTTGGATCTATGTTAAAGAGAGCAGTTGGTCTATAGATTTCCATTCTTGTAATGTCTTTTATCTGTTTTTATTATTAGGCTAATGCTCTTCACATAGAATGAGTTAAGAAGCATACACTTGGCTTCTGTTTCTGTTAGAATTTGTAGAGAACAACATAATTTCCCCTTACGTGTTTTGTAGAATTTGCCAGTGAAATAGTCTGGATCTGGTGCATTTTCTTTAGAAAGTTATTTATGATTTACTCAATGTCCGTTAACAGATAAAGAGATATTCAGATTATCTGACTCTCTTGGTGTGGGTTTCAGTAGTTGTCTTTCAAGGAATTGGTCCATTTTGTCCAGTTTATCATATTGGTCGCCATAGAGTTATTCATAATATTACTTTATGGTCATTCAAATGTACATTGAACCAGTAATATCAACTGCTCTTTAATTTCTGATGTAGTAATTTGTGTCTTATCTCCTTTTCTTTTCTTGGTTAGTCTGGCTAGAAGTTTATAAATGTTACTGGTCTTTTCAAATAACTAGATTTTTCTGTTTTCCATTTAATTATTTTCTGCTTTAATTACTATTGTTAATTTTCTCCTGCTTTCCTTAGGTTTATGTTGGTCAATTTTCTCTAGGCTCCTAAAGTAGAAAGACTATTGAATTTATATCTTTTTTTCTAATATATGTATTCTATGCTGTAAATATCTCCGTAGGCAGTGCTTTCACTGGTTTTGTTAAGTTATGGTTTAAGTTTTGTTTAGTTAAAATTTTTTTTAAGTTTTCTTGAGCCTTTGACATGTGGATTATTTACAGGTATATTTCTTATTATCCAAATGTTTTGATATTTTCAAGCTATCTTTCTGTTATTAATTTAATTACATTTATTTCCATAGTCATCTTAGAACATAATATTTTTTTCTATCCTTATATAATTTCCTTTGCATTTCTGTGAGTTTTTGCCTCACATCTTTTAATGCACTGTTAGGTGAATTCATGTTAAGGATTGTTGTGTCTTCCTGAAGAATTGACAGCTTTCTCATTACTAAATGTTCCTCTCTATCCCTAATAACTTTCATTGCTCTGAAGTCGGCTTTGTCTGAAATTGATATAGCTACTTCAGCTTTCTTTTGATTAGTGTTAGTATGGTCTATATTTCTTCATCCCTTTAGTTTTAATCAATGTGTTCTTAATTTAAAGTGGGTTCCTTGCAGATAACATATAATTGAGTTTTTTTGTAAATCAAATCTGAAAATTTATGTATTTTATTTGAAGAATTTAGATCATTCATGTTACAAATGATTACTATATTGAGTTAATATCTACCATGTTTTAGTTGTTTCTATTCATTTCAGTTATTTTTAGTTTCTTTAATTTTTATTTTTCTGCATTATCTGGTTTTAAATGAACATTTTATATGATTCCACCTTCTCTCCTTATGTATTAATTCTACTTCAAAAAAATTTATAGTACGGTTGCCCAAGTGTTTATAATATACATTTACCATAAATTATTTACTTTTAAGTAACACTATACTATTTTACAAGTATCCAGATAGTTAGCAACAGAATGTTGCCAATTTCTTTTCCCATCCCTTTTTATATTTCTGTCATTCATTTCACATATACCATATTTCACTTTATGCTATATTCAAACAAAATATTATTACTATTTGTACTTCGAACAACTAGCTATCTTTTAGATTGATTAAGAACAGGGAAAATATTTTACCTTTACTTTTTCTTTCTCTCTTTCTTTATACCAATTGAAGTTCTGACTTACTATTTTCTTCTCCTGAAAGAACTTCTTTTAAAATTTCTGGCAGGGCATGTGTGCTTGTGATGAATTTCCTTAGTTCTAAGGCCAAGTGTGTTGGTTCATGCATGTAAGCCCAGGAGTTTGGGAGGCTGAAGCAGTAGGATTGCTTGAGGCCAGGAGTTCAAAACCAGCCTGGGCAATGTAGTGAAACCTCTTTTCTTCAAAATAGACAGTGCCTATATACCCAGCTACTAGGGAGGCTGATCTGGTAGGATCACTTGAGCATGGGAGGTTGAGACTGCATTGAGTCGTGATCATGGCACTGTAGTGAGACCCTGTCTCAAATAAAATTAAGAAGGAAGGAAGGGAGGGAGGAAGGGAGGGAGGGAGGGAAGAAGGAAGGAAGGAAGGAGAAAAGAAAGAGAAAGAAAGAAAGAAAGAAAGAAAGAAAGAAAGAAAGAAAGAAAGAAAGAAAGAAAGAGAAAGAAAGAAAGAAAGGAAAGAAAGAAAGAGAAAGAAAGAAAGAAAGGAAAGAAAGAAAGAAAGAGAAAGAAAGAAAAAGAGAAAGAAAAAGAGAGAGAGGAAAGAAGGAAGGAAGGAAGTTATAGTTTTTATTTTCTTTGAGAAAGCCTTTATTTCTTTTTACTTTTTGGAGGAAAAGATGTTGCTAGATACAGTATCACAGGTTGTTGGTCTTGTTTTTCCTTCAGCATTTTATGTATTCTATTCCACTTTCTTATTGTTACATGAGTCCTGATGGGAAGCCCAATGCAATTCATATTCTTGCTCTGCAAATAAGCTGCTTTTCCCTCTGATTTGTTTCAAGATTTTTGCTTTATAATTTGAACATTCTCTAAATGTATGTTTCTTGGCATTTGTACTGTGTAGTGTTCTCTGAGCTTCCTGGATCTGTAGTTTAGTGTTTGTCTTTAATTTAAAAAAAATTATTGGTTATTATTATTATTTTAAATATTTTCCTACTCCATTATCTTTGTCTTTTCCTTCTGCTGTTCCAGACTTTTTTAATGTTTAACCTTTTGAAATTGTTTTAAAGACCTTGGATATTCCGTTTCTTTTTATTATTTTTTTTAAATTCTTTTTTTCCTCTGATATTTTAATTTGGGGAGTTTCTATTGACATTTCTCAAACTTGTTAAGTCTTTCCTTAGCTTTATCCTGTTTACTGTTGAGCCCATCAAATCATTTTTCCTTTCTGTTACAATATTTTAATTTTTACTCTTTCTTTTGATTCTTTCTTATAGTTGCCATTTCTCTGCTTACATTGTCATCTGCTCTTGCATGATGTCTTTTTTAGAGCCCTTAACATATTAATCATAGTTATTTTAAATTCCCTCTTTGATAACTGCAAAACCTGAGTCATATTTGAATCTTGTTGTGATGTTTGCTTTGTCTCTTTAAACTGTTTCTCTTGCCTGTTGTGATACCTTGTAATTTTTTGTTAAACATCAGACATGTGGCATTGAGTAACAGAATTGAAGTAAATAGGCCTTTACTTTGAGGATTTATGTTCATTTGGCTAGAGATGGACTTTGTTTAGCATTTGCTCTAGTTGAAGGTGCCAGAGGCTGTAAATTCTTTCAGTGTACTTATTTTTGTCCCTCTTCTCACTGTTGGGCTTCTCCAAGTATTTCTCATCAGAAAGAGACTGTGTCTTACAGCTCTTCCACCTGAAATCACTCTTATTACATTGGAGCCTTGTTATAGTGGTAGTAATGTGGGATAGGGGAAGTCTTCTATAATCTTATGACTGAATATTATCTTTTAGTGAGCTATATCTCTTGGCTATAATCTTTACAAGTGTTCCTGTGGTGATACAGCTTTTTTTTTTTTTTTTCTATTAGATGAATCAGGAAGCCTAGTGTTGGCTCAAGTGGGTGGAAATCCTTTCTCGAGATGGTACAAGGCCTGGTAAAATCATTTCCTTTGACAAATAGGGCTTCCTTGTGGAGAAAAATCTGGGTATATTTCAGAATGGTTACTTTTCCCCTTTCCCTGCCAGAAGCCTATGGGGATTTTTCTTGTCAATCAGATCGGTGGGTTTATGAACTAAAATATAAGAATGTAGGGGGAGACTTTTGAACTATAGCCTCCAAGAGTTTCTCACTCTCACTCTCAGCCTTCAGCAAATCACCAAAATTTCAATGTAAATATTCCTTTGTGTGGCTCTAACAGCTGCTGCTCCAGGTAAGCGGATGCTGTCTGTATCTCTCTGGATGTGCCTGAGTCTCCAGATTTCATTGTGGCAGTTTTTCTTGTATCTTCAGTTATCTGATGGGTCCATGAAAAGTCACTGATATTTTGTTCGGCTCTTTATTGTTCTAAGGCCTGGAATGACAGCATCCAAGTTTTTTTACAGCTAAAACCTTATCAATCATTTTTAGTGGCCATTTTGGTTGGTAGTTTAGAGGTTTCAATTTTGACTAATACGGCTGTCAGTTTCACTAATGAGTAATGAACTTCAGTAATTTCCTGCATGCTGCTTGTCTGTTTAGATATTCTTTGTAGTACAGTACCTCTTTAAGACTTCTTGCCCATGCCTTAAAAAAAGGGGATGTTCTGTTATTTTTTCACTAATTTAGAAGTTCCTTATGTATTTTTTACATAAGTCCTTTGTAAATTATACATGTTATAAATATCATTATCATGTATTACTCTGAAGATTAGCGTTTTAGTTTCATAATGGTGATTTTTGATTAATAGAGGTTCTTACTTTTAATGTAGTACAATTTATTAGTCTTTTTCTAATTTTCACTTTATGATTTTTGTGTTATAAGAAAAGTTCTATAGTACCCAAATCATGAATATACTCTTAATGCTGCTTTCCACAAGCTTATTTTACCTTTCACATTCTCATGCCCATGAACATTGGCCTATATGTAAGGAGCTGGGTAGGATTTAAGATTTTTTTCTTAATCAAAAACTAATTGACTTACCATTCTATTAACGACAAAATTTTCTTTACATCACTGCTATGCTCCACCACTTTTATTTAAAATTATTTATATTAGATACTTGATATATTCCAAATGTATCAGAGTATAGCAGTGAAGTGAATGAAGGTAGTGATTTTTGACACTTTATTATATTACTCTATTTTGTTACATTTGTATCTATAACACACTCATAATTAGCATAGCTTTATAATAAATGCTGATCTCTAATAGTGCCAATCCTCCAACATTGTTGTATTTCCAAATTTTCTTAGGTTTTCATGACCTTTTTAAAAATTTTTATTTCTTTTTTTTTAAAAAAACACAGTAATCATTTAGGTTTACCCTCATACTCATGTTGCCCTTTATTCCTTCCTCTTTGTCTTTCTTGTATTATTTTCTTCCTCGCAAAGACTCTCTGAAATTTCCTTTATTGTAGGTAGACTGCTGACATAGTTTTTCTTTTGGTTTATCTGAAAATGTTTTCATTTTTTCTTCATTTGCCTAAGTGTATTTTGAAGCCTGTGTGTGTATGTGTGTGTGTTTGTGTGTGTGTGTGTGTGACAGAGTCTCGCTCTGTCACCCAGGCTGGAGTGCAATGGTGCAATCTCGGCTAACTGTAAGCTTCGCCTCCTGGGTTCAAATGATTCTCCTGCCTCAGCCTCCCAAGTAGCTGGGATTACAGGTACGCACCACTATACCCGGCTAATTTTTGTATTTTTAGTAGAGACAGAGTTTCACCATGTTAGTCAGGCTGGTCTCGAACTCCTGATCTCAGGTGATCTGTCAGCCTCATTCTCCCAAAGTGCTGGGATTACAGGCTTGAGCCACCTTGCCTGGCCCTGTAGCCTCTTTAATTGTTAAATGTACATTTAGCATTACCATGTTCTCTGGGAGACACTGACATATTGATAATCATGAAATACATCTCAATCCTGAAAATACTCATTCTTCTGAAATCTATTTCAAATAATATGAAAATAGCCACTCTAGCTTTTTTTTGGAGTGGTGTTTGAATAAGGTAGCTTTTCCATTCTTTTACTATTTTATATTGTTTGCATTTTTGAGTTTAAAGTGTCTTTCTTTTAGCGGACATATTGTTAGGTCTTGCTATTTTATTCTGCTTGATAATTTCTGCCTTTTAATTGCAGTGTTCAGACCACTTATAATTTATGCAATTATTGAGATGGTGGGTTTTAATTTTCCACTTTGTTATTTTTGTTCTATTTGTCCCCTATATCTTTGGTTCATTTTTCTCTTCTTTTCTTGCCTTCTTTGAAAATAATTTGAGTATTTTTAGGATTGTATTTTATTTCCTCTGTTGGATTATATACTTATACTTCTTTGTTTATTTTTTATGGTTTGCTTCAGCACTTATAAACCTTTACCTTACCAAAGCTTCCTTTAAATGATACTATACTATATCACATATGGCAGCGGTCCCCAAACTTTTTGGTGCCAGGGACCGGTTTCGTGGAAGGTGATTTTTCCACAGATGAGAGGAAGGTGGTTTTTCAATGATTCAAGCACTTTACATTTATTCTGCACTTTATTCCTATTATTATTACATCGTAATATATAATGAAATAGTTATACAACTCACCATAATGTAGAATCGGTGGGAGGCCCGAGGCTGTTTTCCTGCAACTGGACAGTCCGCTCTGGGAGTGATGGGAGACAGTGACAGATCATCAGGCATTAGATTTGTATAAAAGGCATGCAGCCTACATCCCTCATATACACAGTTCACAGTGGGGTTCACACCCCTATGAGAATCTAACGCCATCTAATGACAGGACGTGGAGTTCAGGTGGTAATACAAATGATGCAGAGCAGCTGTAAATAAACATGAAGCTTTGCTAGCTTGCCCACTGCTCGCCTCCTGCTGTGTTAAACAGAACAGGCCACTGACTGGCATTGTTCCCTGCCCTGGGGTTGGGGACCCCTGATATATGGTACAAGAAGCTTACAATGGTTTATGTCTATATTTTTGCTCCTGTCCTTTGGGCCATTGTTGTCTTATAGTTTACTTCTATGTATGTTATAAACTCTACAACATAGAGTTATTATTTTTATTTTAAACAGGCAATTGCATTTTCAAGAGACAGACAATGGGCAAAATAATACCCACAAGATATTTATCATTTGTATGACTTCGTTCTATCTAGTTTCATTTTTCTTTTGCCTAAAAAAGTTCTTTTAGCATTTCCAGTAGTATAAGTCCACAGGTGATGAATTTCTCAGTTTTTGTTTTTTCAAAAAGTAATTATTTTTCATATTTAGAGTTTTTTTAATACATTAATTTAACATTTTTTCTTTCAGTACTTTAAAGATGTCTTTCAACTCTCTTCTTTCTTACATATTTTCTGAGAACAGCATACATCCATTCTTAGTTATGTTCTTCTGTATGTAGTGTATGTGTTTTTCTAGCTGTATTTGAATTTTCCTCTTTATGAGTTTTTTTTTTTTTGCAGAAAGTTCGTTGTACTATGGCTTGGTGTAGTTTTTAAGATTTCTTTGCTTGGGATTTGTTGAACATCTTGCATCAGTGAGGTTGTGATTTTTTTTTAATTATTTTTGGAAATTTTAGCCATTGTTGCTTCAAATTTCTTTCTTCATGTACGCTTTCATTTTTCTAGGATTCCAGTGACACTTATGTTGAACTGCTCTGGAGTCTCACAGGACACTGATGCACGATACCTTTTTATTTCTTTATTTTTTTGGTTCATTTCATTGTGTTGTTGTTATTATATTTGTGCTTTATTTTAGGCAGTTTCTATCACTGTCTTGACATTCTTTAAACCTTTCTTCTACTGTGTCTACTCTGCTATGAATACCATCTTGTGTGTTTTTCATTTTGCATATTGCATTTCTTATATCTCCAGGTGTTATTTGATGTGTTTTATATATATTTAATCTCCTTACTCATCATGGTCATGTATTCCTCTAAATTTTTGATCATATGGTGCATCTTTAAAGCTATTTTAATATCTTTGTTTGCTAATTCTGTTATCTCTTTTCTGCATTTTCTTCTATTGATTGACTTTTTCTGACTTGGGATAATATTTTCTTGCTTCTGTTCCTTCCTATTAATTTTAGCTGGATACCAGACATAATGAATTTTAAATTATTGGTTGTTGGATTCAGGGTGACCCCAATGCAGATCTTGGGAGCTTTCTCTATGCATCTTCCTCCTCTCTGATATCTACATCTCTCTGAACTTTATCATTGTCCACCTAACCCAACCAAACTTATAGGTTCTATTTGAGTCACTCTTTCCTGTGCTGTAATAAAACCTGGAAACTGCCTCCACACAGAAAGTTGAAGCAGTTTTAGGGATAATCTCATTGCTACTCTTTTTTTAGCAATTAAAATACTGTGCCAATTGTTGTCTCATGTTTGAAATATATAGCACTTTTTTTGTCTTTTTTTTTTCTAGTGGCTTAAAAAATGGAAAAAAATATATCAGTCTCTTCAGTAGAGGTAGAAGCAGAAATCTCTATTTTTCCTGAATTTTCAAAGTATATTTTGCTGAACATGGTATTATAAGTTCATAAATATTTTATTTCATTTCCTTGTTGTCTAGTTTATATTTTATGTTTGTTTTTTCATTACGGGAATATAACTTTTTTTTCCTATTGCTATTTGTATTTTCTCCTTGTAGTTTTTCATTAGTTTATATTTTATTTTTTATTTTTATGATGCCGCAGTATCTTCTGTACTTAATGTTTGTGTCTCCTCCAAACTCACATGTTGGAGCACTAACCCCTAGTGTCATGATGTTTGGACTTGTGCCTTTCGGGAGGTAATTAAGGTTAGATGAAGTCCTAAGAGTGGGCCCTCCCAATGGAATTGGTGCCCTATAAGAAAAGATACCAGAGGGTTTGCTGTGTCTCTCTTTCTAACACATGAAGATATAGTGAGAAGGCAGCTGTCTGAAAACCAGGAAAAGAGCCCTCACCAGAACTCAACTCTTCTGGCTCCCTGATCTTGGATTTCTAGCCTCCAGAACTGTGAGAAAATAAATTTATGTTGTATAAGCTGCTCAGTCTATGATATTTTATTATGTCAGCCCAAGCAGAGTTATATTATTTTATTTATTGTGCTAGAGTTCATAGACTTACTTGAATCTATTTCATGATACCTTCTAACAGCTTTAAATGCTGTTCATTATATCTCTGAATATTGTTTTTTTCCATTATATGGAAGTTAATTCTTCTGCCACTTCAATTATATGTATGGCAGATTCATTCTCCTTGTTCCATTGATATTTACTTATCTTTTCTGGTTTTTTGTCCTTATTCCTCTTAAAGTTTTATCTGGATATTTACTCCCAATTGTGTGAGGCCAGATATGGCGTAAGTATTGTTTCCAGTTGAATGCAATTGGGAAGAAGTAGATGCAGGAAAGCTCTCTGCCTTTCCTCTATTTACATAAAAGAGGGATATAAATTTAAAAAATTATGTTTAAAAAAAAAAGATGTTCCATCTCCTCTCTCCAGGGAGAACAAAGAATAACCACTGAAGACAACTATAAACAATTATTTACCTGGAGATAGCACCAAAGGAATCTACATTAACATGCTTTACTAACTAGCCTTTATCTACGATTTATTTACTTTTCCACAATTTTCTGCCTATAGAGATTCAAAGTCCTTTTTCTTTGATTTATCACTTTTCCAATAATTAACTTTTCTTTGAGATGTCACGTAAGCTGCAATTCAAGTACAACTTTTTCAGAATTACTAATTCCTTAGGTACTTCCCATGTGCGTGTTAATATACACGTTAATATACTTCTGTTTGTTTTTCTTGTGTGAAAGTGGAATTACAGAAGTCTGTTCCAACTAAGAACTTGAAAGGGTTGAGGAAAAATTATTTTTCTTCTATACTGTTTTCCAACTTTCTAATTTTTCTTTAAAAATACCTAATTTCCTACTAAACTCATTTATTGAGTTTACAATTTTAGTTCTGACAATTGATGTTTGAAGTTTCTAAATAAGTTTTACTTTTCTTCCAGCATTCTAAATTGTGCCATTTAATTTATAGCTCATATTAATTAAATTTATTTTAAAGACCATGTCTGATAAGTGGTAAGTCAAATATTTTCTTGTCTTTTACATTTTTTGCTATTATATCCATTACTTGTATCTATGCAGTCAATTGTTGCCTTTTTATTTGACTGATTTATTTTTAAATTTTGTTCCAACTATTGGATATAAAAAATTATGGAAATAATTCCAGTATATGGATAATATTTTAGTAGATTAGATCACATGGAGGATTTACCTTTGCTTAGAAATGGCAAGTAAGCTGGAGGCATCTTCCTCCTCTCTGATATCGCTTGATATTCACTTGAATCCAACTAGAATTTGAATGAATACAGACCTAAATGTCAGTCATTTTGAGGACTAGCTTATTTGTAATGCACACATGCCCTTTGGAGTAGCCTATTTTTATTGCAATCAAGATTCTGGTATTTCTACAAAGGCTACTCTACCTGGAAAGTCCCAAACTCCATTTACTGTTCTCCCAGACCCAAGGGACTCTCAAAAAGTACACTCTGCATCTTAGCCTCTCACTCACTTCTATTTCACTATAGAGTCTTCATTTGTATCTAGGATTATGTGTGCTGTTCTTTTCTAATTTTAATTTTCCCATCATTTTTTCTGTATCTGCTAAGATAAACATAGTGATTTTATAATGTTTAACTAGCTTTGCATTCCTGGGATAAATGTTTATTGGGTAGGATTTTTTAAATGTATTTTTTGACTGGTTTCGTAATATTTTCATAAACAATTTGCATCCGAGTTTATGAGTGATTTTCCTGTAATTATCGTTTTTTCTACTTTCAAGGTTATGCTGCCTCATAAAATGCATTGGGGACTTTCCCCTTTTCTGAGTCTTTAGGAGTGTTAGTGTATAACTTAAATCATTTATTCCTTGAAAGCTTTCTCAAGTTTTACAGTGAATACATCTGAGCCTGGAATTTTCGTTGTGGAAGATGTGGTATTATAAATTCTACTTCTTTGATGATTAAAGGACTATTCAGGTTTTCCATTACCATTTAAACTAGTTTCGAGAGACACTTTTTCTAGGAATTTGTACTTTAAAGCTAAATTTTAAAATGTATTGTTATTTACTTATGCATAAACAACTTTATTATTATTTTATGTCTGCATTTTCTGTGGTAGTGTTCTCTTTTTCATTCTGGATGGAATTCCTATTTGAGTCTTATTTTTTTTCTTAATATTACCAGTGACGTATAAACTATTTGTTCATTTTGTCCTTTAAAGGTACTACTAATGACATTGTTGATATTTTCTCTGGTATGTTTGTTTTCTATTCAATTTCAGTTCTTATCGCTACTATTTCCTTCCCGTTACTCCCATAATTTATTTTAATATGTTTTTTTCCTAACTATGGTGGATTTTCTTTTTCTGCTAATTAATATTTGCTCTTCTTCTTTAATATACATGTAAGGCTAATTTTGTTTTTTTTTTTTAAGGGCTGATTTAGTTGCAATACATATTATCGATATGTAGTATTTAATAACCATTGAGTTTAAAGCATATTCTGATTTATAAAAAAGAACTTTATTTATCAGTCGATCATTTAGGAATGTTTCTTATCTTTTAACAGTTATGACTAATTTAAAACTTAATTCATTTTGGTAGGGAACCATGGTCTTTATTCCAGATTGAAATATGTTAAGACAATGCCTTATGAACTAGTTTACAGTCCAATTTTTAAATAAGCTTTTAGCATATGATATGACTATTTATCTTATAATTGTTGGGCATTATGCACTATACATTCAGCTGTTAATTATGTGACTAAATCCTTTATATACTTAATGTCTTTTTTCTTTTTAGTCTATCAGTAACAGAGAAATGTGTATTAAAATATCCACATATTATTTTCAATTTACCTATTTGTCCTCATGGTATGACAGAGTTTTACTCTATATATTTTGTTGCTATGCTATTTGGTGATTAAAGATGGTATTGACTTTAAGAGTTAAAAATGTTAACATTATTAACCCAGATCATCTGTATATTTTTTTCCTTAATACCAATTTGATTACCTAGTGTTTTTTTTAAAAAAAGTATTTTGGAAAACATTCCAACTTTATTGAAATTGTCGTTTTGACACTCATTATACTATGGATTATAAAATAAATACATCAACAATAACCTGGAGGCAAGGTGATAAAAGATCTGCTATGTATCATTTTCTCTACAAATGCAGATGATCAGTCAGTATCAGTAGAAGATTTCTGTTATAGTTATCTACCTGTCTCCTCAGCATAATGAATGTACTTGCTTCTAAGGAGTGACCAATTATGTCTGAAAATAAAGTAAGATTAATAGGCAGTAATAGGTAACAATGACTCAACTTTTTCCATATGATGTATTTTGTCAAAGTGGACTGCCATTTATTTCCCTTAACTTTGTCTAAAATATTTACTCATTTCTGATATGGGAAGTAAAAATTTCAAGACTGAATAGTACTTAGGTTGATAGTTTTTGTCACAATCATGTCATTTTAAAAAATGTTTCCTGTTAACAGTATCACTGATTAACTGTGTTCAGCTTTTTTACTGATAAAAGTGTCTTTGATGATACTATGTTTCCATTAAGAGGATTATTTAATCTCAACTTTCAGGTAATACTGCTGCAAGAGATGAGATAATATCTATGATCTATGTTTTATTCAAAGATGAGGCTATTCTGAAAATTTATGCTAGATAAGACTTTTGAATGTCACTATGAACTAAGAAGTAATTACTGTGGAGTCTTTGAATATGAAGCATCATATAAGCAATACAGTTCCTTTCCTTTGGCTATCCATTATGGTTGAATAACAATTTATTATGCTTTTGCAGCAAACATGATTATCAGGGGAATCCGCCCCCAATATTTCAACGATGTTCTTTCTATTTTCCATAAGTGTTGGCCTTCTAAGAAATAAAGAGAAAGAATACAAAGGGAGGAATTTTACAGCTGGGCTGCCGGGGGTGACATCACATATCGGTAGGACCATGATGTCTGCCTGAGTCTCAGACCAGCAAGTTTTTATTAAGGGTTTCAAAAGGGGATGGGGTGTAAAGCAGGGAGTAGGTACAAAGATCACATGCTTCAAAGGGCAAAAAGCAGAACAAAGATCACATGCTTCTGAGGGAACAGGACGAAAGGCAAAACAGAACTACTGATAAGAGTCTATGTTCAGCTGTGCACGTATTATCTTGATAAACATCTTAAACAACAGAAAACAGGTTCGAGAGCAGAGAACTTGTCTGACCACAAATTTACCAGGGTGGAGTTTTTCCCCACCCTAATAAGCCTGAGGGTACTGCAGGAGACCAGAGCATATTTCAGTCCTTATCTCAACCACATAAAACACACACTCCCAGAGTGGCCGTTTATAGACCACCCCCCAGGAATGCATTCCTTTCCCAGAGTATTAATATTAATATTCCTTGCTAGGAAAACAATTTAGCAATATCTGTCCTACTTGCACGTCTGTTTATATGCTCTCTGCAAGAAGAAAAATATGGCTCTTTTTGCCTGACCCCGCAGGCAGTCAGACCTTAGGGTTGTCTTCCCTTGTTCCCTAAAAATCACTATTATTCTGTTCTTTTTCAAAGTGCACTGATTTCATCTTGTTCAAACACACATGTTTTACAATCAATTTGTACAGGTAACACAATTATCACAGTGGTCCTGAGGTGACCTATATCCTCAGCTTACAAAGATAACAGGATTAAGAGATTAAAGACAGGCATAACAAATTATAAAAGTATTACTTGGTTTTTTGTTTGTACACTGCATATTCTCACTCATAGGTGGGAATTGAACAATGAGAACACATAGACATAGGAAGGGGAACATCACACTCTGGGGACTGTTGTGGGGTTGGGGGAGGGGGGAGGGATAGCATTGGGAGATATACCTAATGCTAGAGGACGAGTTAGTGGGTGCAGCGCACCAGCATGGCACATGTATACATATGTAACTAACCTTCACATTGTGCACATGTACCCTAAAACTTAAAGTATAATTAAAAAAAAAAGAAAAAAAAAGTATTACTTGAGAACTGATAAATGTCCATGAAATTTTCACAATTCATGTTCCTCTGCCGGGGCTCCAGCCGGTCCCTCCGTTCGGGGTCCCTGACTTCCCACAACAATTAATTTGAATGCGCTCCTAAATCATATGTAAGGCACACAGGTTGGAGATGAGATAAAATGCACTCTGTGCACTCTGACATACCAAAGTCCTATGTATAATAATGCATGTGTATTGTGTTTTTGAAATAGTTCTTTTCCAGTAAAATTTCATAATATTGTAACTTTTGGAATATAATTTTACTAGAAAACTTTTTAAATATATTTTCTCACCTCATGGTGTAATCTTTGTTGTCTCTAATGCTTAAATATTCATTCAAGAGACCCATAAGACCACTGCCTCCTGGTAGGGCAACACTACAATTTATTGTCCAACTGGGACGTTTCAGCTGTAAAAATGTTAATCCAAAGAGCATGGTGGGGCCACAGTTATCAACTGGGACTCCCCCAAGCATCACTATTATATACAGTTATCCTACTCCTAAGAAAAAAAAAAATAGAACTAAATAGTCACACTGCCCAAGTTTGATCCCACGAATGAGAAACATGGATGAAGCACAAAAGCAGATCACTAATTAACTACTTTCTAGCCAGAGATTTTCACTAAGTTCCTATCCTGGATGTTCAGTTACTTTGGGGGTTCATCCACTTGTATGTCCTAAATGTTCCTTACATACAATATATCTGAAATTAAATTCATCTTTGAAAATCTACTCTCCTGTCGTTATATTCCTTTGCCACATGCAGAAACAAGGGAGTTATTATAGATTCCTCCTGTCACTCACTTCCATAATTATTCTTTCACCAACTTCATAGATTTTATTCATTATTATCTTCCTTTATTCCAGTGCTTTGGTTCTGCCCATATCAACTCATATTTATAAATATGACTCCCACAAATGATGAAAATAATATAATAGCTCCAAAGAGCTGTCCAGACATTTTACTGTTTACATTCTAGGATCTGCTACATTTATTCATTACTATATGTCATCCATACCCCCATTTGACTATTTCTGCTTCCTGTGTATATGCTTTGTAATAATACTAAACTGGTCATAATCTCTGTCTAACATATAATAATTCAATACATTCTATGCCTGAAAATATGACATTTTATTCTTGTAAATTATTCTTCCTTTTTTGATCTAATTTCTACTGTATTTTAAAAATTAAGTTCAAATATTACCTCCTGTAAGACTTTTCTGATTCATTTAATTTCATTTAATTTACACTTGTATTTGTATTGCATGTTTTACTAGTTTTATCTTGGCAATTACTAAACTTCATTGTAAGAGTTGCTCTATTTAGCTCTCTCCTCAACAGGAGTGTAGCCTTCATATGCAGGATAAGTGCATAAAGGAATACAGAAAAGTACAGTGTGGGAAAAGTTCAAGATGAGCTTAGATGTGAGGGTACTGACATCAATAAGTGAAGGTACCTTTCTTGAGATGATTGTCCTTTGGTAGATAAAATAAATCTGTATAGAGTTAATAATAAGAATATATGGTTTATGCTAGTCAGAAATTGTAGAAGATGCACTTTGAGTTCAGGAATTTTTCTAGAATCAGGTAAGCATTGCAGCATATAAAAAAATGCATAATCTGCTTCAAAATTGTGGGGTTTTCTTGTTCCATATTTGTTAATTGTGCAATGTGGTCATATGTTCCTAAGATGCACAATTATTGAAAACTTTAATTATAAATATTTAAATATATATGTCAGTAGGTGTGTATATATACAAATATAGATCTATGTTATGCATATGTATGCATGCTGTATATTCTAATTATGCATACACACATATGTTTGGTATATATACTATATATTCTTATAAGTGGGCTGTAAATGTTTGGCAGCTAAATAGGTTAAAATTTATGCTTTAAAATATTTATTAAATGTTCAGGCTTCAGACATTTTTCAAAAGAAGACATTTATGCAGCCAACAGACACATGAAAAAATGCTCATCATCGCTGGCCATCTAAGAAATGCAAATCAAAACCACAATGAGATACCATCTCACACCAGTTAGAATGGCGATCATTAAAAAGTCAGGAAACAATAGGTGCTGGAGAGGATGTGGAGAAATAGGAACAATTTTACACTGTTGGTGGGACTGTAAACTAGTTCAACCATTGTGGAAGTCAGTGTGGAGATTCCTCAGGGATCTAGAACTAGAAATACCATTTGACCCAGCGATCCCATTACTGGGTATATACCCAAAGGATTATAAATCATGCTGCTATAAAGACACATGCACACGTATGTTTATTGTGGCACTATTACAATAGCAAAGACTTGGAACCAACCCAAATGTCCAAAAATGATAGACTGGATTAAGAAAATGTGGCACATATACACCATGGAATGCTATGCAGCCATAAAAAATGATGAGTTCATGTCCTTTGTAGGGACATGGATGAAGCTGGAAACCATCATTCTCAGCAAAGTATCGCAAGGACAGAAAACCAAACACCACATGTTCTCACTCATAGGTGGGAATTGAACAATGAAAACACTTGGACACAGAGTGGGGAACATCACACACCAGGGCCTGTCGTAGGTTGGGGGGAGGGGGGAGGAATAGCATTAGAAGAAATAACTAATGTAAATGACGAGTTAATGGGTGCAGCACACCAACATGGCACATGTATATATATGTAACTAACTTGCACGTTGTGCACATGTACCCTAGAACTTAAAGTATATAAAAAAAAAGTTCCGGCTAAACACTCTGTCATCGGATTTGTATTTGTGTGCCTTAAAGACACTTTTTATCTTAGTAATGGGCATATTACAAATAATACATAATTTTATTCTTGTAGATAAAATTAATTTAGTAGTTACTTTCTAAAAATACAAAATCAATAAAAGTTTTTTCAAAAATAAAAAAATAAATTTAAACACAAAATGTTCTTTATATTTTGTGAATTCAAAAATCTGAGTAATTCTTTGAATAAAAAAGTTTTTCTAATCACCTCTTAAAGATTGATATTACAATTTTATTAAAAACATCATTTTGCTTAATGATAATAGTAATGTTATTGTAGAGAATACAGAAAATTAGCAGGAAATATATGTCATTCATAAACTTGTTATTCAGATATTACCAGCATTAAAATATTGCTGCCATGTGTTTTAATAAGCTTAGTGCATGTGAATACGCATGGTAGATAAGCAAATAAGTTGAAATTATATTTTACATAGAGTTTCAGATTTTTAATGTAAGTGAATTTTTCAGACAGTTCCTCTATATTAGTCTTCCAAAATGTGCTTTTAAAAAGCCTGGGTAATGTTTTGTTATTTATGTATACCTTAACAAATGAATACTTTGCTGTATTTTTTATAGTTTTATGTTATAAGTACTTTAGTATATCACATAATTTTTGTTTGCATCTTATTATATTAGCAATTAATTAGGGTCACTTTATTAGGCATTACTATATCAATGTATATTAATTCTATAAAACTACATATTATAGAATTCCGCATGAATCTCTGATCTTATTGCTCTATTTAACAACCTCACAAGCATGGCAACATTTTCGCCCATCTGATGGTTTCATTTCTTGCTTTGGGTATGTTTACTAAACAGGCACTCCTAAATATTTTTTCAACTAGCTGTCGAAGATAATAATTCTTTAGTATTTTTTCACGTCTTCAATCATTAAAGGTTTTAAATATTTTTGTAATATTTGCTTATGATTTTTATTTCTAATTGTATATTCTCTTTGTATCCTTTACTTATTTTAAAAATTCACTTGTCTTTAAATTGATAAGTAAGAATATTTATCTCGTGTACTTTCTGCTCACATTTTCCTACATGGTTACTAATTATTTCAAATAGTTTTTAATCTACCAAATCTTAAATGTATATTAATCAACAGTGTCAAATATTTTAGTGATTTTTAATGTCTTATGCAGAGAAAGTTTCTTGTCATAGTGAGATCAGATAAATAGTCAACTGTGTTTCCTTAGCATTTTTCATGGCATTTGAAATTATTTATTTATTTGGGCATTAATTTTGAAATTATTTATTTATTTGGGTGTTAATTTTTCTGAATACTATTAAATATGATACCCTAGCTGGTTTATTTTTCTCAGTATTTAGACAGTTTTCCTAATGCCATTTGTTTGTGAATATATCACCTTCCTATTTTGTGATGATTTTTAAAATTCTACACCTAAGTTTAGTCATTGGAATATATTTCTATTTATCAACTTGGCAAATCTTATGATAGCATTGTTCTGTTTTAAATATAAATAGCTTTATAATATTACCTAATACCTTATTGGAAAAGTGCTCTGTCCTTATTCTTTTTCTTTCTTTCTTAAAGTTTCTTAGCTAAATTAGTATTTTTTCTCTGCTTAGAATTTGCTAAATTTCCAGCCAGACAAAAAGTTTTGGATTTTACACATTTAAATTATATTATATAAAATAATCAAAGTTTTTACATATTTATGTATGTATGTATATATGTATGCATATATTTATCTACCCATCTGTCCATCTATCTGTCTGTTCATCTTTGAGAAAACTAACATCCCAGTGATATTCATTTGTTCCATTCAGACTATTTCTTGATTTTAGTTTTTAAGTATTTCTTACAAGAAAATCTCTAATTTACTCAGTGTACCATACATGTATTGCTTCTCAATTTTGAATTTTTTAATGTTTGGATTTCTTGTTTTTAAAAATTTGTTGGTTTTATTTTTTAAATATCTCTCTTACTTTATTATGTAGTTTTTCATATCTTTATTATTGATTATTAAAATAGTACCAAAATACAAGTGCCCCATTATTTGCACACGTTTTCCTCTTGGAACTATCTCTATCCCCGCTTTAACTTAGACTTATTGCTCTCTAGACATGCTCCAAACTGTTATCCTCAGACAACCCTTCATTACTCACCTTGTTAGATCATGGAATCAACTTATTTCTTGGTGCATAGGATTTCTTATCACTTGAATTAATCATTTTATTGTAGCCATCTTCAGATACTTTATGAGAAAATTTGGGGGAGTAAATCTTGTTGAGCTCTTCCACTTCTGAAAATATTCTTACTTAATTTTGTAATTTGGCCTACACGCATTGTTCCACTTTCTGTTAACATCAATGTTGCTGATTAGAATCCAGGATTTATGGTACCTGTCTTCTGTTTTTCCTCTCTAGAAAATTTAAGAACTTATGTTTGACTTATTTATTCATCCACTAAGTAGTTGCTGTGTGCTGGCTATGGTTCTATGTTGTGTACTTAAAACAGAGCAGTGGGCAAAGTAGGCAAAATTCCTGCTCTTACGTAGTTTACCATAGAGCTGGCAGAGAAAGACTAGCAATTTCCTAATGATTAGATCCATGAATGTATCTTTTTATATGCATTGTTAGACTTTCAGCAAGCCCTTCTAGTCAGAAATAGTGTAATCTTAACCAACAGAAATTATCTTGTATTAGTTTGTAATGAC
Organism: Homo sapiens; assembly: GCF_000001405.40. NCBI lineage: Eukaryota > Metazoa > Chordata > Mammalia > Primates > Hominidae > Homo > Homo sapiens. The sequence goes on from NC_000014.9 coordinate 41,798,679, forward strand.
TGAATTCACTTTTTTTTCCCTGAAACATTGTCTCATTAGAGGTAAAAGTTTGTATAGTAATCTTTTGCAACTTATGCCTTTTATCATGTTTTTCTTTGTTTTGTTCTAAAATTTGGACTCAGTTTCACTTTTCACGTAATCACACAGGTTTTCTACTATTTTAACATTTTGACTTTATTCCATATACTCATTTTTGTCTCTGATCATTTATTATAGTGTTATATTAATTTATCTCTCTGTAATATATGTTTTAATCTTTCTGAGGCTACTCTAGTTGAGGTTTTCTTGTGGTGTGTGTGCTCTTTTTATCATTTTACCTTGTATTACTCTTTTTTTCTGTTTGTTTTAACTTGGTCTCTGGTTTTCCTTAGATGACCTGGAAAACTTAGTTGTATGTCCAAACTTTAAAACAGAGTATAAATCCAGTTGGGAGCACTGTGTAAAATCTAACCTTATTGACTAGTGAACTTAGCTCACGGGTAAGTGCATAAATTGCTGGTTGTTGCACTGGGCCAAGGGATCACTAAACGTCAGAATATGAAGACCTTTTCTGTAGTCTACAAATAACCAAAAGTCTGCTCTAATTTTTCCAAGGGAGTTCATAATTGTTGTTTTTTAGGAAAATCTTTTCCACTTTTTGCCTGGGAATTTGAAGGTTGGATTGCTGCCAGGCATTGTGTGCACAGCAACATGTGTGTATTGAGGGGGATCACTGCTGATCCAAATACAAACTTAACAACTAATAGCACTGTTTTCTACTGCACATTTCACTTCTCCTTTCCCTCATGCTTAGTATTTCTAGGTACAACTTCTTTTTCTGGTGTTCTGAAACATTGCTTGCCTCCATTTTCCAATACTATAACCCCTCTTCTACAAGTTCTACAAATCTGATTTGTAGACACTAGAACTCCTTTATCAACTTTTTTTCTTTCTCTTATTTGTTAATGTATTTTTCTGTTGATGGCTTCAGACTGGTTTTCCTCATCACTGTGGATAATTTTCTTTCTGAATTGATTTACTGTCAGTTTTATGGTAGGGTATGTGAGGAGATAAACGCATTTGGTGGTGTTCTCTGTCCTTTGGAATTGGAAGTTGAGGAAGTGTGGCTCTTGCTGCTGTTTTTGCCATTGTTGTTTCATCACTTATAAATAATGGGTGGTATTTAGTATTTGTGTCCTAAAAATCCTCTTTATAAATAGTGTAACTGCTAAAATGATATCTCAGGCTATGAATTAGAGTCAATGGAGGGGAAAGGAAAGGGAAGGGAAAGGGAAAGGGAAAGAAAAAGGAAAAGGGACAGGGAAGGGAAGGAAAAATTTATCACTGATCAATTATTGGTAAGATAATGGACTAAGTATTTTTACTTAATATGAATAACTCACGTGTTATATCATATATAATTGACATCAGCTAATATTTCTAAAGGGCACTTCCAAAATTTGACACCTTACTGATGTACCATGTGGGTCACTTAAAATTTCAAGTTGCATCACATCCTATAATTATTTGTGTATTTGCCTTCATTTATCTTTAATTGGAGGATTTTAAATGGCAGGACTTATGTTTGGTTGATATTGTTGTTTCTTAAAATACTGATCACAGATGAAACCAAAAGAAATTATTGGCAAATGTCCTTAAGTTAAAGCTAATTACTGCAATGATATATTATTTTAGTTTATAATTCTGGACTCTACTTCCTCAAGTATAACTAAACTAAAATTGGTAAAAGTGAGAAATTTGTATTAACATATAGGTTATCATTTTAGATAATGAATTCTAACTTTTTAATATATTTTCTAATAATTGTATGATTATATTAAATAATTAAGCAAAAATATATAACAAATTTTATGTAACAAGTACATTATTAGACAGTAGAGATATAGGCAAAAAACTCATTACTACTTTATTTAATATGAATTCAGCTGTACTCTATATAAATATGAGATACAAACTAAAGTCTATAATTCCTAACAAATGAAATAATATGTTTTAAAAAAATTAAATGCAGCATACACGGCAAATCAGAGGAAAATATATACAATAAAAAAGTAAGTCTAAATTCTGTGTCTCCTAACTCATAAAAGATTACCCTGGAGAAAAAAAAAACACTGCAGTTCAAGGAAAATATAAACATCACTAGTATTGTCTAAGTGCTTTATAGGAAGAGGCAAATTTGTCTTTTTAAAAAATACTAGCTCTAGAGAGCAGGGCCATCAAGAAAAATATGTAATGTTTAAGGACTACTTCACTTATGAGTCAGATAAAAAGACTGGATATACATATAAATTATTTGTACTTTTCAACAATCCTATGGCAAAATTAATGGGACACTCTTTTGTTTATATATAATGACAATATCACACTATATCTAACAATATCAGAGTTTATATATGTACATATTACATAATATACATGTGAAAATATTGGTAAAGGAGTAGAAAAAAACTGATTTTGAAGCCTGGTATAATTTAAACTTAGTTTCTCGTACTTAGCACTAAATGATGTGTAAATATACACAAAAATATTCAACCACTCCATATCTGCATATAAAAAATGGAACAACAATCCTCCCTTAAAAACTGTTATGAGGATTAAGTATATGTATGTTTGTAAAGCACTTAGATTCTGTGTATCCAACTAATGATAGGGATTCAATTAATGTCAATTAAAATCTTGCATATTTTAAAATATTATTCTTAATCTTTCATTTTGAAATTAGTATTCGAGAGTAATGTAGAACTTTTAGTCATCATGCCTACCTACAAGGAAACAAACTGCATATATCTTAGACAAAAGTCCTTGATCTTATACTTTAAGTGTTCTTTTCCAGTGCCATTGACAGATAAGTTACTCTAGAGTAAAGATTTTCAGTGCTCCATCAGTGTTCTTCCATTTTTCTAGTTTTCTCCTATGCCTGTTTACTTCTCTACAAGAAGGATCCTTGAGGAGCTTGAATCTCGCAGCCTGTGCTCATTATCCCAGATGTTGGGGCACTGAAGCACCACACAGAGTGTGTTGGAGATGGTAAATAACTTTTTTCTCACCCTGCCAGTTTTGAGTGATTGGTAGTAACTGCATAAATTGCTCTTCTGAGAATGAAAGAATGCCTTAAAAACTGCAGGAGAAAAGCAGCATGTTTCACCGGGTGGGAGGGACGAGTCTCATCTTACTTGCCAGTTCCTTGACATCCCAAGTGGGTCTTAAGGTTGAGGTACACCTGCCAAGGGGTGTTCACAAGGAACTGGGAGGGACCTCAATGAAGAAGCAGAAAGGGGAATGGACTCGAAATTCCCAGAATCTGGAAATTGAGGATGTCTTATGGTGGAGAAATTAGATGAGAAGAAACAGGGTTAAGGTGGAAATTTTTTGCAACTGATTTAATGCGTCTTTCTGTCCCTTTTGAGTCATCTTTCAGCAGTATTAAAATGGCAACAGTCAGCCTTAATATTGTCAGAGAAAACCAGAGCTGGACAAAAGTTAAAGCAGTAAATATGGATTTTACTTAGGGACTATTGCAATAGTGGAAAAGAAACCTAAGTATAGATGTGGGCTCAAGTCAGAATACAGCAAAGACAAATGGGGATTTATAGCCGAGGAACAGGTTGTCAGGGATGGGAATTGGGAGATGGAAAATTACTAAGAGAAAACATCAGAGGCAGGGAGGATTCTGGCTAAACTGATTTGACAGGATTCTTGCTGAAGGCAGGCCAGGGTGATCTAATACTAAGGGTAGGAGATAAGGAATTCCATCAGGTATGAGGGTAAGGGATTCTTCCTAAAGTGATTTAGCAGGATTCTTACTGAAACTAGGCAATGCAAAGAGGAACACAAAACCCAAAGGTGGAGTCCTAGTTGAGAAAAGAGTTTAGAGGAGTTGGAAAAATGTTTTGTCAAGGAAAGTCTGTCACCATAGAATAATTTAATAGGCTAGGATAAAATTTTCTTAGCCCAGAGTTTTGTGGTCTTTAAATTTTACATGCAAACTGAAAACCCTTCCTTCCAGTTAAGTAAATTTTAGGCTAAAATCATAGTAAAGATGACATTCATAGGCAGGATTTTTTTTTCCTTTTCTGTAGCTTTAGGCTCCAAAAATATCACTTACTCAGAGTTTAAATTGTTTAATAGAAGGTAGGAAGTGGGAAGAATATATCTAAGAAGGTTGAAGAATTACTTGACAATGAGATTGTGGCAGAAAACAGAAATGAAAGGGAATTGTATATTACTGAAGACAAATTGTAAGACCTTTTATTCGGCATAATCCTTTTCTGCTTATGTTCTTCTGTAAATGGAAAATAAATTTAAGAGTCTCTTGTGTCCTATATAATAATGCAAGTTGCCTTAGTGTTGGTATCAAGTCAAAGTGAAGCTCTTGACCTATACCTCCCAAAACAAACAAACAAAATAGAGTACTATAAAGATATTAGTGGTTTTCAAGTATGTAATTATTTATGTGTAAAAATCAGATAAGTTAATAAATCATAGCAGGTATGAATTATCCCCAGAACAAATAATATATTTCAGTATTTGTCATTAAGATTCTTTTGATAGCCAATGGATGTGCAGTTTTTAAGTTTTATGTACATTCTTTTCCAAAACTACATACCGTACCTACAGTAATTGGTTTTAAAAAGCTAATTCAACTCATTGAGCAGTGCATTTATGTGCATATAGCTTTTTTTTTTCTTTTTGAGACAGGGTCACACTCTGTCACCCAGGTTAGAAGGCAGTGGTATGATCATACCTCGCTGCCGCCTCAAACTCCTGGGCTCAAACAATCCTTCAGTCTCAGCCTCCTGAGTAGCTAGGACTACAAGTGCACCCCTTTGTGCCAGGATAGTTTTTTTTTTTAATTTTGTTGAGGTGGGTCCTCACTTTGTTGCCCATGCTAATTTTGAACTCAAGCAATTTTCCTGCCTGGGTCTCTCAAAATGATGGGATTACAGGGATGAGCCACCATACCTAGCCCAAATACACTTTTAGTTATGTTGTTGTTTTAGAACATTTTTGTCATTATATGCTTATAACAGTAACTAGAACATAGTGAGTTCTCAAAATGTAACTCCCTACTGGATTCTTCTTGCCTGTTGCCCAGATAGAGCTGATTTATCAAGACAGAGGAAATGCAATGGAGAAAGAGCTTTACACAGGTAGAGCCAGCTAAACAGAAAGCCAGAGTTTTTTTCATTTGTTTGTTTGTTTTGAGACAGAGTCTCACTCTGTCACCCAGGCTGGAGTGCAGTGGCACGATCTAGGCTCACTGCAACCTCTGCCTCCCAGGTTCAGGTGATTCTTGTGTCTCAGCCTTCTGAGTAGTTGGGATTACAGGTGCATGCCACCACACCTGGCTAATTTTTGTATTTTTGGTAGAGGCGGGGTTTCACCATGTTGGCTAGGCTGCTCTCGAACTCCTGACCTCAAGTGATCCGCCCAAAGCCTCTGAAAGTGCTGGGGTTGCAGTCGTGAGCCACCGTGCCTGGCCCAGAGTTTTATTACTACTCAAATCAGCCTCCCTGAAAATTTGGAGACTAGAGTTTTTCAAAGAGTTTGGCAGAGAGGGAGATGCCTAGTGAATGAGTATTGATGATTGGTTGGGGATGCAATCATAGGGGTGTAGAAAATGGTCCTAGTGTACCAAGTTCACTTCTGGGTAGGGCCCACAGGACAAGTTGGCAGATCTGGGTGGAGCCATTTGGTCATCAGAAATGCAAAAGCCTGAAAAGACATCTCAAAGGCTAATCTTAATTTCTACAATAGTGATATTACCTGCAGGAGTAACTGGGGAAGTTGCAAATCTTGTGACCTCCGGAATAATGACTGGTAATCATTTATGTCTACATCTTGGCAGAATTCAGCCTCCTCTCATCCTCCTAACCTGGTGGTCTTTCATTAGTTTTACAAAGGTGGTTCAGTTTTGGAGAAGGACTATTATCATTTAAACTATAAACTAAATTTATCCTAAAGTTAGCTTGACCCAAGCCCTGGAAAGACTAAGAGAATTTTAGAGGTTAAAGGCAAGATGGAGGTTGGTTAGATCAGATCTCTTTCACTGTCACAATTTTCTCAGTTATAATTTTGGCAAAGGCAGTTTCAAAAACATATTTGTTAAATGAATAAATAATTGATTTATTCTCTTATTTTCTTTTCTACTTTTTAATTGCCTTATAATGTTTTGAATGGAAACTGATATTACCTCTAATACCAATAAACCTCCAGAATAGAAATGTGCATTTCCTTTTTTTTGAAATGTCAGCTCATTAATTCTAGAAATTATTGTTATATTAGCTATTAATTGTAAATATCTTTAGGCCATTAGTGATGGTAATGGTTTTACTGCAGAAGGAATGAGAATGAAAAATCAATGTGAATCAAAAAGCAGATGGAGGATAACATTACTAAAATTAGCTACAGAAGAAAAGTAATAAATAGCATCTGTATTTTCAATTTAAATAAAAATTTGATTACAGCAAAATTATGTGGCTTCTTTGCTTTTGAAGCAAAGGTTTGGATGTCAGCAAATGTCTGAACATTTTTATCAGAAAAAATATTGGCCAGACTGGTTATTATGAAAGTGAAAAATATCAGGAATATTAGATTTTTATTTTTATATATTATAGAATAAAATATAGAAGAACAAGTATATCAATTATGCAGATTTGGATAATTGGAAGTTCTCACAAAACTCCTCAGGGCATACTTACATAAGTTTTATTTTATTTATTTATTTATTTATTTATTTATTTATTATTATTATACTTTAAGTTTTAGGGTAAATGTGCACGTTAGTTACATATGTATACATGTGCCATGTTGGTGTGCTGCACCCACTAACTCGTCATCTAGCATTAGGTATATCTCCCAATGCTATCCCTCCACCCCCCCCACCCCACAGCAGTACCCAGAGTGTGATGTTCCCCTTCCTGTGTCCATGTGTTCTCATTGTTCAATTCCCACCTATGAGTGAGAATATAATGATGAGTTCATGTCCTTTGTAGGGACATGGATGAAATTGGAAATCATCATTCTCAGTAAACTATCGCAAGAACAAAAAACCAAACACCGTATAAGTTTTATTTAAGTAGAGGATACGTTAGAACAGGAAGATGAAAGTGAAAACAAACGTAGGAGCTGAGTGACTTCCTGGTGCAACTCCTCAGAGTGGTTTTCTTTTTGGTTGTTGCACAGCATACCTTTTTCATCATATCATGAATCATTAGGGTATGTATGAGGAATCTTGGTCACACGACTGAGGCATAAGTTTTCAGTGGACTCTGCCCACTGGTCTTGCAGACAGACCTACAGATCTGCAGTTGCAAATTTCCCCCACAAAAGACAAACTTGCAGTGCCAGTTCTGTTTGCTAGCCCCTGGCAGCCATCTCCAAATATGTCAAAGAAATATATTTTGGTGTAAAATATTTTTATTCCTTTCACTAGCTCATCTTGGCCTTACTTTGACTGAGGGTCAGGATTAGACGTTCAGGAGTCTGAGAAATAAGCCTAATGATACTTCAATTAAACTGTAAGATAATCTTTAACATTAACCTTGCTAAATTAGATAGCTACATATCTAGATCATTCTAGGCAACTTAGGATTGACTGCCTTCATTGTGCTCAGCATTCAGGGAATACAGACATATGAGCTATCTGTCCAGCCAAAGGCTTTATTGCTTTCTTAGGGAAAAGGGCTAAAAAACATAAAGTGAAAAATGTACTAGATGGATAGTCAATTGCTATTTTATTGTACTTTACCATTAGAGAAAAGGAAGTTTTGTTTGCTAGAGTAAGCAGAATGATATTCCTAGAAGTGATAGCACTTAAGATAGATCTTGAGTAACTAAAAGCTTTGCTGTGATTACGTGTGATAATACTAAGTATTCTGAGTACTTCTAAATAATAAACCAGGGCCAAAGCCACATCCTTTATACTGGGAAAATGAGCCCAGATGTTGGTGATGATGAAATTGGAACACGGTATGATTGAAGTTTGGCTATGGATTAGGACTGGGGATTCATTTCAAATAAACTGAATTCTGGGGATAATCCAGCTAAGCAGATACCCTCCACACACAAACAGGAAGTACACCTGCCTGCTTACCGTACACAGACAGATCTGAAGAAGCACACTGATCTCACTGATGAAGACGTCTCATCAGCTTACTGCTGGCCTGGACAGCTCCTTTTTTATGGAGACTAAACCTTTAACAGTCAAAATTGCAGCAGCCTGGGAATCTAGAGCCTTTCTGAAGCCCTACCCCTAAACTACTAAACTAAATGGCCTAAGTCTGAACGCCTATGTGCTACTCTAGAGAAGTAACTACACTACTACCTTTTACTACTTACCTAGCACCTTCCAGAAAAGACTAACTTGCATGGCTGTTGAAGGAATTCATACCATCTAACGAGTCAAAAAATTAATATAAGAAGTAAAGAAATAAGATACATTCTGTAAGAAGGATGTGTAATGCAAACATCCAGAATAATTTGCTGGTATTTTTAGGTATAATCCAGAAGTTAAAGGATGTCTATAGACTTGATTTTCTACCTATTGAAGAAATATGAACTGGTTAGAATTGCCAGTTAGTTTAAAAGTAAAACTTTTTTTTTAGCTCAACATAATATGATCGTTTTGTATCCATTGAATAGGGGACACATTAAAGTATAGAAATCACTTGTTAAAACCTGTTAGCCAAAACTACAACTGCAGATGATATGTTATCAGAATGACAGCATCTATATTTATGTGTAATACACTTTTAATAAAGTAAACAATAGTTCTAGAATTATCTTAGCCATTTGAGGAATATGGAAAACATCTGATGAAAAGCTATTTCATACACATCTACTGAATCTATACCATGATCTAGGCACTGAAATCTGAGTAAATGAGATTTGAATGCTCTTTGCAAGAAGATCCTGAGCACTATGTGTGAAAGTTTGAAAGTTAGAAAGCACAGACCACCCTGTCTGCTGGGAGGGACAATGAGAATATTTTTGGTGTATTTTTAAATTAATGTATACTAATAGGAACAGCATGTGATGAAAAGAAAGTATAGGTAGCAGTAGATTAATAAGAATTTTCCTTGTTACATAGATTTGAATGAAGATAGAAATTACCATGAGCCCCCACCCCTTTTATTTTTAATAATTGGCCTCCTGTACTGGGTAATTTGGGAAGTTAGATATTGGAAATGTAAAAAATAATTTTGAGGCTGACGCCATCGAAGTGAATAATTTTCACGATGTTTATCTCCAGGACTCCTTGTAGTCTAGTCCTGACCCTCAGTCAAAGTAAGACCAAGATGAGCTATTTGGTGATTTAAAATGTGCTGTTTAAAGTTTGATACCTTAATATCCTACAGTGCAAATATGTAGACAAGCTAACCCCCAGGATTAGCTTGTCTACATATTTGCACTGTAGGATGTTAAGACAATGCCTGTGTCTTGAGCCTGTATAATTATATGTTATATGTTAAGAAGCATAAAGAAAGTGGAGGGAGGGAGGAAGAAGAGGAAGTAGAGGGAAGGAAGGAAGGAAGGAAGGAAGGAAGGAAGGAAGGAATTGAGGGAGGGAGGGAGAGAGGAAGGACCTATGAGATTACTTCTGGAAATAGTATACCCAATTGTGGCCAGACAAGGAAGGAAGGGAGGGAGGAAGGAAGGAAGGGAGGGATGAAGGAAGGAAGGAAGGAAGGAAGGGAAAGAAGGAAGGAAGGAAAGGAAGAAAGGAAGAAAGGAAGGAAGGAAGGAAGGAAGAATCGAGGGAGGGAGGGAGGACCTATAAGATTAGTTCTGGAAAAAGTATACCCAATTGTGGCCAGACAAGGAAGGAAGGGAGGAAGGAAGGGAGGGATGGAGGAAGGAAGGGAGGGATGAAGGAAGGAAGGAAGGAAGGAAGGAAGGAAGGAAGGAAGGAAGGAACGAAGGAAGGAAGGGACCTATGAAATTAGTTTCAGAAATAGTGTACCCAATTGTGGCCAGACCTATTAATCCTGACTAAAGCAGATGTAAAAACACTAAAACAAGATAAATCAAAATAAGTAAAACTCCTTCTAACATTTCAATAATGAATTAGATGTGTGTCATTTAACATAATTCACTATTAGGATAAGCTAAAGGTAAGATAACTTTCAGGCTTTGAGTGTCAATTGATTGCTTATTAGGTCAGGAAGAAATCCACTCCAGCTCCTAATCACGACCCTGCATTGTGCATTTGATTATAATATTGTCCCAAAGTATAGGTTTCTAGGCACTTTACTTGATCAGTTATTCATTCTAAAACACAAAGTCCTCTATTCATCTGGCACTATAAGTACCATCAGCTTTAGCAGAAATATGCCTGCTGTTGAACTTTAGTTATGTGAAGCAGGAGGACATTTCCTATCCTCAGACTGTTCTTCCTTTGTAGTACAAAGTGCCATATGGCTATAGTTATCTGGATTTTTTAGTCTAACGAAGCACAATTATTCTGTTTTAGAAAGTAGTGTTTTAAGTGGCTAATTCAACTAGGTAATGCCCATTAGTAGGAAAGTGATTAAACAAATTATGAAATAGTCATGAAGTGAATATAAAATGGAATAAAAATGAGTCTAGTGTGTTTTCATGAAAAGTGACTATAACAATTTGTTTTAAAAAGCAGTTTAAAATAACATAATTGATTATTTGTATTATATCTAAAATAGTAGTCAGGCACCTTACTAAACTCTTTTATTTTTTTTAATTCTTAATGCAACACTGAAATATTGAGAGGGTGGCAAAAAATGATACAGGTATAGCAACCCAATCATTACATTTCTCCAAGTGACAGAGCTAGGATGTGACCTGAAAAAGTCTAATTTTATAAAACTCTTCAAAATTTTAATTAAAATATATAAGTCAAGTAAGGATGTTAAGAGTGTTTATTAATTATTAACAATATTACCTCTGGATGGTAGCATTATGTTTTATATTTACCTTTGTCTAATATTTTAAATATATGTTTATGTATTTTTGTATCATATTTACATATTTTTATATTTAATATTTATTCTTTTTTAAATTATGGCAAACAAAGAAAGATATTTAAATATAAATCAACAAAGTGATAGCATATAGATTTATAGGAGATATACATACACACATTTATGATTTATTTAGTGTAAAAATACTATCTAAAAATACTGTACACTCCTGATTTGAGTCCTTTCCAGATAAGAGGTAATGAATACAAGAGGAATGAAAGGTAAGTATGTCAGACAATTACTGACAATCTGTTTATTTAGCATCTAAGGGAAGCCAAGTTTACCAAAACTATGACCAGAAAGTGTGGATAGCAGAATAAGTCACTTCAAATCTATACTAATGTGAAACTCAGCTTTCAAATAATATGAAATTTCTCTTTAATAATAAAAATTAACATTATAATTAGTGTTTTTAAAGCTGTGAATTCACTGAGTTGATTGAGATTTATGACATAATTGTAGACCAATACACAGATTAACAGACATTCTATTGTAGTTTACTTCAGTGACTTTTATTACTCTAGAGAATTTAGAAAACCAAACCTAAGAAGTTCATCTCCACCAGTTTTTGCCTGAAGAGCTATAGGTAACAATACATTACTGCCTCATTGAGATCCACAAATTTTGTTAATTTTCCTGGCCTCCCAGGAAGACCATAGCTACTTGTGAGGCTGGATGCTTGTTAAGACACCAAAGAGGTGCCAGTTTTTTGGTCAGAGCTTTGTAGGCATTAGTTTCATGTCTGTTCTAAAAGCCTTGCTAGTAATTTTGGGCTTATCATCCATAGTAAAATCAGAATTACCCTCAATATGACAGCCAAGGTATTGTTGACTGTCTCATTTTCCTATCAGATCCAGATAAAATAGGAGAATAGTTTTTCATTGACTTACGCAATATTTACATGGCCATTAAAAAGAAAGATACAGGTTAAAATTATTTTCCTAAATTCTGAGGTAGAGTGAAAATGAAATACTATTTTAAAGGTTGTATTTTACTTTCCAAATGCATTATATTTATCATTAAGTTGTATTATGAAGAAAGTAAGAATATTTCATCCCATTCTCATCAGAAAATAAAAACAAAATTAAGATATCAATAACACACCCAAACAACCTGCCAACCTTAATGCTGTCTTTTCTGTACTGTCTTTCTTAGTTGAAAACACTCTTTCTAGTATGCAGCTATTAGAAAAGCCTTCAGGCAAGCACAAGGAAAAGCAGAAACTACATGTTGATGACAAGACTTGATGGTTGTGGTTTTTTTATGAAAATAAAAATGATATCTGAATAAAGGACAATAAAGCCATCTATTAGTTTAAAATACAGAATTATTTCACAAGGATTTTATTGGTGTTTTTCCTGAGGATGAGCATAATATGGACAGTAAGGGCTTAATAATAAAAAGATAAATTTCTCAATTTTAAAAGGTGCAAATAATCTGAACAGACATTTCTCCAAAGAAGGTATAAAAATAGTCAATAAGCATATGAAATGGCATTCAAAATTATTAGCCATTAGAGACATGCAGATTATAACTACAATAAAATAGCATTTCTCATCCTCTAAGATGACTACAATAAAAAAGACAGACAATAACAAGTGTTAGTGAGCATGTCGAGAAATTAGGATTCTCATATATTGCTGATGGGAGTGTAAAATATTGAAGCTACTTTGGATAACAGTTGGTAGTTTCCCAAACTCTTAAATATATGACTAGATATGACCCAGCAATCCTTGCCTTGGGTATACATACTCAAGAGAGGTGAAAACATATATCCACATAAATACTTGTACACAACTGTTTATAGCAGCATAATTCATAATAGCCCAAAAATGGAAACAACCCAGGGAACTATCAACTGATAAATCCATAAATAAACATGGTATATACACAGTGAACTATTGTTTATTAATAAAAAGGAATAAAGTAATGATATGTACTACAAAGTGCATGAATCTTCATCACACTAATGAAAGGAGCCAGTCAGAGAGACTCCATATTATAAGATTCCATTGGTATGAAATGTCCAGAATAGAAAAATCTACAGAGAAAGAAGAACTAGTGCTTACTTAGGACTTGGGTCAGGTGGGAAGGCTTGGGAGAAGTAGGGAGTGAGTGCTGATGGACTGGGGGTTTCATTTTTGGCGTGATGAAAATGTTCAACAATCGATTGTGGTGGTTATTGTACAACTACATTAACACACTAGAACCCTTTGAATTATATACTTTAAAAGGGTACATTGTATGGTTATTGATTTATATTTCAATAAATCTATTTAAAATAATTACAGAAATAAATATGGAGTATAAGATAATTCAAAGTAATTCTTTATAGCATAACATCTTTTAAAAAGTCAGCACAAAGCGTGAAAAGTTATTCTGGTGAATATGGAATATCTACTATCTAGGACATTACACAGAAGGTAACCTTATTATAAACTAATTAAATACTCTGAACCAATTTTTCATTTAACAGAAATTAAACTGAGTTATTACCTTACACAAATCCATATGTACTTGTATATATTCCAAAATGATATCAGAGAAATAATACATAGATTGTTTTAAAACAAAATGATCAAAACAGGTCTTCATTTTTTACAGAATTTGGATTTATTATATATTAAAATGATTTTTAACTAGGAATTTCTATGAGTTTTTTTTAAAGACTAGCATCTTAATAATATTATAATTTTAGCTCCCTTATTTCCTGGGAATTGTGATAAACTAATCAGAACAGAGCTCCTTTGTTTTAAGACATTCATTTTTAATTTCTTAGTACCTTCTGGGGGTACTGATTCCTTAGTACCTTCTTAGTATACTTGGGCAACGATGGACAAAGATTATTCTCAATTATATATACAAAGGCACACAGAAAACTTGCAGTTTTATTTTTGTAACTTCAGCCACATGTCAGAAGTAGAAATAAATATATATATATAAATTATTGAGTCAACATTCAAAAAGATCTGTTTGAAAGAGATTGTAATTAAAATTTTGTATTTTTCTTTGCTTGAACAAAATGATTTTAATACAATAAAATTTGTTAAATAAAATTGATGATGAAAAATAAAATTGATGATGAAACAATGTTTTAAATGATTGCCTTCTGAGCAATATTTTATTTAGTATAGACCAAAATTATTTCAGGAGAGAACAAGGCAGTGTAAGTAATGATGGAAAGTTTCATGAAGAAACTTAGATTGTGCTAGATCCAGGAATGGGGTGGTGATTTGAAGAAGTCATCACGTTCCAGACTAGAGAAAAGACACACACAGGTAGCTTTCAACTGAGGAAAATAAGTAAAAGATGCTAACTGCATAGAAAATATAGGTTGAAAGTGATGAGAAATAGATAGGAAAGTTGTTTCCCACCCTTTGAAGTGGCTGTATTCCTAATACTGATTATGCAGAGATAATTTGAAGATGACTGTGAATACTAAACTACATTTGTTAATAGTCCACTCAAATCTGTTTTCAACTAACTACAGAGAACAATTACATTAACAATTTCATCCCTTTGATTTTTCTTTTTATTACAGTTTAAGTTCTGGGATGCATGTGCAGAGGGTACAGGCTTGTCACATAGGTATACATGTGCCATGATGATATGCTACACCCATCAACCCACCATCTACATTAGGTATTTCTCCTAATGGTATCCTTCCCCTTTCCCCCAACCCCCTGTGGCCCTGGTGTGTGATGTTCCCCTCCCTGTGCCCATATGTTCTCATTGTTCAACTCCCACTTATGAGTGAGAACAAATGGTGTTTAGTTTTCTGTTCCTGTGTTAGTTTGCTGAGAACAATGGTTTCCAGCTTCATCCATGTCCCTACAAAGGACATGAACTCACTCTTTTTTATGGCTGCATAGTATTCCATGGTGTATATGTGCCACATTTTCTTATCCATCTATCATTGATGGACATTTAAGTTGGTTCCAAGTCCTTGCTATTGTGAATAGTGCCACAATAAACATATGTGTGCGTGTGTCTTTACAGTAGAATGATTTATAAAACCTTGGCTATATACCCAGTAATGGGATGGCTGGGTCAAATGATATTTCTAGTTCTAGATCCTTGAGGAATCGCTACACTGTCTTCCACAATGGTTGAACTAATTTACATCCCCACCAACAGTGTAAAAGCATTCCTATTTCTCCACAACCTCTCCAGCGTCTGTTGCTTCCTGACTTTTTAATCTAATTGTGGTTTTGATTTGCATTTCTCTAATGACCAGTGATGATGAGCTTTTTTTCATATATTTGCTGGCCACATAAATGTCTTCTTCTGAAAAGTGTCTGTTCATATCCTTTGCCCGCTTTTTGATGGGGCTGTTTGTTTTTTTCTTGTAAATGTGTTTAAGTTCCTTGAGATTCTGCATATTAGCCCTTTGTCAGATGGACAGATTGCAAAATTTTTCTTCCATTCTGTAGATTGCCTGTTCACTCTGATGATAGTTTCTTTTGCTGTGCAGAAGCTCTTCAGTTCTTTAGATCCCATTTGTCAATTTTGGCTTTTGTTGCAATTGCTTTTGGTATTTTAGTCATGAATTCTTTGCTTATGCCTATGTCCTGAATGGTATTGGATTTAGAAAGCCAATGTTTAGAGCAACTTTTCTAATCCTTTCTTATTATGACCTTATTATTCTGGTCTTAAAGGGGCTACACTTCACTATAAAAGGTCTTTTTTACTGGCAATCAATAAATACTAATTGAACAATAGGTTTAATTAAGGTTTAATTAGGAAGGCAGGTGCTTTGATTCCTGTGTACCCTATTTACAAAGATTTACTGGTAGTACCCAGTTTTCTCCTTAATTTCTTGACATAGAGAGTTTGAATTTATTTCTTAAATCATATTCTGTAGAAAGAAGCATCAATTTATTTTATTAATAAACTGTTGGCCTTATTTCTTGAGTATTAGTTCTGGCCTGGCCTTGTTAGGTTAAGAGAATCTTTGTCTTCTTGGGCCTGTCTTGACAATTCGTGCTTCTAATTACTGCTCCCCCCACTTTGTATTTTGTCACAACTAACCTACAGAAATGCCATATTCAGTCAACATCAAAACATGTCTTTTTCATTGTTGGGTATATGTTAGACAAATGGACAAATTGGACGGCATCTTTAGTGTTGGGTGGTGGGTGGTGAATCTAATAGTTGGGACACTTACTGTGAAACACTTCTGAGACGGAATAACATTTAAGCTTTGGTATGAAGAAAGAGAAAGAGTATTGCTGGTTAAGAGAGGGCAGAAGAGCATTTTAGATTAGAAGAACAGCATGGAAAAACATCCATCGAAAAAAGCATGGATGGCACTTGAAGAACTAAAAAAAAGTCTATTCCAATAATAACAAAGTAGTCTACAGATGTCCATTATATCCAGTTGATTAATAGTGTTGTTGAGTTCAACTAGGTCCTTACTGATTTTCTGCCTTCTGGATCTGTTTATTTCTGATAAACAGGTGTTGAAGTCTCCAACTATAATAATGAATTAATATATTTCTTCTTGCCATCCTATCAGTTTTTG
Organism: Homo sapiens; assembly: GCF_000001405.40. Classification (NCBI taxonomy): domain Eukaryota; kingdom Metazoa; phylum Chordata; class Mammalia; order Primates; family Hominidae; genus Homo; species Homo sapiens. The sequence continues at coordinate 41,815,200 of NC_000014.9, forward strand.
TTTCTGCAAAACAGATGCTCTGTTTTCAGGTACATGCATGTTAATAATTGTTATATTTTTCATGGAGAATTTGCCCTTTATTATTGTGTAATGCCCCTCTTTATATGTAATTAATATCCTTGGTCTGAAGTTTACTCTTTGAAATCAATATAGCTACTCTTGCTTTCTTTGGATTAGTACTAACATGATGTATGGATCTCCACTTATTTACTTTTAATCTTCACCTGGTTTTGTATTTAAAGTGGGTTTCTTGTCTAGATGCGGTGGCTCACTGGAATCTATAATCACAGTGCTTTGGGAAGTTGAGGCAGGAAGATCACTTGAAATAAGGAGTTTGAGAGCGGTTGGGCAACATAGGGAGACCTCATCTCTACTAAAAATAAAAATACTTAGCCAGGTGTGGCGGTGCATGCCTGTGGCCCCAGCTACTCTGGAGGCTGAGGTGGGAGGATCCCTTGAATGCAAGAGATCAAAGCTGCACTCCAGCCTGAGTGCCACTGAGTGCCACTGCACTCCAGCCTGGGTGACAGAGTGAGACCTTGTCTCATAAATAAAAATAAATATAAATAAATAAATAAATAAATAAAATGAAGTGGATGTCTTGTAGACAACACGTAATTGGATCTTGTTTCTTGATCCACTTTGTTAATTTCTGTTTTCTAATGGTTACATGTAGATCATTGATGTCCAGTGTGAGTATTGTTATAGTTGGATTAATATCTATCATATTTGTTAGTGTTTTCTATTTGTTGCCCTTATTATACTCTTTTAATTTCATTTTTTAGAGTTTTCTCTAGAGTGTGCGATATACTTTTACAACTACTCCAAGATGTTGTAGTGTTTCACAGAACACTGTACCAACTTCACAAGTAGTGTGAGTTTTATATTTCTATTTTATACCCCCTTCTCTTTTCCCTTCCTCCGTCTCCCCCATGTTCCTATTCTTCCTCCCCTCCCTTCCCTCTATTTTCTCTCCCTTGTGAGTTTTTTATAATGACAAAATAATTCTAATTCTTCTCTCCTGTTCCTTACATCATTGCTGTCATTCATTTCACACACATATATATATGCATAGATTATTGAACAGATTTTTGCTATTATTATTTTTAAAAGTTATCTGTTAGATCAATTAAGAACAAGAAAAATTAAAATTTTTATTTTATCTTCTGTTTTATTTCCTTCTTTATGGAGAGGTGCATTTCTGGCCTTTATTATTTTCTTTCTCTCTAAAGAATTTATTTTTAACATTTCTTTTATGGAAAGTCTACTGGCAACAAATTTCCTCAATGTTTGTTTGTCTGAGGGAGTCCTTATTTCTGCTTCATTTTTGAAGGATAATTTCATAGAGTACAGTATTCTATGTTTTTTTCTTTCTCTGTCAACACTATACATATTTCTCTTTAATTTCTTCTTGCTTGCATGTTTTCTGAGAAGCTAAATGTAATTTCTTATCTTTCCTCTTCTAGAGGTAAGATGTTTTTTATCCTCTGGTATTTTCCAAACTTTGTCTCTTTATTCTGTAGCTTGAAAATGATACACCTAAGTATGGTGTTTTTGACATATGTACTGCTTGGTTTTTTCTGAGCTTCCTGGATCTGTGATTTGGTGTCTAAACATAATTTGGGAAAAATCTCAGTGATTGTGGTTTCAAATATTTACTATCTTTCTTTCTCTTTTTTATTCTTTTTCTAGAATTCCTGTGACACACATGTTATACCATTTGTAATTATTTCTCAGTTTGGGGTTGTTTTGTTCTTTTTAAAAGTATTATTTTTGTCTAAGCTTTTTAATGTGGGAAGTTTTTTTTTTTTTTTTTTGAGATAGCCTCAAGCTCAGATTCTTTCCTCCGCTGTGTCCAGTCTATGGGTAAGCCCATGAAGGTAATTCTTTATTTCTGTTACAATGTTTTGAATCTCTAGCATTTATGTTTGTTTCTTTATTAAAATTTTTATATCTCTGCTTACATTGTCTCTGTTCTTGCATGTTGCCTGTCCATTAGAGCTCTGAGCATCTTAATCATAGTTGTTTTAATTTCCCAGCCTGAGAATTCCAACATACCTGACAATTGAGTCGCATTCTGCTGCTTGCTCTGTCTCTTCATAGGTATTTTTTTTTCTTCCCTTTTAGTTAGCTTTGTACTTTGTACTTGATAACTGGACATGATGTGCTAGGTAAATAGAAATGCTATGAATAGACTGTTAGTGACATGGTGGCAATGGATAGGAGTGGAGAAGCCTTCTATAATCCTAGGAGTAGAACTGTATTTTACGAGCTTGTACCTCTGAACTGAGAGCTTCTCACATGCTTCTTAGTTCACTTCTGCCACTCTATAAGACAGGATGACTAGAGGGGTCCACAGTTGGGTATTTCTCTTCCTCCAGGTCACTTAGACTCTGATGAAACTTAGAGGTTAGGATTTGGCTAAATTCCTTCTTCTGAGAGAAGACCTTATTAGAAGAGCCAGATGCTCTGACACATTTCAAAATGTTTATTTTCATCTTTCTCCTGCTGGAAGCACCAAGAGTTTTCTCTAGTGTTTACTATGAGAACCTAGATAAACTCCGGGGGGTAAAATACAAAAGGGTAAGGGCCCCTGATGACTAGGTTCCTTTGGAGTTTTTAACTCTCAAACTTCATGCTGAGCCTCCAGCAATTTATCAGTCATAACTGAGGTTTTCCTATATAGATAGTGGTTCCTTCTGAGGTTTGTGGGCTTGGTTTCTGCTCTAGCAAGCTGTGATTCTCTGCATCCCATCATGAAACCAGAAATTCAATGACATTTTGATTCTAAATCCTTTTCTATGACTTAATGTATTTTAATGTATTTCCTCTATGTATTTTGGAATATTCACATATACTTTATTTTATTTCCTTTAATTCTGGAAATGTTAAATTATTACTTATATACTTATTTTCTATTTCAAAAAATCATGCTAACTGCATGTTAATTATCTGGGTCTTAGCCTTTTCCTTTTTTATTCTTCCCTTCCTGTTTAGCATTCATTGCCATTTCATTCTATTTCCTGGATAAATACTTAACTGTATCTTCAACTCTTCTTTTAATTTCATCTATTGTAATTCATGGTACTATTTTTTCCAGTTTGCTTTTTATATATATTTCAATTTTTGATTTGTGAATCAATTTAAACAGGGAACAAAATTCTTAATTACCTTGGCTTTTAATGGGGGACTAAAATATCTCACTGTTTTATATAGAGACCATTAACCAAACTTTATTTATGTTTAATAACTAAATATATCATTTACATATATATATCATATACATATGATATACACACACACAAACACACACACACACATACACATCCCATTTACATTCCTTCCCTTCAAGTGATATATGCCATCACATTTCCAATATTTCTTAAGTAGTATGTGGGCTAATTGGCTATATTCTTGTGATCTTTCAAGTTTGTTGTGGCTACTTCTCTTGTTTCAATTGTAACTAATGTGTTGGAATAGCTACTGTTATCTCTCCAAATATTTTTGTCTTTTTGTGTTGATTCTTTGTTTCATCTCTTTACCATAATTTAAAAAATAGATTTGTGGGCACACTGCAGTTTTGTTACATGGATATATTGCAAAGTGGTGAAGTCTGGTCTTTTAGTGTATCTATCACCTGAATAGTGTACATTGTACTCAGTAGATAATTTCTCATCCCTCATGCCCCTCCTAAACCTCCTATATTTTTAAGTGTACAGTATCTATTATTCCACTCTGTATGTCCATGAGCACACATTATTTAGCTCCAACTTTTAAGTGAGAATATGTGGTACTTGGCTGTGTTTTTGAGTTATTTTACTTAAGATAATAGCCTCCAGTTCTGTCCATATTGCTGCAAAAGGCAAGGTTTTATTCTTTTGTATATCCATATAGTATTCCATAGTATAAATGCATCACATTTTAATCGAATTATCCATTGGTGGACACTTAGTTTGACTTTGCTATAGTAAATAGTGCTGTGATAAACATACCAGTGCAGGTGTCACTTTTATATGATTATTGATTTTCCCTTGGGTAGATATCCAGTAGTGGGATTGTTGGATCAAATGGTAGTTCCATTTTTAGCTGTTTGAGAAATCTTTGTATTCTTTTCCTTAGAGGTTATACTAAATTGTATAACCAATAATGTATAAGTGTTCCCTTTACATTCATATTAACATCTATTGATTTTGATTTTTTAATAACCATTCTGATTCACGAAAGATGTTATCTCATTGTGGTTTTAATTTGCATTTCTCCGATGACTAGTGTATTAGTTCATTCTTGCATTGCTATAAAGAAATACCTGAGACTGGATAATTTTTATAGAAAATAGGTTTAATTGGTCACAGTTCTGCAGACTGTCCAGGAAGCATGGCATCATCTTCTGGGGAGGTCTCAGGGAGCTTTTACTCATGGCAGAAGGCAAAGTGAGAGCAGGCATCTCATGGCCAGAGCAGGAGAAAGAGAGAGAGAGAGGTGAGATTCCACACACTTTTAAACAACCAGATCTCATGAGAACTCATTATGGTCACTAGAGTGCCAAGAACGATGGTGTTAAACCAGGAGAGATAGCCTTCATGATCCAATCACCTTCCACCAGGCCCCTCCTCCAAGATTAGGAATTACAATTCTACATGAGGTTTGGGTGGAGACACATATCTGAAACATATCAACTACTGATGTTGAGCCTTTTTTCATATGTTCACTGACCACCTGTATGTTATTGAAAAATGTCCACTTTTTGATAGGGTTATTTGTTTTTTTTTTTATTTTTCATGCTGATTTCTTTGGCATTCTTTTAGATGCTGGAAATTAGTCCTTTGTTGAATGCATAGTTTCCAAATATGTTCTCCCATTCTGTAGGTTGTCTGATACTGTTGATTGTGTGTTTTGCTATGCAGAAGATTTTTAGTTTAACTAAGACCCATTTGTCTATTTTTGTTTTTGTTGCATTTGCTTTTGAGGTCTTAGTCATAAATTATTTTCGTAGGCCAAATCCCAGAGTTTTTTTTCTAGGTTTTCTTCTAGAATTTTTATAGTTTCAGGTCTTATATTTAAATATTTAATCTATCTTGAATTAAATTTTAAATATGGTGAGAGATATGGATCCAGTTTTATTCTTCTGCATGTGGCTATCCTATTATTCTAGCACCATTTATCAAATAGATTCCCATTTCCATGGTGTATTTGTATTGACTTTATTGATAACCAGTTAGTTGTAGATATTGGCTTCATTTCTGAGTTCCTTATTCTGTTCTATTGATCCATGTGTCTATTTTTATACCAGTACCATACTGTTTTGGTTACTGTAGTCTATAGTATAATTTGAAGTTAGGTAACATCATGCCCCCAGCTTTGCTCTTTTTGCTTAGAATTGCTTTGGCTATTTAGGCTCTTTTTTATTTCCTTGTGAATTTTAGTTTTCTGTTTGTTTGTTTTTAATTCTGTGAGCATTCATATTGGTCATTTCAGAGTAATTTCATTGGATCTGTAGATTGCTTTGGTTAGCATATTCATCTTAACAATACTGATTCTTCCATTCCATGATCATGGAATGCTTTTTGACTTGTTTGTATCATCTACAATTTCCTTCAAGCATTTTATAGTTTTAATTGTACAGATCTTCACCTCCTGGGTTAAATATATCCTGAGATATTTTATTTTTTGTAGCTATTATAAATGGAGCAGAGTTATTGATTTAGTTCTCAGTTTGATTGTCATTGGTGTATAGACATGCTACTGAATTTTGTATGTTGCTTTGCATTATAGAACTTAATTAAGTCAATTTTCAAATGTCAAAGTCTTTGAGAAGAATCTTCAGGGTTTTCAAGGTATACAATTATATCATGAATAAATAGAGACAAATTGAGTTCCTCCTTTCCAATTTGGATATTTTTAATTTTTTTCTTGCCTGATTGTTCTTGCTAGGTTTTCCAGTACAATGTATAATAGAAGTATGAAAGTGGGCATCTTTGTCTTATTCCAGTTCTTAGAGGGAAAGCTTTCAACTTTTCCCTGTTCAGTATGATATTGGCTGTGGTTTGTTAGACATGGCTCTTATTATTCTGAAGTATGTTTCTTCCATTCCTAGTTTGTTGAAAGTTTTTTAAATTTTATTTAATTTTATTATTTTTTTAATCAGGAAGGAGTGCTAAATCTAACTGAATACTTTCTTTGCATCTATTGAAATGATTATATGATGCTTGTTTTTAATTATGTTTATGGGTTGAATCACATTTATTGATTTGCATATATTGAATTATCCTGCAATAAAACCTACTTGATTATAATATAATAACTTTTTGATGTGCTGTTGGATTTGGTTTTCTAGTATTCTGTTCAGAATTTTTGTGCCTGTGTTCATCAGGGATACCAGCCTGTAGTATTTTATTTTTGTTGTGTCATTGCCTGGCTTTAATATCAAGATGATATGAGCTTTGTAGAATGGGGTATGGAGGATTTCCTCTTTTTTGATTTTTTTGAAACAGTTTCAGTAGGATTTGTACCAGTTGGTTGTACATCTATAGAAATTGGCTGTGAATCCATCTGTTCCTGGGCGTGGGGTGGGGGAGGGATTTTTTTTTTTAATTGGGGTGGGGGGAGATTTGTTTTTTAATTACTGTTTCCATCTTACTACTCATTATTTGTCTACTCAAGTTTTCTATTTCTTTCTGGTTCAGTCCTGGGAGGTTGGATGTTTCCAGGAATTTATCAAATTCCTCTAGGTTTTCTTGTTTGTGCATGTAGAAATGCTCATAGCAGTCTCTGATGATCTTTTTTGTTTCTGTTGTATAAGTTGTAATGTCTTGTTTTTCAACTTTGATTGTGCTTATTTGAATCTTCTCCCTTTTTTTCTTGGTTAATCTAGCAAGCATCCTAGCAAATTTGTTTATCTTTTTAAGTAACATACTTATCATTTTGTTGATTATTTGTATTTTTCATCTCAATTTTATTGAATTTTTCTCTGTTCTTTGTTATATCTTTTCTTCCGCAAATTTTGGGCTTGTTATGTTCTTATTTTTCTATTTCCTTGAGGTGTAATGTGAACTTGTTGTCTTGTGATCTTTTCTATCCTTTCAATGTAGGCATTTATTACTATAAACTCTTAGCACTGTTTTTGCCATACCCCAAAGGTTTTGGTTGTGTTTCTATTTTCATTTGTTTCAGTTTTTAAAATTTTCTTCTTAATTTTGTCATTGACCCAAAGATCATTCAAGAGCAGGTTGTTTAATTTCTAAGTGTTTTTGTAGTTTTGATTGTTTCTCTTGGTATTGATTTCTAAGTATTATTCCACTGTGGTTGAAGAAGATAGTTGATATGATTTTTATTTTGTAAAATGTGTTGATACTTGTTTTTGGCTGAATATATGGTCTATTTTGGAAAATGTTCTATATGCTGATGAGAAAAATGTATATTCTGTTGTTGGGAACAATGTTCTGTAAATGTCTGTTAGGTTCATTTGGTCTAGCATCCAATTTAAGTACTCTGTTTCCTTGTTAGTTTTTTGCCTTGACGGTCTCTCTAGTGCATCAGTGGGGTGTTGAAGTCCACCACTATTATTGTGTTGCTCTCCATATATTTTATTAGGTCTAGTAACATTTCTTTATGAATCCAGGTGCTCTGGTATTGGTTGCATATATATTTAGGGTTGTTTTTTTTTTTTTTTGCTGCATTGATCTCTTTCTCATTATATAATTATCTTCTGTGTCTTGTTTTAATGTTGTTGATTTAAAGTCTGTTTTGTCTATTATCAGTGTAGCTACTCCTGCTCACTTTTGGTTCCCATATGTATGATATATTTTTTTCCACCCGAGTCTATAAGTGTCATTACTAGTTATGCGGGCTTCTTGTAAGCAGCATATGGTTGAATCTTTTTTAAAAAAAAATCCATTCTGCTCATCTATAGTGTAGGATTTAGCCCATTTGTGATCAAGGTTAATATTTATATGTGACTTATTGTTTCTGTCATAATGTTAAGTGTTACCTAGTTGTTTTGTACTGTATACGTGTATGTGCTATATAAGACCTGTGAGTTTTCTACTTTCATTTTTTTTTATGACAGTGACTATTAACCTTCCGTTTCCATGTTTAGACGTCCTTTGATCATTTATTGTAGGGCTGATCTAGCGGTGATGAATTCCCTTAGCATTCGCTTGTTTGGAAGACTATTTATCCTCCATTTATGAAGCTTAGTTTAGAAGGATACAAAATTCTTGGCTTATCTATATCTATATCTATATTTGATTTTAAAGGACTGAAAATAGGATCCTAATTTCTTCAGATTTGTAAGGTTTCTGCAGAGAAGTGCACTGTTAGTCTTTTGGGATTTATTTTATAGGTAATTACATCCTCATGTGTTGCTGGTTCAGGACTTTTTCTTTCACATTCAGTTTAGAAAGCCTGATGACTATGTGCCTTGGTGAAGTTTGTCTTGCAATGTATTTTTCAGTAGGTTTTTGAGTTTCTTGTATCTTGATATTTAAATCTCTGGCAGCACTAGTGAATTTTTCTTCAGTTATTCCCTCAAATAGGAAATATTTGAGGAAAATCTCAAATAGGTTTTCCAGACATTTTACTTTTTCTTCTTCTCTCTCAGAAATACCCATGACTCATAGTTTTGAACACTTTACATGATTCTTTCTCAAAGACTTTGTTCATTTTTAAAAATTATCTTTTCCTTATTTTATCTAACTGAATTAATTCAAAAGACCTGTCTTTAAGTTCTGAAATAATTTATTTTATTTGGTCTAGGCTATTATTAAAGCTTTCAACTGTATTTTGTAATTCCTTCAATGAATGTTTTATTTCCAGAAACTCTGTTCATTTTTTTAAGTCATTTTAGTAAATTTTTCATTTATATATTGAATTGTTTTTTCTGATTTCTTTGTGTTGGTTTTCAACTTTCTCTCTGATCTAATTGAGTTCCCTTACAAGCCGTAGTTTGAATTATTTATTTGGCATTTCAGAATTTCCATTTCTGATAGAATTCATTGTTAGAGAGCTGTTATGGTTATTTAGAGGTGTTGTAACATCTTGTTTTGTCACACTGCCAGAATTATTACACTGTGTTTTATCATCTGGAGAAGCTATCACTTGTTAGGTTTGAATTTACTTTTGGTCAGTTGGTTCCTCTTCCCTCCCAAAGGGTGTGTAGGTTGTATATTACCATTTAGCTTTTATTCCAGGTGCTTTCAGGGTGCTGAGGCTCATTATGAGTTCCTTGGTTGTAGAAGCTTTTGTATAGTGACCTTCTCAAATCTCAGTTGTAGTAGTGATGCACTGGTTGTATGAGCAGACTGACTACCTTCCACAAGACTGAGATTGCGGAGCTCAGGAAGCTTATCTTACACCCAGTGCTGTGCACTTTTGTTAGCAGGTTTTTTATTGGGTTATGTAGTTCTACCTCCAGGCCAGTAGGTGGTGTTTATGGGTAAAAGCTGTAGCAGAAGCAAATCGGTATACTGTTCCATCTTTGTTTATGAGAAGGACCTCTCTGTTGTCTCAGGCAGTGGGGTGTTCTGTGGAATGCATGCCTGATGCCCTGAGTTTCCTTCTTAGCCTTGGAGAGAGGGACAAAGCTGCTCTCAGATGTCATAATTACTAGCACTGCCCCTTATGGAAGTGGGAGATGGAACCTGTGGTGAAATGCACTGTGGTCTCTGCAAGGGGAGAGGGGACTGCACTAGCTCCAAGTCCCGGGCAAGCAAAAACAATGTCCACCTCCCTATCATATCCCTGTCCTGGGATTCCTGACTCTCTGTTCAGAGAGATATTGTCGTTTATTTCCATGCTGCACCGTAGTTAATGGCTGTGGAAAATGCTTAGCCACAGCTATCTGCTGCAATGGCCTCTGGGCAGAAGTTCTTTTGTTAGCCCAGAACAGATAGCTCTGCAGCTCACCTATTCCCTGTTGCAGGAACTCTGCCGCTCCATGTAGAAAGGGGGAAGGACCGTGCCCTCTGTTCAAGCCCTGGCCCAATGGGCACACTGCCACTGTGGGTCCTGTCACCCTTAATAGACCTGGAATGGCCATCCACAGACGCTTTTGCGCCAAGCCCCTGGGAGAGGAACCCTAGAGGGTTGGGAGGGGGAGAAGTCCCCCTCTCCATGTTTATGTGAAAGTGCTGGTACTGCCTGGCTGCTGGGACAGAACCACACTCCTCCCTTTCAGAGCCCAGAGCGATGCTCATGTCTCTGCTGGAAGGAGAACAGTCACCTTCAGCTCACATTCAGGGAGCTCTTGGTACGGGAGAACATGCATTCTGGATTTTGGTTTCCTTTGTCCCGAGGGGCATTCTCTTGGAATGCTGCACTCACTCTCTTTCCCCAAGAACTGTCTGCCTTGAGGTTCAGACTACCAGTAATTATGCAGCTCCCTTGGCTCTCGTTGGCCCTTTGTGGCCGCTGTAGTCTGAGCAGTTGTTGGTGTATATTTCCAGGGATCAAGGGATATGAATACATTAGGGCTGAGATTTCCTGGGCATGACAGTGGTCCATAATGGATGCATACTCAGTATAGTGCCTGCCACCTCAGCCTTGGTTTGGGGGGAGGGTGAGTTACCCTTTGCCAGCTGGCAGCTCAGTGCAATGCCCTCAAGAAGCTCTCAAATCGCCACCCACACCAGTGCTTGGGTTTATGAGGGCAGAGGAGCCCTCCAGCAGTTTGGAAACCAGCAGCCTGCTGCAGGGATTTGGTGAACTAACAATAACTCCACCTACCTTTTCCATAGGACTTCAAGTTCTTCAGTGTTCCTTCTCTGCTTTCTTCTTTCTCAGCACCCCATTTTCTTCCTGTGAGTCTTCTGTTAGGCTCCAGCATTCTACTTTCAACATTTAGTTCAAGTTGTGATGTTCATCTATAACGTTGATTATTCTTTCTGAGAACTGGCCTCAGATAGGTCTAGTCATCAATCTTGAAATGATCTCACTGCCATCATTTTAAAAGGATTTTGTGAGGTGGAGTGTGGAGAGAGGAAATTCTCTTGAGAAGTCACACTAACTCACTTATAGTTTACAACTCTTCAGAGGTTGCTCATTACATTATGAAGATTATGTAGATACTTTAAAAGTGACTTTCTGCTTTTTAAACTAGCCTTGTACCATACTTTCCTTACACATGAAGTTCCAATCATGGTTAACTTCCTTTAGCTCTTCAAATGTCATCTATGCCTTTCTTATATTTCATCCTTTCTCATGCTGTACTTTTAATTTGAAATGATCTTCTTTTCTCCATTAATACTCTGTCTTCATTCTTATCAAATTTTAGATGTCATTTCGTCTGAAAAGTCATTTACCATAACTATCTCAGCTGTTAGTTTCACCACCTACCTAGGGATATTATAGAAAATGCCCAGTCTCTCTGTTGGTCCAATATATACTCAATAATAACTAAGAAATGTTTCGATGTTGAATATATATGTCATTATTGTAGGTTTATTCTTGTCACATAAATCATAAAGCAGTGTGGATTATTGACTAGAAGCATGAAACCAGAGGCCAGATTGCTTGGGTTTGAATACCAGCTCTGCCAGTGCCTACTCACATGCCTCTGGACATGTTATTTAAATAAATATATAAGTATCTTCATCTATAATATGGGAAAATAATATATATGATATGTTGTAAGAATTGTGTAAATGTTGTTTTAATAAGTAATTATTTTGATTCACAAAATAAGTAATTATTTTGATTCACAAAATAAGTAATTATTTTGATTCACAAAATAAGTAATTATTTTGATTCACAAAATAAGTAATTATTTTGATTCACATTGAGTAAAACAGATCAAAACAATCCAACTTTGCAAAGGTAATTTTCCATCATCTCATAAGTAACTTCAGAAATATGAATTAACCTTACCTAATTCAAAAATCTGAAATTACAACACATATAATTAGAACAAATTACCTATACCTGAAGGATAGAAATTAATTAAGATTAATATCAAGTGAATTAGTGTTGAGTGGCATATACTTTGTTTCCTTTCACAGTCATGAAGCTGAGGGTCATTTAGAGCTTTCTTTTTTATATCAACCTACTGGCACTTTACAAAACATAAAAGCATAGCTATTAAAATGTAAGCTTATGATGGCAATTGCATTTCTCAGCTGCTTAAAAAGATCTGTACATTTATTTCTAATTTTCAAGAAGAAGTAAATTATAGGCAATGCTGGAATATAAATTTGAATGCATAAGAATAAAGATAGAATCATATTTCAAAAGTTATTGCTTCAATTACTTTGAAAAATATATATTTGGTAAGTATATATTTTTATTTGCTAGAGGAAATATCAAGCCACATACACTGAAAAATAATCGAGGCAAAATGTATCAAAGGAAAATTTTTTAAAAATGAAAAAAATGAATGGCACATTCATTAGCCATTCCCTGAAATTCTGGGCACCATCTGATATTAATTTTTCCTTGACATAAATTCCAAAAACTATGAAAACAAAACCATAGACCTGCTACTCGTTAACCAATTAAAGCAAAATTAATTATATTTGAATAAGATTACTATATCTTTCCAAACTTAAAATTTAGAACCATTTGTTTTAACAATTTTTTATTTGTTTATAATTGCCTGAAATACCAACACATTTCATTGCTTATATGTTTCTAAATTTGGGAACTAGTTCTCATTTACATCTTTCTGTTCTCCTACTTTATTTTAGCAGTAAAAAGAAATGTAACATACATGATCTTCCTTGCCAGTTGCCTTGATTATGTGCTTTTATTCTCAAAAGTTTCAACTATTACCCTTCAAATTTGCACTTGCTTCAAGGTTGTCCTTAATGTTGAGCATTTGGTTCATGTCACAAGGGGACTATATCTGTTCACAGTAAAAATAAGTATGTATTGTTATATCATGAAACTGAAGTAAGTTAAAGGGAAATAGGTCAGCTTTTTTCAGCTTTTTCTAGTCATAAACTTTATGTCAGTAGAACAGACTGTACGTTTTAGATTTTAGATTTGAAGAAAACCTTTCAAACTCAAAATAGTTTCTTTCATTTATTATCTAAATACAACTTCTTCTTAAGTTATTGCTGTTATTATAGGATATTAATTAACCTAATAACGTGTGTTTTCTCAAAAAAATAATATTCACAGATCAAGATTTGAAATTCAAACAAATCATCTATTTTGTAGGCATCAGATTAGCTAGAGAGGGTAGTAGTGCTAGTAGAATCAAGTTTATTTGCATTCTTCACAACTTCTACCCTAAAGCAAACAGATCAAGTAGTTGATGAAGAAATGTTACATACTAAACAAATGCTTCTTTAACAAGCACATCCAAATCAACATGTTTAATACCAAACTCATGATCGTTTTCTGAAACCTATTCCTTTTTTCCCACTTTTCTCCATGTAGTATTCCTCAAGTCAGAAATCTGGAAGTCCTTTATGGCAACTGTCCATTTGTTTACCTATTCAAACCTAATAAGAAAATAAGTCCTATTGATTCTCCAGCAAAATTAACTCCCAAATCTCTTCACTAAATCTCAAGCTTCTATTGTCAACACTGTGATAGTCAGGGACACTACTATTTCTCACTTTGAGTAATAATGTTATAACTTTCTCCAATCTCAAATTAACTACTAGATCATTTTTCTTAAAGTTGAAAATGCTTACAATGGACTTTATTTTATGACCTCTCTAGACTTACCTGATGCAATTTCCTTACAACAGGCATCAGATTCATGATCCTTTTTCAGTTGTTCTAAAGCTGTCTTTCCTAATATGAGATATTACACATAATGTCTTTTCTTATAATAATCTTCCCTCTCTCTTCATTTATCCTTCTCCCACATTTTATGACTTAACCATTACTCATTTATTAGCTTAATTTTTATTTCCTCAGAAAACCTTCTTCTTACTTCTCTGATGATAAAATCACTCCTAGTTTCACAATCCTAGAGTACACTGCTTCTTCTTTATATGTCATTTGCATAATTACATGTTTAATATTTGTCACCTCCACCTCCACTATACTCTGCATTCTATGAAGACAGAGATTAGTTCTGTGAACATAGAACTGATTTTGTTACATTTCCTTACAGATAACATAAAACCACAACCCATGAATGAATTTTTGAAGATAATTACATTAAATGTCAATATTAACAAAAGAGCCACAGAGATCATGAGTACTCAAATCCACAAAAAACTCATATCTTCCTTTTGATTTATTTTTAAAAGTATATTTCATGAAAACATTAGTTTTTTAAATAGAATTTATGATGAGATGAGCAATTTCAGACAAATTGTCGACACTGTCTGGTGGTCTGTTTATCTGATTGACCTTATCTTGAATGAGGTAAATTATAAACCATATTATCCAGGTCTATTAATGGTTGTGTTCCTCTTGATTTTTATCTTTTTTTTCTGAATTAATCTGGTTATTTTCTTAATGACTTCAAATATATCTTTGTTTATAAAATTCCCTTTCATTAAGTGGTTATATTCCTTTGTTCATTTCAAATATTATATATTTGTGTGTGTGCTTACCTTTTTATTAATTAAACTATTTGCTTTTTTTTGCTAAGTCAATATTTTTTGAACTTTCTGATTCCACACCTTTTTTTAGTAATACTTTTTTTTTAAATTTCTGCTGTAACATTTATACAACCTTTTTATTCTTTTCTCAAATTATTTTCTTTGTCTCTTTTTAAAATGTATTTACTTGAATGCTTAGTTCATCTATATTTTGTTCATTATTAACTATGAAACTATTTAGAGCTTTGGATTTATCTCTAATTGTATTACTTAATACATAAATAAACTTACTATTTAGAGCTTTGGATTTATCTCTAATTGTATCTTAATACATAATTAACTTTTGGCTTTATTTATCTTATATTTTTAAATTATGGATTTCATTTTATTTCAGATCATACAATTATTTTAACTTGTATTATAAATCTTATAAATTTTAACTTGTATTATAAACTTATAAATCTGTGGTTTATATTTCTTGTGTTTATATCTGTCTTTTTTCAATTGTAGTAGTGTTATGTAGCCCATACAACTTTTCATGTTTTTTATTGTTGTTTTTGATATTGCAAAATTTCTCTTTCTGGCTTATTTCATGATCAATACTCATATGTAATAATACTCATATATTTTGAATTCTAACTTAGCTTTCAAAAATATGATCCTTAAAAGTCAAAGCTCAATCTATTAAATACTGTTAATAAAATATTTAAAGGGTTTTATTAATGTTTCCCATCAGCTTTATCTTTGATTTCAATACTGCTGTTTGATATATTGAATATTGTGAAAGATTTATCTTTAGAGTACCTCATATTTTCATAAATACACCCTTCTATATCAGTCAGTGTTGATCAGGAAAGCAGAGCTACTATAAATTTTGAAGAATAAAGAATGAATTATAGGAGATGAAGTCCAGAAATAGCACTTGGAGAGTCAGAGAAGAGTCAGAAACTAGCACTCCTGCAGTGCTGGCTCAGGTAGATAAACCTGAGCTGCAGGGAAGCTGGGGATGCTGACTTGCCAGAGGGGAACCATAAAGGGAAGTTGATAGAGATGTGTGTGAAAGGCTGCTCCTGCTCTGTCTCCTGGTGGGCCTGTTGGTCAGCAGTGTCAGCAGTTGGAAAGAACTGGCCATGGAACAAGGGAAGCCAGGACAAGCTGCAACCTGCCAGCTCCTCTGAGTTGCCTCTTCTCTCATCTGACTGCAACAGCCTTCAGAGATTAGTAGCTGTTGCGTCATTTCTTTCTTCTACATCTCACAGAAATTTATCTTTAGGCAACCACTGTTTATACTAGAAATTCTGGGAAACATTGCTCCAGCTTACAACTTTATACAGTCTATCACCACTCTTGTCACTCTTAAAAACTCAGTATTTATATTTCATTTTCTTAATCATCTGTTTATTTTGAATAAAGTGAGTTAGAAAGCCCATGTAGCTGTACCTTATACAATTGAAAACATGCTAACCTTCTCTCCAAAAAAGAATACAAAGAGGATATGTGTTACATTACCCGTCTTTTAATAATGTTTATTTTTTTACTAGCTGAGTCACACCATTCTTCTTTGATAGCTTGTAACTTAAATACTGAGATATAACTTAATCACTACTAACACATTTTATGAATAGGAGAATGAGTAAAGTATAATAATTTTGTATGTGTAATGTTTGCTTATACATACATAGACATAAACACACATTCTATACATACCATAAATATACACTATACACATATATACATGCCACAGATATATAATATAAACACTCAATGTATGCAATATGTAAAATATACACACAGCGTATGCTATACTTACATAGATGTATGTGTGTGTGTGTTTATGTTTGTAAGTATATACACATATCTCTATATATATGCTTGGTACATGCTAGTTAGAGTAAAAAGGACTGTTACCTTATGAGTATTTCTTCCTTAAACTGAATACACACATAAACAAATATTAATATATTATTACATTTTATACATTTACAACTACCACTGTCCTTTTTCTCTGTAACTAGTTCATATGGCTCAAGGTAGTATTTGCCTCTTCCTTCTTACCTTATATATTCCATTTCCCTTTGCTCTTGTCTTAGCTCAGACTGCCTCATGAAATACCAAAGACTAGGTGACTTCAACAATATGCTTTTATATATTACAATTCTGGAGGCTAGGAAGTTCAAGATCAAGGTGCCCACAAGTTCAGTTCCCGGTGACAGCCCTCTTACTGGCTTACAGATGTCCACCTTCTCCTTGTCCTCACCTAGCAGAGAGAAAAAAATTTTTAACTTCTTTCTCTTCCACTTCTTATAAAGCCACTAATTACATCACAAGTGTCCCACCCTCATGATCTCATCAAACTCTAATTACCTCTCCAAACCCCATCTTCAAATACTATCACTTTGGAGGTTAGGGATTCAATATATGAATTTTGTGGGGAGGCACAATTCAGTCCATGGCAGTCCTCATCAAGCATCTCAGCTAGTCAGGGTTTCTTGCCTAGTGTGGTGACCCAGAACATTATTCTGGAACAAATTTTTATTTCTGAATTGTCTGTGACATGGCTAGTGTTGCCTGTATTGGGTTGTTAACATTTTCCATTGGTTAATCACAGGATGTAAAAGTAGTAAGAGGTTCCCAAGAGTTCCCCCCATTTCCAGAATACCTTTTATATAATTATAGTAGCAATACAATATTCGGTCACTGGCATAAGGGGCACAAAGCGACCAATGGCAATTTCATTTTTTAATTTAATAAAAACATTGTTGTGCCCCTAAGTGGAAATATTCCTCCCTTCGGAACTAAGATTATTATACTAGCAGCACTATCAGATTTGCAGTAATGAGAAGCAAAATTTTCACTAGAGGGTCATTAGGGGTAATCATGAGAGGAGCTGTTCACCTTTGCACAACATGACTCCTGGACTTAATGCTAGTTGTGGTGCATTAACCTTATATTCGCTATGGGTTCACCATATATTGGTCCCTTTCTCAGAACATATATCTGGACCTCTCACATACTGTAAAGCATTGCCCCAGTCCCACAATGTGTTATCACTCCGATAATACCATTACCGATTTTTCAAAATGCCGTTCTACTTTTCTCTTGTGTGAGCTGTTTCAGGATAATGGTAAATATAATACCAGTAAATTCCTAGTTTGTGAGCCCATTGTCATACATTCTTTTCTTTTATGTAAGATGTTAGTTTTAACAGAAACATTGTGGGAAGGGAAGTCAAATCTGCATCCATAATAAATATATATATCTGGAGAACAACATGCGGCCTTTTCTGTTTTAGATGTGGTCCAATGGTCCTATATATTCAACCTGTGACCAGGTAGCTGGCTCCTCCCTATCAGGGAATCATGCCATATTAGGGGTTCAGTATTAATCTCTGCAGTTGGCAGTTTACCCATTCAGTAATTTCTCTAGACAGATAAGCCTTGATAAGTAGAAATTTATCCTGATAAGCTCAATCACAACTGGATTACAACCATTATGACAATGTTTTTACGAGCCCATTGATAAGAACAGAAGTAGCCACAGAAAGAAAATGATTAGCGATCCGCAGGAAAAGTCAGCTTATCCACCTGATTGTTAGGATCCTCTGCTGAGGTGGCTATGTGATGAGCATTCAGAGAGGGCACAAATTTCTTCGTTCTCTGGATTCAATCAGAGAGGTCTAGCCACATCCGCCTTCTATAGAATCTCTTGATACCAATTTTCCAATTATATTATTTCAAATCTTTAACCATCCAGCCAAAATATTAGCCACTACACATGAGTTACAGAAAATTCACACCTCGGTTTATCTCTTTCAAGGCAAAGTTACAACCAGGTACACTTCTCAAAGTCCTGCCTGCTGAGCAGAGTTTCCTTCGTCATTGTCTTTCAATGTCACTTTTATGTGATGTTTTAATGCTACAGCTGCTGTTATTCATATTTGTGCAAAGAACATTTAGTGTACCTCTCTGAACAGGATGTGTGTATTCAGTATTGGCTTTTGGGCAACATCCAATTTATTATTTACTTTTTCTACTTTCTTAACTTTGTCAAATTATTTTTTCATATGATAACCATCTCCTAGTTTCTCCCTTTCCTTGGCATAAATCTCTTGGTAGGGAGAGAGTTGCTCAGATTCTCCAAATTAGTCTCTTTCTTTTGAACTACTGAATCTCTGAGAACACTTAACAGGGTGAAGTTCAGTATTTACTTATTATTGTGAATCTGATAGCTGAAGTGATTTTTGTACAGCAGTCTATGCCCCAGATATGTGAGGGCATGATGTTTTGAATGAGTTTATAAATTGCCTATTTTAGTGCAGTGGTGTCCTGCTTTCCAGGGAAAGCAAGGAAGAACTAGAGAACATTTTTATTTGTGTGTCAGCATGGCCTATACTTGCTTCCAGATCTACATTGTGAGCTAAAGCTGTCAGTAAGATTCCAGTGAAGGTATGTGCCACTTTTTCCCTAGGAAAAAAAAATTATTTTGCATTCAGGGAACCTCAGTATTTTTAGATCTCATTTTGGTCTCAATCTGCATAATAATTAGCTGAAAATCTTAAATATCTTTTGCAAAGTGTTCTGTTATCTTCTAAGTTTATTCTTATGTTTTATTTATATGTGTTGGTTTATTCATTTACTCACTTACTTACTTGCACTTTGGTCATTTCATTTGGTTTTTTAGAGCTAAACTCAAGGCTCAAATCACCATATTGAATGAGATCTGTATTTACTTTTTGAACCCAACTACACTTAGGGCATTTAATCCTATTAACATTCACCTCTGCTCACAGTCCAGCAAAATCTGCTGTATGCTAATTACATAACATGTTTTAATTATATTTTTATTTCACCTTAACATTCGATAAAGTACACTCTCTATATCTTCATCTAATTACTTGATAATCATGTTAAATATTATAAAGGGACTAATATTTGTGGGTGGATTTTTTTTGTTGTTTGTTTGTTTTGTTTTGTTGTGTTTGTGAGACAGGTTCTCACTCTGTTGCCCAGGCTGGAGTGCAGTGGCACAATCAAGGCTTACTGCAGCCTTAACTTCCCTGGGCTCAAGTGATCCTCCCACCTCAGCCACCTGAGTAGCTGGTACTACAGGCATGCACCACCATACCTGGCTAATTTTCGTATTTTTTGTGGAGATGAGGTTTCGCTCTGTTGCCCAGGCTGCTCTTGCACTTCTGCGCTCAAGCAATCCACCTACCTTAGCCTCCCAAAGTGCTAGGATTACAGTCATGAGCCACCACACCCAGCCTGGGACTGACATTTGAATGTTAGTCTCCAGTGAATTTCAGAACAAATTAAAAAAAAAAAAAACATGAAATAGAAGAGAATCTTAGAAGCCCAAAGAATGAAAGCAAAGTTTTTTCATCATTATATATTCTTATTTCTTGAATATAATGACTTTAAAAGCAAAAACAAAGTGAGGTGTAAATTTAAACAGAAAATTATTTAGCAGTTTCCATTTTCAAATGTCCTGCTTAGAAAAAAAAGATAATTGAGTCCAGGATTATTAAACATACAGGACATCATTTTTGCAAACCAGATGGGATGGTCATGATAAATAAATGCTTACTGCTGTATTTCACTGCTTGTCTGTGCTTCTTTGGCTATAGGCTAAAAACATGGAATGCTCTCTCTTGCCTAAGGACACAAAATTGTGCAGTAAACAAGGGTTCAAATAAACCTTTGGTCTGAACAATTTGAGCAGATGCTTATGTTTGGATTTCCAAACACCTGCCAATTACTTTGAAGTCAAATAGACCTCATAACTTCCAGTAGGGTTAAATGTAGTCAAGGTAGCATTAAAAATTAATGAGTAAGCCTGGATAATATGGTGAAACTCTGTATCTACAAAAAGTACAAAACTTAGTTGGGCATGGTGGCATGCACCCACAGTACCAGCTACCTGGGATGCTGAGGTGGGAGGGTCGCTTGAGCCTGGGAGGTCGAGGCTGCAGTAAACCACGGTCACGCTACTGCACTCCAGCCTGGCATGACAGAGTGGGACCACGTCTCAAGCAAAACAAAACAAAACAAAACAAACTAATGAGTTAATAAATGAGGTAGAGAGAAACAGATTTTGGAAATGCAGATAAAAATCTTTGGAGTTTATTTTAAAGTAATCATTCTAGATGAAAGTAGTGGTTCATAAACAAAGAGCATGCAAACCAAAAATGATTTTAATCAGGATAAAAAGTTTTTCTTTTCTTTTTCTTTTTTTTTAAAAAAAAAAAACCTTTGAAAATGTGGCTTTCAATTATCCTCAGAATTCACTATAATACAAATACTATAATAATCCCATCTCTTAAAGAGAGAAATCTCAAAATGAGCTCAGAAATTATATGATCTTCCACCTTTAAAAGAATCACAAAGATATAAAAATCCTTTACAAATAAATGCTGCTTACTTGGACTTGGGGGAAAGAGGAATAGTGTATGTTTCTATGAACTCAGACTTTAGTTTCAGCTTTTGCATCCTATTTAAAGTGTAAATTGTCACGCTTCCACTATTCTGAGAACATGAATATCTCTGGAAAAATGGGCAAGTATTCTTTGACAAAGTTTTCAAATATGTGCTGCTAAAAAGGAGACACTTTTTACTTTAACAATCTTAGCAAATAAAGATTATATATTTACCAACAAAACAAACTCATTTAAAATGCATGAATTGCACATACTTGATATACATGTATATACATATAAGTAGACATGTGTATGTTTGGGCATATGCATGTATAATATATGCATGTGTACTTATGTGTCTGTTAATATGCACGTATATATTTGTTATAATACATGCATGTTTGTATTTGTTATAGGACGCTATAAGTAACTTTTTGTTGCTTTTGATTTGGGGAGTGGGGCCCAAAGCTGAGGACAAAAAGAAGCTAAATATATTCATGTTCTGTAGTGATCCAGCAACAACTGGATCAAATATTACCCAATTTTTGCTAATTGACACGATCTTTGGCCTTGTGGAATTTGTAGTGCTTATTCTGCGAGGCAGTTCCTTTTCTTCAGTATGAGTGTATGACTGCACCTAAACAGGTTCATTCAGAGAGATAGGGATGCCTCCAAGAGTGGCATTTTATTCCTTCTCATTGGTAGCCTCCTTGTTGGGTATCTTAATAGAAATTTTCCTGTTCAGCCTGTGCTTTCCTAAGGAGTGAGGAAGATAGTAGCAGCAGGACACAGAGAGGGAATGACAGAGGAGCAGTGTGTAGTCCCCTGTTTGACAGGGCTGGGACAGGTGAAATTTCTTTGAGCCTAGTGGTTACTTGGGAAGTTAACTAAGCTTGGGTGGTTTTGCCAGTTTCTTCCTCCCCACACAGGAAGATTGCTCCAAAGGAAAGAAGGTCAAGCCAGAACCTCTAGAGAATTGGAAGGTGAAAAATGTTGAGTCCAGTTTGTTTCCCAAATCAGCGGACTGAGAAGTTGGAGGCACTAAAGGGAATTTGAAGAATTATCTCTCTCACACACTCCACAAAAAAAAAAAAAAAAAAAAAAAAGCTAGCGTTTGAATAAATCTCAGTTAAATCAAGAGCATCAACAGTCAGGTTAGTGTTAGAGGAACAACCACACCTGCAATTAAAGACAAATCGGCATTTGTTTTCCCTGCCCACTGCTCTGCCCCTGTGGTGAAATGCTAGACTTAGTACAGGGCAGTGGAGAAAGACATAGAAGGACAGAATCTACTTCCATTGGCTTCTTAGTCTCCTTACTCTGTCCTGAGATGGTGCATGGAGAGACCTCTGAATCAGAAATGAATTTGTAGTATTAAAGTGTAAGAACTAAATTTTATTAACTAAAAGCAACCTCTCAGCTGTACAATCTGGCCAAAATAACAACCCACTTTAGAGACAAATATAAATTTACATAAAGTAGTAAATAGGGAATGATATTTGCTGTATAAAGATGGAGAAGGTAGGCCAGCAAGGGGAAAAGGGATCATTTTTTTTTTCAGTTGTTCTTCTAGAGACACTTTAAAAAATGTATTTCCTGCATGTGCAAGCTCTCTGTCATGTGGAAGAATTATTCTGTTTAAAGAGCTGCTGCTTTAAAATAGCTAAAATAATTTATCTGGGAGTTTGTAAAATGATATTCAGCTTCGAAGCTTGTAATGCAAACCAAGGCAAGCTAACCGCTGACAATTCTAATTTAATTCTCTTTTATGGACCAATTTTTCACAAATATACTCATTGTAAATGTAGGAATTGTGTGTGCTTTTGCTTATGAACATATACAACATTAACATATCCACATGAGACTATATTTAGTATCTGGAAAAATTGTGCATCATCTAAAAAGGATGTAGACCTGATTTGTGTGGTTTTTACATCGTTAAAGCACAGTGAATGTTGTAAAAAGGAAATGTGTGCTTATCGTTAGTGTAATATCAATGTAATACTATTTTTTAACATCTACAAAAACACGGATATGCACTATGTTATTCTATTTTGTATTATTTATTACTAAGACTACATCCATATTGGTTCTGACATATTATTTTTCTCCTTTGATGATCCTTCACATAATATATAAACTATTATGAGATTTTAATGCTAAACATTTCATTTTGGGAAGTCTATGATTATGGCATAGGCAATACTTGGTATCACATACCCAAGGGAGATGCTAATGAAGTAGGACTCCGTGGACTTGGATAAGAGCTGCAATCCTGGAAGAGAGGTTCTATGCTTTTCTTTCCTCCAGCACCCTTCTGCAGTATCTGCCCGCACCATACAACCTAGTTATGAAGTTGTTTCTAATTTCTGCATTTAGAGCTATGAACAGATGAACCTTAAGCAGACATAAGAAGAGTAGGAACAATATGTTTATCATCTTCCTGGCAGATATGTCTTATGTCTCTCCCTGTTCTCCTTGAGGTTTTGAAAGAAACTCAGATGGGGGTGCAGGGAGTAAAGAAATAAAGGCAAAAATAATTAAATGAAACAATTATTTCCAGAAATACTATAGCAATATTTTGCAAAAGTCATTAAATAATGAGTGTCTTAGATATGAATGAATATTTAACATGTTTCCAAAAAAATTAAACTTAGCCTGTCTTAGACTGATGTGGGAATGTTGACTAGAAAATAGATAGCGCTAAAATTATTGGTGGCCATGAATGTGTGGTTATTTTCTTGGCTCATTGCCTCTACACATATGACCAAAATCATTATTTATTTTAAGGAGAGTTAAAGGAAAGCAATTTTAAAATATTGCAGCCTCTATTTTTTTCTCCCTTATGGAGACAGGGATTGGCTATTGGAGAATGTCTTTTTGTTGTTGCTTATGTTATATGCTTTTCTATTGCTTCAGGTTACAATATTAAATTGTGTCTGTCTCCTCTCAAGGTCTTTGGTAGCCTGAGATAGTGTATTCTACCTACTACTGAACAGAGTTTTAATTTCATAAATTACTTGGAATGTCATATATTTTTATAATTTCTACGATTTAGACAGTTCTATTAATTACAGCTATCTCCTCTTTGCATGTATAAACAAAATAATTCTCAGAGTAGAAATCGAAGTGAACAAATTTACTGAATACTTCAGCAGATGTGGTGTCCTAGTCAAGTTGCTTTTGAATAACCATAAGAGTAGATTTTTTTTAAAAAAAGAAGGAACTTCTTAATGAAAGATGAAATGGTTTCAAACATTGTTGGTATTCAGAAATGTATATTTGATCCTTAAGATAGTATAATAACAATAACAATAATTTCAATAATGATGACTGCATGATCAGTCTGTACAATATCTCTGTTTTTACATTCACCTAATTATACTTATTGCCAGTCCTTGCAACCTGGTAGCAGCTATCTTATTTTTTGCCTGATGCTTTCCATACAAGCAAGCCTAGGTATTTTATCAAATAATATGCATTCTGGGAGGAAGGACTACATGCTCAAGCTAAATGTGAGCCATTGATTTTCTTTATAAGAATAATAGCTGTAAAATTTGTGAGAAAGACAGCTCAACTCACCAAAGCTATTTCTGTGGAGGGACCTTGAAAATGATCAGCTTTCTCTTCCTGATCTAAATACCTGTGAAGCTATTGCTATACCCTTGCTGAGGTCTTTCGATTGAACTTCCCTGGCTTTAGCTAATTCAATTTCTAACCAGCGGGTATTGCTAAAGCATGCTGTGTGCACATATTCATAGCTTTGATAATACAGAGGGGAACAGCCAAAGAATCACCAAATCAAGACAGGCATGCTGTTTGTACTATAAATAGTCACATTATCCTGGCATTCTGTTTCTTCTTAATTCTTCCTCTCTTTTGTTCATCCATATAACCCCAATCTGTAAATTTAATTTAATGATTATTTGGAAGGATAATTTGGATGTGTGCAATAACTGTGGAAGGCAACTTGGAAATTTTCGTTAATTAAAGAAGATCATTCTTGTTAGACAGAATTATCCAGTCACTTAATAAATAATCCACAATGTCCTAAAAGATGTAGAAAAATTAGTCTGGTACGCTGATTATATGACCTTCAAAAGTTGCAAAATATTTCTTTATGAGTTTTTTTCTCACCAATGTAAAACTATCAGTGTTAAAAAGGAATTCAAGCAGCAAATACGTAGACTAAT
Source organism: Homo sapiens (assembly GCF_000001405.40). NCBI lineage: Eukaryota > Metazoa > Chordata > Mammalia > Primates > Hominidae > Homo > Homo sapiens. Next base: position 41,840,306 of record NC_000014.9, read on the forward strand.
AACTTCACATCTCTAAAACTCTTTGTTCTCTTATAAAATAAATTAATATAAATACTATTAGTGAAATGTATTTTGTGGTTATTTTCAAAGCAGCAATTCCTGAAGGCTATTTAGGCAACAGTGCCATGGAATGACTTCTGTTATTATTTAATCACATCTGTTAAATATTTTAGTATCATAATATGCACAAAACATCAAAATTACAGAAGTAGAATGTAAAATGTTTTATTGATGCTTAAGTGCAATTTAAAGTAGCCATTGACAATGATAAGAACTCTGGTGTACCTCTCCTAGGCATAAATATTTTCTGTGTACATCAATAGTTAATATTCTTTTTCCCCTCATCCCTTAAGTAGGGAAAATTGTAACCTTGCCATTATATTATTTTATAGGCCAGCTGAGAGAGCCAAAAGAGCCATATTCTTCAGAGGACTGGAAGGCAACTAAAATAATTCTAAACATTGTTCTTTAATTTTTATCCAGTTAGCTCCTGTTGATATTAAATGATTTAATAATGTGGTATCTATTTGTTGTATAAACCTGAGATAGAATTATTTTTGGATTCAACTATGGATTTGGATTCAAATATGAATCTACACAGGGGTTGTAATATTTTATTTTTTGGTTATACAAATGCACAGAATCAATGTATGTATTACGTATTTTAGTAGTCAGTATTTGAATTTGTTTAAAAATGTTACTATTCAAGAGATCTGTGTGTAATCCAAACCCACAATCAACAATAGTATGGTATGTGTCTGTAGCAATATGGAAAAAAAAAACCACTTTTCTTCTACAATAGCAATCATTTAACTGTATAAATTATACATAAATATGTAACTAAATCAATAAATAGGCTAAAAATAAACCAGTGATTCTAGTATCACATTTTAATAATTTTTACAGGCAATTATAGAAATTATATAAGGACATTATCTGTTACTATCCTAATTAGAAAACCTGAACATGAAAAAGAAATTTCTAGAATTATACTTCATGTAAGAGAAAAGTAAAATGGCTTCACTGGATGGAAATAGCTAGTTCGAAATTTAGGGCTGTAGAGATAAATTGCCTTGTTTTCCCCTTTGAATTATTTTATAAATCTCATTGGTTTAAGTATGTTTGTATGTGTATGTGTTACATAAATGCTCACAGATGACATTAGATGGTTATACCATTTTGTGTCTGGTTTCTTCTACTCAATGAAATATTTTAGTTCATGATTTGTACATGTCAGTAATTTATTATTTTTATATTTATGTACTGTTCCATTGCATGAGTGTATCAGAATTTCTTGACGAATCCTCTTCTTGATGGTCTCACATGTTTTTTTTCCAGTTTTGGGCTATTATGAATAAAGTCCTTTGAACATTCTTATGTTTTTGTAGATTTGTACACTCATTTTTTATGAGTATACTAAGTGTAGACTTTCTGTTCACAGGGTAGATGGGCATGCTGGAATAATCTCATATCAGCCCATCAGATCTTATTAAATGTTTAGTTGTTTTGTGGGTTAGTTTTTATGCATGGACATTATAAAAAATAAATTATATAAATTTACACTTAAATAAATTATATTAAAACTAAAGTTAAAAAATTCTCAAAACTCACTATGCCCTAATTACTCTATTATAATTTTCTATTATATATGCTATTGAGGTAATTTATGTCTTTTATATGTGGATGGTGGAAATGCTGTGTAAATATGTGCTATAGTACATATTCCCCCCAGCTTTCCATTCAGTGATGTCACAATGAATATGGTGGGACTAATTATACCACACAATTTGATATATGCTATAAATAATAGCTGGGTTTGTTGTTTTTGGCTTTTCCAGGCTTAAGAAAATGATGGAGATGATATTACTTATGCAGGTTAAACCTAAACATCTGTTGCATTTGTAGATATTGCATTGAGATTATCACAAAAATTAACTAATATTCTTTCAGTATTCAAAAACTATTATCTAAGTCAGCAAACAAATTGGATACATCGTTAAATAGACAGTGACAAGCATCATTGTAGGTTAACTTTTGTCTTGCTGATTAATGTAAACCCAAATATCAACAAATAGTTATGTCAAAACTACACTTGATTAACTGCAACCATAGGTTGGCTGCAGGTATTTAAAAAATGTTCTGTTAAAACATGTTAGTTGTATATAATTTACAACAAATAGAATTTTGTAGTCTATTAGTATTTGTACATTAAGGGTTACACTTCCATTATATCATTAAAATTTATAATAGTTGTATATGGGCTTATATGGATTATAAGCATTAAATACACTGATACATTTATTTTCAGAGTGCTGTTTGTTAAATATTTCCCACACAACACAAAACTTTAAAAAATAGTTAATTTTAAACAAATTACTGAAGGCTTTTCTTCAGTGGATGTATAACATTTTTTTACCATGAGAAGTGTATGAATGTTTTAATTAATCTACATCTTATCTAACATTTAATATTGTCAGTGCTGTAAAATTTTAGTCATTTTGGTGTTTTTGGCATTTTGATGTGGTTTTAAGTACATTCCCTGTGATTTCAACATTACCTAATGGAAATTATGCTGAACGCCTATTTGCATTTTATTGGCAATACTTCTCGAATGAAGTATTTGATCAAGATCTTTGCCATTCAAACATATTTTATATTTAGTTAATTTATATCAATGTTTTATATGTTATTCATATCATTTCTTTTTGAGATATAGGTGTATGTAAATTTTCTCCCACTCTATAGTTTGTTAAAAATTTTCGTTTTTCTTTTTGTCTTTTCTTTTTTTTTTTTTTTTTAATACTGAGTCTCACTCTGTCTCCCAGGATGGAGTGTAGTGATAAAATGACAGCTCACTGCAACCTTGAATTACTGGGCTCAAGTGATCCTCCCATCTCACACTCCCAAGTAGCTAGCTAGCTGGTACTGTATGCATACCATCATGCCCAGCTATATTCTAAATTTGTTTTGTAGAGATGAGGTCTCACTATGTTTCCCATGGTGGTCGTGAACTCCTGGCCTCAAGTGATCCTCTGGCCTTAGGCTCTCGAAGTGCTGGGATTTCATACGTGAGAAAAACATTCTTAATGATATCCTTCATAAGCAGAACTTTAACTGTGATAAAATTATATTTATCAATTATTTATTTAATGGTTACTGACTTTTTGTGTCCTGTTCATATCTTTGCCTACCCCTCTGTTATAAAAATCGTCTTCTGTGTTTTATTCTAAAAACTTTGTAGAAGCTTCTCATTTTAGTGAATGATCCAATTCAAATCAGTCTTTGTGTATGCTGAGAGTAGCATTCGAGATTCCTTTTTTTACCATAGGGATATACTGTTGCTCCAGCACCATTTACCAAAAAGGCCTTCTTTTTACTAATAAATTGTACTAATACTTTCTTGCCTACGTATACATATATGTCAACACAAAATGCACCTACATCTGAATATATGGTCCATGTAAGTAATCACTTCATGAGCATGGATTTTACAAACCTGAAAGAAATGGAATTAATCACAAAGGAAAGATAAAGAAGATAAACACACATGTTCATAAACAAGTAACAATATAGAAAATAAGATATGGAAAGATATTTGCAACAACTGGCACTTAAAAATAAAATTTTAATGGTCACTGTTATAGAAATAGCTTATGCAAAATAATAAAAATACATGAAGGGGCCAATAGCTAAAAGAACAATGGAGGTGAATAGATACTTCATAACAGAGGAAAAAACAGATAACAAACTCATGAACAATTTTTGGTTATGCTAATTATTAGAGAAATGGAAAAGATAACAATGTCACAGTTCAACTGAAATGAATGAATATTTTAAAAATGTAAAATTCGGCCGGGTGCAGTGGCTCACGCCTGTAATCCTAACACTTTGGGAGGCCAAGGTGGGCGGATCACGAGGTCAGGAGATCGAGACCATCCTGGCTAACATGGTGAAACCCCGTCTCTACTAAAAATACAAAAAATTAGCCAGGCGTGGTGGTGGGCACCTGTAGTCCCAGCTACTCGGGAGGCTGAGGCAGGAGAATGGCGTGAACCCAGGAGGCAGAGCTTGCAGTGAGCGGAGATCTTGCCACCACACTCCAGCCTGGGTGACAGAGCAAGACTCCGTCTCAAAAAAAAAAAAAATATGTATATTTATATGTATAATTTACACTGATTTTGGAGTTGCGGTAAGATGGGAATTTCTACAACCTCCTGGTGAGTTTAAAAAGCATTCCAACATTTTAAAGGACAGTTTAGTTATATAAATATCACATCTTTTACCACTTTACACTGACACTGATTTCTAATACACATAACCATGGTATGCTATTAATTTGACTCTCTGGAAAAAGTAAAGCCTTGATTTGTAGCATTTGCCAATGTTTATGATATAAGTACTCCCAACATGGTCAGTTTCAAGCTATTAACAGTTTAACAATTCATTCACAGAATTTCACAGTTATCTCTTTGCAAGAAAATTCAAGCCAGAACAAGAATTCCACTACATATAGTCTTTTTTTGTATCATTTTCATATAGCTGTGAATTGTTAAACAAGAGATTAAATTAGAAATATATCAGATATAATTAATTATTTTAAGAAGAAATGGATTTGAATATGACTTATTTTCCTCATGTAAAATGTAAAATTAAAAGATTTTGGCTTCATGGAGGCCAATTTATAAATAAGTATCAAATATAGAAACATGATCGTATTTTAATACAGAAATTCTACCTCTAGATTATCCTAAGAAAATTAAAATGAACGTGCACAATTTTATCTAACACTAGGCTCACTGAAGTATTACCTTTTTTGAGCAACTGCTGGGGGAAAACATGAGTAGATAATAAATATTTTAATCCAGTTACGGTTTAGCTAGAAGATAGATTAATAAGCATGCATTATATAAAATATTTTGAAATACTATTTAAAGGACACGACAAAATTATTGCAGAATACATATTGGAAAAGGAGGCAACCAGACAGCATGTATAGTCTTTTATTAGAAAAGATTGTATACATTTAATAGACTATATCTGCATTTATTGTGTTATTCATATATAGTTATACAACCATGTGTATATAATATACACATACTATGTAAATGCTATATGTCGTCTGCCATATGCATGTATATTTACATATTTGCATGGTGTATCTAAACAAAAGCATTTTTCATCCTATGTGAAGTTTGTAAATTTTTTTCTTTCTTTGTTCTTGTTTTTCTCTGTTCTCTCAGTAGTCTACATCTCCTTGGAAACTGCAAGGTATTCTGTGATTTTAAATCTGACATCTAATTCTGACATATATAAATGTGAAGAGAGAACCTAGTTCTTTTCTAGGATATCATATAATGTAATTTTAAATTTCAAGATTATTAGGTGCAACTAGCAACAGATAATAATTTCATTAGTTGTCAACAAAAAAAAAGTTGAATACTACCCAACAATAAGAGTATTAAAATAGCTCATATGCATATAGCTAACCGCTGTAAATGCATGCATTCTTATATAAAGCCAAAGCATTTAGTGCCTATTATTGCCAGCTACTTCTGAAAGTTAGTTAATTAAGTAATGAATAAGAGGGACATTTTCCCTGCATTCCAGAGCTAAAACTAATAGGAAAGTTTGAATCTCAAGGGCTTAACACTTGTTAAAGTATTTGTTTCAGAAAGAAAACCAACAGTATTTGTAGCCATTTCAGAGCCCCTTCCATAACTGTTATAAAACTAAAAAACTGTACAGATGACCATGTGTCTGGTTGCATGGCGGTGAATGCAATCTTGAAATCTTGAAATCCAGCAAACTCAAAACTGTGTCCATACACTGCTAGTGTGTATCTCAGTTGGTACAACAGTATTGGAGAACTATTTCCAGAATTTACCAGAGATGTGTATATGTTTACACAGACACACACACACACACACGCACACACACACTTTCCCATCTGGCAATTTTACTCCTAGGTATGAACTCAACATATATTTGCATATATTTACAAAATGAGAAGAATGATTATAATAGCACTATTTGAAATAATCAAAAACTAGAAAAAGACTCCAACAATAGAATCAAAAATACATTTTGCTATAATCGTATAATGTAATAATGTATAGCAATGAAAGTGAAAACAATACAGCAGGGATTAACCTCACAAACTATTGAGGGAAAGAGGTCACATGCAAAAAAATACTGTATGATTCCATATACATACCATTCAAAAACTAGCAAAATAATGTTAGATGGTGTTAAAACTGGAATTTCTGTTTCTTAATCTGGATGCTAGTTATATAACTATGTTTATGTGGAAATTTGATTTGTCATGTTTATATTTTCTGCACTTTCCTATATGTATGTTTCTGTAGCATAGAAGTCTGCTTTGGATCTCACTTAGCTAAACCCCAGGTGTGAGCAATGCTGTGTTCCTTTCTGTAGGATGTAGAGCAGAATCTGTCTTCTGTTTATTCTGATTGTTGGTAAGAATCAACTTATTGAGGTTGTAAGGACTGTGAGCCTCATTTCCTTGCTGGCTGTCAGGTCAGGACCATTCCTAACTTCTCATGTCACCCATATTCTTGGTCTATGGCCCCTTCCTTCAACTTCAAAGCGACAAAGTTGGGCCCCGTCCCCTCATGTTTTCTATTAACTTTACTTCCATCTTCAAGCTTCTTTTTGCTGTGTAAAGTAACATTCATAGATTCCAGGGATTAGGGCTTGGACATCTTTGGAGGTACAATTTTTCTGCCTACCATGATATTAACCTTCAAGATAAAACATTTTCATGAAAGTGTTTTTAAAAACATATCAAGACAGGACTAATTCAAGAGTAATTATTTTTTTTTAGAGCCTTCATTGGGGCCCACACTCTTTGCCCTTCTGCTCCATGAGGTTAGTAAACTACCTGAGATCATTCAAGATTTCTGTTAAAAGTGAGCTAGTCCTCCTTTAAAAATGTCTAATTAAACTTGAGAAACCTGACTTCTATATTCCTTCATGGGGAGTAATAGTATGCATTAGTATAGCAAGACTGAGATATTCTCCGGTAAAGAAATTTACTTAATTTACTTGCCTGCATTAACCCAGTGTTACCAAAATATAGTTGGAATTTTTCAAAAATATCCTGAAAAAGTTCCTAACATCATGCATAAGAAATGTTTTTTCTTGGTCTTAAAATTGAACATAACTCCTTAATACTTCTCAAATTTTTAAAATTACATCACCATGGTTAGTATCTTCCTTTCTCCTGCTTTATTACAAATAATACTTTTGATTATGCTCTCACTATATTTTAATCGTTTGATATGTGTTTTTTTTCAGAATTATTACCCTTCTTTCCGATGAGAAAATCAAAGTGAAGAAATGTTTCCAAATTTCCAGAGTTAGTAATTGGTGGAGGAATATATATTTTGTTCATTTTAACATTTTATAAAGGGTAAATTTATGAATTATTTTTATCTTGCACAAAAGTTATAATTTTAATGCTTTTCACATACATACTGTACATTTGCAATTAGATAACAATGAAAGGAACATAAAATTCTCCAAAGGAATTTTTCACGCCATTATATAAACACGTCATGAGGAAGTTTCAAACACTTTCTCAATGACCACAAGTTACCAAGAAAATAAAAGATCAAATTTATATAGATATTGATCTACATATCAAACACATGCAGAAATGATGTGAAAACCTTATTCAGTTTACTTTCACTTCTGTCCTCAAAAGATTTGCCCAGGGGCAGATGCTTTTCTTTTATATAAATGACTGTGGCTTTATTTAAAATATGAAAATCAAAGGAAGAACCCCAGTTTAATCAGAGTATTTTAAAAATCCCTTCCCAATATTAAAGGATCATTACCAATATATAGCACCATAATACAAATATTGATGGAAGAGGGTATTCACATCACGCAAAATAAATAATAATAATAAAAACAAACAAACATTGAAAACCTGTCTTGGTATCGTAGAATAAGAAGCTGATAACAGCTTTAGCTTTCCTCATACACAGCAAGGAAAAAGTTAGAAAGTTTAAACTACCAAAAGTCCCCAAATAAAACCTAACAGGAAAAAGAAAAAAGTAAAACAAACCCAAGGTCAGCAGTACATTTTGAACCGTAAAAGAGAATGGGGCAATTGAGTTGTACAGCGGGAGTTATGGCTAAGACATAAATCTCTTCTGCATTATTTTTTTTTCGTATTCGTCAGAAGTAGGAGTTAGAGTGTGAACAATGAAGAGGGCTTCAGGTTGTGTTTAGACTGTAGGAAAGTCCTTACCAACCTCCAACTGTTGGTCATGGGATCAGGACAAGAAACACTATGAATTGGGAAATTCTAAAACACTTAGAGCCTGGTTTTTCTGTAGAATTGGAAGCTTATGAAACCTGGCTGTAAGTGAGCATTTCATAGATTACCAGGACTGACTGGCTTCAAATCATATCTTTTCTGCTTTATTCAGTTCCCCATGGAGCCCCTCAACCAAGACACTGGCAGAGTATACCATACAACAGGCTTCTTGTGCCTGTATTGTGAAATTAGTCCTGAGTTTAATTCAGTGACCCTGAGAATAAAGACTTCTGTAACCCTTGCTTTGGAATACTTCTAGGCTTCAAGTTTTTGAGATTTTTTCAGAGTTAAAGATTTGGGAAGTGTGAGGATGTCACATTTACAGTAGGTCCCTCTCAGCAATGTTAAGATAAATATTGACTAATTTAACAGCTGAACTCACATATGTTTGACACATGAGAATCAACTTGCGCTGATGTGATCTCCATTTATGCCCCTAAAGAGTCAGTATTAAGAAATGGTGGCATGAAATTCTATACATTCTTACACTATAAAGTAACAAATTTTACTTCCATTAGCTATTACAAAACCTTATGTTATTAACCCCTCTTGCATAGAATGAGGTAATCCAATGCTATTATTCCCCAAAAATCTAGCTACTTATTTTCTAAAATATTGCTCTACTTTTGAGAAGAAGATCTTAACCCATCCCTAGGTCTTCATCTTTATCTTCCCAAACTGTCTTCCACTCTATGGTGAAATTTTGAATCCAAAACACAGTTTTGACTTTCTTGTTTAAAACATTTCAACACATTTTTATAAGGTAGCATCAGATTTTCTTAGTGTGGTTAAAAAAAAAAACAAAAGTGGGAGGCTCTTTTCAGACTCTGCCAGACTGCACTGCAATTACTGGGACACCTCCTTGTGAACATCCATTTGCTCACCTGCTTCTTCACACCTCCTTGCCTTTCTATATATTCTCCTACTCCCTCTGTTCCAAATGATTATTTAATTTTTAAGAACTACCTCAAACATCACCATATCTGTGAAGATTTCTCTGTCTCTTTTATGTGGAATCATATGCTCTTGCCCTTGTGGGGTGGTTTACTGCATGCATGGTGTAAATTCAGTTAATGCGTCGGCTCAAAGGGAAGTAATGTTGTAACTTTTATAAATTTTAAAATAGTTTCCTGTCAATCCTCCCCTCTGAAATTCTAAATCACTGTCATTATTTACCATTAATAAGTAAATATTATATTCTATATACTTGAGACTTGAGATTTTTTATAGTGATTAGTCAACTTTGTTAAAAGAAAACTTGTTTATAAAAAATATTTTATCATACTAAATTTGCAGTTATTTTTATGACATCTCTACCACTGCCCCAAATTAGATGGTGAGCTTTTCAAGGGTTAGAATAGAAACAATGACCTACTTAGGTTTTGGTCTTCACCTCCAAGTACTATACATGTAATAATATGTGCATGTATAATATAGTACATGTATGTATAGTGCATGTATAATATAGTACATGCATGTATAGTGCATGTATTATGTACATGTATACTACTTGGAGCTGAACATGTATAGTATATTTAAATACATGTAACAAGTAGAATACACATAGGTAATGCAAGTACTTACATGATATATGTCTGACACGTACACAATACATGCTCATGAAAGATCTGACTAATGAGTGATTAATAAAAGTGATTGAGGTAGAATAAGGACAAGGCTGAGGTGTAGAGAAGTTAAATCCAGTCACATAAATCTGCTTCAAAAATGAATGAATTGTTTGAATAACTTCTGCATCTAAGAAACATAGTCACTTTCCAAAAAGAAAAAAAAATCTATATTTAACACCCAATATTGAGGCCTCTTACTTATTATTACTACCAAGTTATTAAAATATCATAGAACTGTGAATATTATGGGACTACATACCACACCAATGCATTTACTCTCATTAAAGTGAGAACAAAAAGAGATAAAAAGGTAAATAGCACATTAAAAAGAATAACAGTTTAATGTCTCTTTGATAATTATAGATATATTTTCTTTCTTTACTTGCTGAATTAATTTCCATGAGCAATTTCAATTTCATTACCTTTATATGATCTCAGTCTGTTATAGGATCACCAGTTGGCCATTATTTTTGCAGTACATTCCAGTACAGTACAACAGTCCTCTGTCTTACACAGCACCCCCTCCATGCTAGAGACTATTTCCTGAAAGTTACATCTTAGCAAAACAATTTATAACTTTGTTATCCAAATGTAATTGTAGTATTTCAGAAAAAAAAATATGTGTTACTGAAGGATTCCTGAATGACAATATCCAAATGTCTTTGCAGTTAACAAGTGGGTAAGAAAAATGTCCACCATTTTTGCCCAAAGGGTTAGTAATAACGAATAAACTATTGAAATGTGTGTAACATAGTATCTTATGCATTTGCCTTCCTTGCTTCAATACAATTAATTTAATTTCAAATAGATAACAGTTTCATTGGTAGCAATATTGTAGTACACCATATTTACTACTCCAAGCAGAAGTTATAATAATGCATTCTACTTTGGTGTCCCTTCTGCCTGTAATTAAACTGTGGAAATTGGCATCTGAAAACACATGCTATGTATATTACATAAAACAATGAAACTAGAAAACAATTCTTGGGGACTTTTCAGACTTACAATACTAACATGAATTACATTCTGGTATATTTACTACTCAGTTTACATGCAAAGCATTTTGAATATTATTATTAGAGTAATATTATAATATACTGATTTCAAAGCTAATTCTCACTTCAAATATAAGAGCTAATGAGTAAAAAGCTGAGCTTTTGATTATGTTACATATGATGTTTCAATATTTGCATAAAATACTTATGTAAAAGTTCCCCAATATGGAACCACAATTCTTTGAAAAATTAAAAATATGTCTACAGGTACTTTTTTACATAAATTAATTTAAATTAAACATGTACATCTGTTCAGTGTGGAAACTTATGGTGGTTGTTTAATTTTTTCTGAAGCTGTTCAAAACAAGGTTATTTAATATAAATGCTGTAAATGTAATTTTAAGTTTAATTTTCATAAACAGGTTGGGTGGCTTAAAGTACCAAATGCCATAGAAGAGCATATTTTAAAACATCAGTTTGCATTACACAGGCAGTTTATTAGTATTGCATGTTTCAGTCTAAGCATTAACAGTCTCAGGCCTTTGCTCATAATTAATAAACCAATATTAATGGGTCTGTTTGGTCTGTGGCACTTGAGAAAAATCAGAAATTAGGCCGTTTTATTAATGATCAAGCTTTGGTATAGAAACCATACCTAATTTGATGTGTATCCTCTGGCAGTGGTAATCCTTGCTCTAAAGTAATGCAGAAAAAAAAAGAGAATCTTTGTGGAACCCACAACATCCTTTTTTGTCCAGCTTAGTTCACATGGCATTTTCTTTCCTAATGAAAATTGTGGATATAACTATACTCCCTTAAATTGCTTATTTACTATAAATGATCATAATTAATTTACCATTTTCAGTCTTCTTTTAAGATGTTAAAAAGAAAAAAGTTGTTAATGCAATCCTGTTAGAAAGTACTCTATGAACAAGATCAAATTATGTTAATTCACTCTCAGAAGTTGGCAAATAACATAATTAAATGAATCTATACTTCTTTTTTTGCATTTTGAATCAAAGATACATATGTAAAGGAAGACAACCTTCTAATTTATCACTACCATCAACATTAAAGCGAAATAATTGATAATCTATGAAAAATGAATTTTCAGCATGTCACTCACATTTTCCTTTTATATATTGATTTCTTTTCACTGGCTCGCAGGTAGTTCAAAATTAGATTTGTTCTCTTTCCTTGATCTAAAGAACATCAAAATATCTAAAGCTAATTATGAAAGACATTCAGACTTTCAGATACTACATATTGACATAAAGTTTTGTTTCTCCCATTTCTGCTGCCTATCTTCTTTTTTGACATAGCTTTTTTCCTGAGCTCTGTAGTTATTTTATCTTTTTTTGAAAGCCAGCATTTCAGCTTTGCACTAAATTTACCCATTAAGTTTTAAGCCCCTTGCCAAAACTTTATTCTCTTTAGCTCACAGGGCTTCAAAAACGTCTATGCTATCCTTCTTTCAGAGATTATTGCTCCATTGAATAAAACTACCTAAATCATGAAACTATCTGCATGTTTTCTTTTTCACCAATGAAATGTCACATTGTGACAGGTACCATGAATCTTCTGCCTGATCTTATACCTTGTCATATTCCACCAAGATGCTTCAAATGGAGGGTATTTTTTCTTTATAACTAAAATAATTTTTTTGTGTTTTCTTGCTGCCAAGTTGTCCCATTATAAGATAATTAAAACACATTAATGTATCTCTTATCTACAGACACTATCTTTAATGCAAACTTAGTCTTAGAAGAAAGACACGGAACTCGTAGGCATAAAAAGTAGTAGCTAATTTGTTTATAAAGCTATTATCACAGCGTTCTTGAATTTACTGTCTCCAAATTTAAGAATGAAGATGGATCCATTAAATATTTTCGAAATTTAGAATCCACCTGAATTTTTCAAATAAATTGTTCGCTATGTGTGAGAGATCAATGCATATTTTATTCATTAATTTATACAACAAGTGCCACCTTAGAGCTAATAGTTCTCAGCTCTGTTCTGGATACAATAAGTGGAACATTGTTGTAGACAACAAAGATACCAGGTAGTGGGAAATTAAGCATTTCAAGCAAAAGGTAATAGAGTCTTGGTCTAGGGAACTGACAATGGAGATCAAGTTAAGCGTGTATTTTCAGGATATATTTGACTATAGACTTACCAGTGAATTGGATATTGCAGCATGGGAAAAGTAATGCCACAGTAGTAACTCTTAAGCGAACTTTTTAGTCCCTGAGATGGGGAAAATAAGGTTGTAGGGAGTAGTTTCCTTGGGTTACATTAGGTTTCCATTTTGGATATATTATATTTGAGATATTATTAAACATCTAAATATAGATATCAAGAAGCAGATAGATATAAGGTTCTGGAACTCAGAGGGGAAATCAGGACACAGGATATATTTGGAAAAAATAACATTATAGGAATTATTTAAAACCATGGGGAATGGTGAGATTACTTTGAATAAGAATATAGGTAAAGAGGAATAGAAGCTGGAAGAAGTACTGGATTCTAGTGGTATAGCAATGTTTAGATACCAGCTAGAGGATTTGATGACTGAGGATAGTGTTGGTAGCAGTAACAACAGCAGTCATAGCAACAACTATGATTTACTGGTTTCTTATTCTAAACCAATCAGTATTCTAAGCACTTTACACTACTTTAGAAAACTCGTTTAATTGTCATGACAGCCATATGCTGTGTGCACTATTATCACTTTCATTTGGCATAAGGGGCAGGTAAGGTACAAAAGAGTAAAGTGACTTGTCTGGGTTGAAGAGGTTATTTTTCCTTGCATATTTGTTTAATAAGAGAGCACCAGAACACATTTGTGTGCTATTAGAAATGATCTGGTATGTGATGTTCCCCACCCTGTGTCCAAGTGTTCTCATTGTTCAATTCCCACCTATGAGTGAGAACATGCAGTGTTTGGTTTTCTTTCCTTTTGATAGTTTGCTCAGAATTATGGTTTCCAGCTTCATCTGTGTCCCTACAAAGGACATGAACTCATCCTTTTTTATGGCTGCATAGTATTCCATGGTGTATATGTGCCACTTAATCCAGGGGCCTGTCGTGGGGTGGGGAGGGGGAGGGATAGCATTAGGAGATATACCTAATGTAAATGACGAGTTAACAGGTGCAGCACACCAACATGACACATGTATACATATGTAACAGACCTGCACATTGTGCACATGTACCCTAGAACTTAAAAAAAGAAAAGAAAAAAAGAAATGACCTGGTAGAGAGAATGAGAAATTGCTGAAGTAGGAAAGAAACAGAATTAACACTGAAGCTATGCCCTTGAGAATTTGAAGGAAAGAAAATTCAGAATCCAAAGCTCAAGAAAATAGGTTGGTCTTTAAGTAGTTAGTGTAATTGGAGGAAAGAAGAAATTGAGCAAATGTACAGTGCATTGAGAATGTGCAGCTTGTGCATGTGAAGATGAGGAGCTCCCTTTTGATTGCTTCTGTTTGTTTTTGTTGTGTTTTAAAAGAGAATCAAAGGAGATTGATTTGTGGAGGAGAGCCTAATTATCTTGTAGGTTTTAAACTCAATACACTTACAAATTCACATCTCTGATCGATAAAACAAAAGCTTCATAAATAGTATGCACTTATATGTATCTATGGCATGAGTCATCTGTTGGCAAGGAACCGTGACTGCAGAAAGCAGGGTAAGACATGAATTAGTTAAATTCTCCAGGTGAAAGATAAAATTCTATCAAACTTAAAAACGTCTGCATTTAAACCCAGTGATCTTAAAAGGTTTCATGGAGGAAAACACATTTCAGTGGACACTTGTAGAATGAGTGGGATTTTCATGGGCAAAATTTTGAGTGAAGAGTAATCCAGATGGATGTAGCAGGGTGAGAAACGGCATGATCAGAAGTAATAAAGCTGAATTGGCTTAAACGTAGGGTGAATAAAGTTATAATAGTGGGATATAACTCACATAGATATTAGGGACAGATTGTGGATAGCCTTTAATATCACACTGTGTATAGATTTATTATGTAATAAACCTGGAGACAGGGGAGGGTTTTAGCAGTAGAGTGATGAGACAAATATATTTGGAAGTAGATAATGAGCCTTACTGTTTTGTAATTTGGAATGTATGATATTTTAATACCACTGAACATATCTAGCTACACTTTAGGTTGACACTTTTTTCCTTCTATTATCTTTTCTATTCCAAGCCTAGGGCAACACTGGAGGACACTGCTGTTTTATACAGTTGGACAAGAATGTCGTAGGTACTGGGGTGTATTTTTGTCTGTTAAAATATAACTAAATATTTTAGCCATTTAGCATCCATGGCACATTTCCACTCTGAAAAATATAACGACAAAAGTGTTCTTGCCTACTAAGGAAACTCTTGATGACTATGCTAGCAAGCTGAATAAACATTTGAATAAATGTTTAACGAGTCCCACTGGCTTAAAATATATTTTTGATTCACCTATAACAATCCAAACATAAATTTCAGTAAAACAGATGTTTTCACTGCAAAACTGTTTTACCTCTTAGGATCTAACCAAATAAAATATTTATTTTGTGAAACTATGTATCACTGTAGACATGGTGATATATGTCTACGTTAGTATACATATATTAGTGTATAGAGACCTTTTAAATACAACTTAGAGAATCATCAATAATTCTTTATTTTAAAGTATTTAAGAAATCAACCTGTTACCTTTTTTGTTTTCTCTTTTAGTACCCTAATATCTAGGCCTTTCAGACAGTTAATTTTGTGTTGTAAAGGAGTTAAGTTTAACATCAATGCGTAGTCGAATTTCAGTAGTCCTTTCATGAGAGGAATGTGACATGTACAAAGACACTGTCTCTCTTATCTAGCTTTTTCTTTCAGCAAATATAGCAAATGTACTGTCATTGTGAAATTACTGACCATGCTTAATGATCCAGACAGTAAACAAAGGGAATCATCTTCTATAAACACATGATCAAAATTTAGATACTAAATGTGTGATTTTAACCTAATTAATTCATGCATTTAGCAGATAGTCCTTGAATATATATTATCCATTAGACCTCGTGGTATGTTCTACACATAGAAATGTAAATAGTGCATAGCCTTTTCATTCAAGGAGCTTCAAGGGGCTTCTATCTCTAATAGAGAAAGACATTTAAATAGTGCATGGCCGTTTCCGTCAAGGAGTTAAAGCCCTGGTGGAGGCAGTAATGGAAGAAAAAACTTATGGGGTGTGTTCACCCCCTTGAATGTGAGCATTTCAAACTTTCACTCTCTGAACCATTTATTGAACATGTTTTGATCACCCAATGCATGTAAGGAATCTGAACTTGCCGAGTTTTGTTAGTGAGTCTTTTGTAATTCTTTCTTTCCTAATTATTATTATTATTATTTTTTTTTTTTTTTTTTTGAGACGGAGTCTCGTTCTGTCGCCCAGGCAGGAGTGCTGTGGCGCGATCTCCGCTCACTGCAAGCTCCGCCTTCCGGGTTCACGCCATTCTCCTGCCTCAGCCTCCCGAGTAGCTGGGACTACAGGCGCCCGCCACTGCGCCCGGCTAATTTTTTGTATTTTTAGTAGAGACGGGGTTTCACCGTGGTCTCGATCTCCTGACCTCGTGATCCGCCCGCCTCGGCCTCCCAAAGTGCTGGGATTACAGGCGTGAGCCACCGCGTCCGGCCTCTTTCCTAATTATTAATGGCCAATAATAACACTTACTATGCATAAAGTCCTTATCTAAGAACCTTTTAAGTGTTGTTTTATTTTCACAACAAAATTCAGTATTTTGCAATTCTTTCTTTCCTAATTATTAATGGCCAATAATAACACTTGCTATGTATAAAGTCCTTATCTAAGAACCTTATAAGTGTTGTTTTATTTTCACAATTAATTTAAGTGGAAGTTAATCTTCATATTATTGTTTTATAGATAAAACTCAAGAAAAAATCATTTTGTGACATATTCAAGGTCCCTTAGCTTTCAGTGGTAGAGCCATGCTTTGATGGAGCCCAAATAATTTGGCCCAGATCTCACAATTTTAACTTATTTAATAATACTGTTTCCCTGGAAACAGAAAAGAGACAGATACCATTCATTTTGTTATTTATGCGATAAAATATTTAGGAAATAAATAGATGGAATAATATAATTCCCAGAATCTATCTCCTCGTGGTTTGTCTCTATAGTATATATGCTACTTATTTTTTCTACCTTCAAGTAAGCAAGGTTATTTACAGTTGGTGATACTGCTGTTTATAATTCTGATTTTTCTACTGCGTGCAACTCATCGTTTTATGTATTTGTTCGTTCATTCTTAAGTCCCACATACTAAACACTGTGGTCGAACCTGTACTACCTGTGTGGTGATAAAAACATGCATAATACACATACTCTGGACTTGTTCATCACACAATTTGGAGACACAAATCTGAAAACAAATTACTGTTCAGTCTTCCAAGTTCTTTACTAGAAGTCTCAAAAAATGTTATTAGACGATAAGAAGATAGCAATTTATGCTCAGCAAAAATGCCAGTGAAGACCTCATAGACATGAGAACATTTATGCTGAAACTTGAAGTTTGAAAATAAGAGGAGAAGAGAAAAGAGATAGTTCCATTGGATGTGAAATACAAGAGCTGAAATGATTGGGCAAAGATTAAGCAGGCCAGGGTGAATGGAATGTAGAGTTCCAACAGGGAATGTTGAAAGATAAGGGGAATATAATACATTAGAGCTAAATTGGAGAAAGTTTAATTTTATCTTATAAATATACATTTGCAAATGTTATTATATTAAGAGATGACATTGTGGGTTTTTAATTTCAAACATTAACGTATGGAGCCAGCTGTAGGAAGAACAAACTGGAGGAGAAGGAGCAAAAGGCAAATTAATACACATTCAGAAATATTATCTTCACCTGTTAGTGAGCAAGGCAGCGTCCATGCTCACTAACCCAGGGCCTATCGTAACCCTTTACCACTCTCTCCAAGCACCACCCAGTTATTGCCACCTTCGTGTAAAGGTGGCAGTTCTGCAGAACAAGTACCCCTTTCTCCAAGATAAAAAGGCCTTTAGACACGCATTCTCTCAAATGCCTATTTCCAGTAAAAAATTTCTCTGATTCTACCCATAATACATCCCTTTTTTTCCCTCCCTGCCAATAAGGATTATGTTCTCAATGTCTCAGCTCTTGGCCTCACAGAGGCATTGCTCTAGTAAGTTTTTTTTTTCCGCCATAGGCTTATTTTTTCTCTTTTGGGACTTTTCCTCAGCCTTGCATGGGACTGGACAATGCTAAAAACTAAACCAAGCAAGACAACAAAGTAAAACTCTTCCTTCAATGTCACGTGCTTTTCTTATCTTTGTCCTCTGAGTCTTATCTTCAAAGCAGAATCTTCAGAGTACTCCAAAGAAACTCACTTTCACCACTCTTTATCCTCCCATGGTTTTACTCATTCCAGTGCACATTGCTTTGTCTCCACCACTACACAAAAAAAATCATGATTAACCCTGAACTTCAGTGTATATTCCTCAGTCACAATCTTATTTGGGCTCTCCAGGCATTTCATCTGGTTTACTCTAGAACTCCCCACTATCCCTACTTTGTAGCATTGTTCTTTAGTTTTCCTTCCAAATGGTTCCCATACAAATCCTGCCCTGGAGTAATGGTCTATGTGGTCTTACTGATTATGTGAATTGAGAGAAAGATCATTTAGCTGGCAGGATAATACACAGTAGTGTTTTGGAAAATGTATATTAATAGCTGGCTGGTCATTGAGGGAGAAATCCTGACTTGTAGCATTTATGAATTTCTATGGTGAAATTATTCTCACCAGGGCCAACTTCAAGCTACCTTTGTCAGGTGAACAAGCTGACATCATTCCTGAAAATTTAACAGTCTTCCATGTGCCACTGAGAGCCATCTCCAGCATACCACTGGATTCAGAAACTTTCTAGCTACATGTCATGAAAAATCAGACTATATTTATGACTAATTTGACATAGAGAGCAATTCTAAATGATTTCATTAGTCCCAGACTTTTATTCACTTTCTATGTTCCCTGTCTACAAATTCAGCTATCTCCAAATACAATTCTGCAGGTAAAACCATAGCCATTTGCACCTGTTTGAGAGGAAGTAACCTCACGAGGAAAGACCATTAACCCTAATGTTTGGTGAGGTCCTAACACCTTCTTTATTGTAACAAGTAGGCAGTGACTAAACTCTTTCTTGCCTCATGCCAAACATTACAAATATCTATTGTGTAACCCAGAGGGGGAAGCTTTCAGCGGTCACTGTGCCTACTTATAGCCATATTTAGGTAGTGCTATAAATGAGTTCAAATGCAGGAAGAAGCTTTATTTAACAGAAGTTTTCTAACTCAGGACAGAAAACACTCAAACATTCTCCAAATATATAGAAATTCATGAACATTCTGGCACAGATTAAGAGAAAAGATGCAGTTTTAACATTTCTTTTTGCTTCTCTTGAATATTTTAATATTATACCTTTTTAAAAATTAATGTTATACCTTAATACTCTCTCATAGTTGTCATCACACTGAAAGTATCATTTTCCCCTTATTTGTGCCAGGTTTCTTATACATAATAATCAACCATTTATCACATCAATCACTATACCCTTCTTTCTACACTGGGTTTTGGAGGCAGTTAGTGTGGTTCACAGGCAAAGACATGTGGAGTATACTTGGAGATGGTGTGGCCATCATGCATTCCTGTGCTTAACTTTTTTCCAAATATTCTGGACTTGGTTCCAAGGACCGTGGGTACAGACAGTTATCGCTGCCATTACTTTAACACAATTCCAGCTATCCAGAAGAAAAGTGAAGTTCAGAATTCCTACTATAGTCCAGAGAACAAACAAAATAAAACAAACAAAAACACCCCAGGAAATTTAAAGGCATAATAAGGTACTCAGCATACAAAATAAAAATCTTTTCATACTTTATGCACACAGCAATAAACAAGAAGAAAATGTTGCTTTTATTTCATTTGCTTTATTTATAAGATAGTTATTTCAAACACTAAAGGATTTTAGAAAGTAAAAGTGTTTCTCCTTTTTAATCCAATCTTAGTTTTGTTTTAGATTTATATTCTTTTTGATATCTTCTTATATAAACAAAAATAAATATAACCAAATATACAATATTTTAATATACGTCAGTTCATCAAAATAGACTATTCTGAAGCTAATCATTTTTAATTTAACACCTTACCATGGACATAATTACATTGTACACACAATATATATTATTTCTACTGTCTCATAGCATACTTCTATGTTATATTTAACCAAGTTGCTGAAACTGCTATTTAAAAATTAAAACAGGAAAAAGAATGTTTTCTTTACATTTTCATCAAGTTTGGATAAGTAAGCAAATGACTCTGATTTGCCTCCCTTGGCTTACATGACTGCCCTGGTGTTCAGGACAGAAAGACAGAGAATTGTAACAAGTCATTTCTCCAGAACTCCCTGGAGTGCCAGAGGCAGTTCTGCAGACATAGGACTTCTTTAGCAGATGAAGGAGGAAGAAATACTTGGAAAACGAAAGCTACAGACATCCACTACAAAATGAAACCTCTGCAAATTTAAACAAAATGAAATACATTTAAAGAATAATGCACTTTGAAAGAATACTCTAAAGCCAACTATTCCAAGGTTGTCCTTATAAGAAAAGTAATTCTGCTCAGAGTCCAGTGCAGGATTACTTGTTGCATTTATTTCATGGAGTTTATTAGTCTCTATCTGGAACACTTCTTCAGAATGTCATTAATGTTTATACATTTTTAATTTAATATGTTATCTCCCAGGTTTCCTTGCTATAAAGAAAGCACATTTCTCTTAGGAGTTAGCAATTGTGAGGAGATATTTTGAGACTGTAAAAACACCCTATTTTTCATCAAAATTAGACCCACTATTTTAACATTGACTTATGCCTGAATCAATTATTACTATGATCTTTGCCAAATGGTGGTTTTTACTAGCTCGATTATTGTTTCTTTGCTTATTCGTTGTTTCTTTGCTTATTCATTGCCATTCTATTACTATAAAGAAGACCATTTCCTTCCCTACTACTTGTTTATATGCTTATTATATCATATTGACTGATGAATTCCTATGTTATTCAACAGGTTAATACATTGCTATCATGTATTTTGATGTTAAAATTGGATGTAACTCACTTTAAGCATCCCGGTTTTAAAAGCTTCATTTTAGCAAATATTATGCTGCATTTTTAATGAGTGTCTACATGTTTTCCATCTTTACTGAACTGTCTGGGCAGAGAGACCTTGTGTTATTTATCTCTGTATTTCCAATGTCTGACAGAATGCTTGCATAGTAGTAGTGATCAGCAAACGTTTGTTGGGTGAATAGAAGGCTGCAATAGCTCTCATGTGAGATACGTTAATTTTAAAGGTTTTATTGAAGTAGATTGTAATATGCAGAATGGTGCAAAAAGTAAATGTACAGCTCTATTAATTATTACAAACTGAATCTTTATGTAAACACCACCTTGGTCAAGAAAAAGACTATTGCCAACAGCCTAGACATTCCCCTCATACCCTGCCTATTGATGTGGTTTGGCTCTGTGTCCCCACCCAAATCTCATCTCAAATCGTCATCCTCATGTGTTGAGGGAGGGACCTGGTGTGAGGTGATCAGATCATGCGGGCGGTTTGTTCCATGCTGTTTTCACGAGATCTGATGGTTTAAAAATATTTGGCAGTACCCCTCCGCCTACTTCACTCACCTTCTCTCTCCTATTGTCATGTAAGACGTGCCATGCTTTACCTTCCACAGTGTTTTCTGAGACCTCTCCAGCCATGCAGAACTGTGAGTCAATTAAACCTCTTTTCGTTATAAATTACCAAGTCTTAGGTAGTTCTTTATAGCAGTATGAATGGACTAATACACTCATGTTTTCTCTTCCAAATAAGCAAACCAAACCCAAACAAACAAAATAAAACCCACTATCTTGAGTTCTACATTATTAATTATTTTAGCCTGTTTTTACATCTTGTAGAATCACCCAGTACTTTATGTGATTTTATTTACCTAGTGTTACTCTTGTGACATTCATTTGTATTTTTGTATATTAAAGGGGGGTTAATTAATTTTTTCTTTTATATTGTTCAATTATATTAATTCCAACATTTATGGACATTTGAATTCCTTCTTTTTTTTCGTGATTGCATATAATGCTGATAGGAACATTCCCATACATATCTTTTAGTGCCTATGAGCATGCACTCGTGTTGGATATATGCCATTTGTGAAAAGGCTGGATCATAATTTATACATGCACATACAACATTAAGTAGAAAATGCCAAGTTATGATTGTGCAAATTACAGACAGAGTATGAGAGTAGATGTTGCTCTATCTATAATTGACAACTTTATTTTTTATGAGGGGTCATTGGTGGATGTGTATATATGTAGTAGTAACACAGTGTTATTTTATTCTGTATTTTCTTGATGACTAGTAAGGTTGACTACCTCTTCATATGTATATTGGCTTTTAATAATCACTTTTCATGAAGTGCTTATTTAAGTCTCTCTTTTTTTTTTTTTTTTTTTTTGATACGGAGTCTTGCTCTGTGGTCAAGGCTGGAGTGCAGTGGCGCAATCTCAGCTCACTGCAAGCTCCGCCTCCCAGGTTCACGCCATTCTCCTGCCTCAGCCTCCCGAGTAGGTGGGACTACAGGCGCCCGCCATGATGCCCGGCTAATTTTTTGTATTTTTTAGTGAGACGGAGTTTCACCGTATTAGCCAGGATGGTCTCGATCTCCTGACCTTGTGATCCGCCCGCCTCAGCCTCCCCAAAGTACTGGGATTATAGGCGTGAGCCACCACGCCCAGCCTAAGTCTCTTCTTAATCAGTCTTACTAGTGGGTAGTAAATTCTAATAGATATCTTAAATAATATTTTTGTTTGTGATCTTTCCTATCTTATATTTGCTTTCTACTTCAATAATTTCTCCTCTTGTCTTTATTATACTATTTTACTTGCTTAGGATTAATTTGTTGTTCTCTTTAAAACATTTGAAGATTGATGAGTAGTCATTGCCTTTCAACCTTCCTTATTTTCCAAAAAATGTCTTTAAGATTATACATTGACCTATTGGTGATTATAGTTATATCCCACAAGATTTGATATATAGAGATTTTAATCATCATTTAATTCAGAATGTTTTCTAATCTATTTTATGATTTCTCTTTTGACCCATGGGTTATTTAGAGTGCACTGGCCAATTTCTACACAAATGCATATTTTATAGACGTTTTCCTTATGAATTTCTAGTTTAATTGCACTGCAGTATAAATTATTCTGAATAAATACAATTCTTTGAAATTTTGTAGGCTAGTTTTAATTTAAAGAATGATTTGTTTTATTATTATACTTTAAGTTCTGGGATAGACTTGGAGAACGTGCAGGTTTGTTACATAGGTATACACGTCGCATTGTCGTTTTCTGCACCCATCAAACTGTCATCTACATTAGGTATTTCTCCTAATGCCATCCCTCCCCTAGCCCCCAACCCCCAACAGGCCCCGGTTATGTGATCTCCCTCTCCCTGTGTCCTTGTGTTATCATTGTTCAACTCCCACTTATGAGTGAAAACATGCAGTGTTTGGCTTTCTGTTCCTGTGTTAGTTTGCTGAGAATGATGGTTTCCAGCTTCATGCAGAGGACATGAACTCATCCTTTTCTTTAAGGCTTCATAGTATTCCATGGTATATATCCACATTTGCTTTATCCAGTCTGTCATTGATGGGCATTTGGGTTGGTTTCAAGTCTTTGCTATTGTGAATAGTGCTACAATAAACACACATGTGCGTGTGTCTTTATAGTGGAATGATTTATAATCCTTTGGGTATAACCCAGTAATGGAATTGCTGGGTCACATGGTATTTCTGGTTCTAGATCTTTGAGGAATTGCTACACTGTCTTCCCCAATGGTTGAACTAATTTACACTCCCGCCAACCGTGTCAAAGTGTTCCTATTTCTCCAAATCCTCTCCAGCATCTGTTGTTTCCTGACTTTTTAATGATTGCCATTCTAACTGGCGTGAGATGGTATCTCATTGTGGTTTTGATTTGCATTTCTCTAATGACAAGTGATGATGAGCATTTTTTCATATGTTTGTTGGCTACATAAATGTCTTCTTTGAGAAGTGTTTGTTCTCCCTGTTTGTCTGTCTTCAAATATCCCCTTTTATAGCGACATGAGTTATGTGGGATTAGAAGCCCACCCTACTCCAGTGTGACTTTATCTTAACCATTTACATCTGCAGTAACCTTATCACCAAATAAGGTCACATTCTGAGGTACTGGGAGTTTAGGACTTCAATATATAAATTTTAGGATGAACACAATTCAACCCATAACAGTGGGTAGATAGCCCATCTATATTTTTATTGATGTATTTTTGTTTACATATACTACATTAGTGTTTACATTCCCTTTCTCTGACCTATTATACTTTATTTTCTTTTCTCTCCTTTTTTGGTTGATTATTTTTCCCTTGGGATAATGAAAAGCTTTTACTATCATTCTCATTCCTCTCCTCTATCAGCTATTACATTGTACCTTATTTTATATGATTTTATAATATATATTCTTAATTTATTACAAGATGACTTAGTTAATTACTTTGCCACTTTTTAGGCAGCAAACCACATCACATTAAAAATAGCTTCTTGGTTTTTATAGAATTTTACTTTTCTATTTTTAAAAAAATTTGTGTATCATTATTTTAGAACAGTTGTATTGAGATATAATTCATGTGCCATTCAATCTCCTCATTAAAGCTGTGCAATCTAGTGTTTTTTAGTGTATTTACAAAGTTGTGCCACCATTACCATAATCACATTTAAGAACACTTTTGTCATCCCACAAAAAAACCATACTCATCAGAACCACTCCCCATGCCCCATCCCCAACTCCATATAACCACCACTCTACTTTCCATCTCTGAATCTATTGATTTTGGATATCACATATAAATGGAATTGTATTATATGCAGTATTTTTTGACAGGCTGTTTTTATGTAGCATGATTTCAAGGTTCATTTATGGTATTGCGTATATCAGTACTGCATTATTTTTATTGCCAAATAATATAGCATTGTGTGAATATGCCAGGTTTTATTAATCCATTCATCAGCCGATAGACATTTGAATTGTTTCCACATTTTTGCCATAATGAGTAATATTGCTCTCACAATTTTTGTACAAGTTTTTTTGTCACCATATTTTCATTTCTCTGGTGTGTAATTAGGAATGGAAATGTTAAGTCATATGGTAACCATATATTTAACATTTTAAGCAATTATATTTAACTGCTTGCAAAGTGGCTACACATATTTGCATTTGCAAAATCAATGTATGAGGATATCAATTTCATTACATGTTCACCAACACTTGCTTTCATCTTTCTCTTTGGCTATAACCATTCTAATGTGTGCAAAGTGGTATCTCATTATTGTTTTGTTTTACATTCCCTTGATATTTGACATATTTTCATGTATTTATAGATGATTTGTATATCTTATTTTGAGAAATGTCTATTGAAAATTCTTTGCCCAATTATAATCTGTTGGTCTTCCTATTATTAAGTTGTAAAAGTCATTTATATGTTCTTGAATACCAGACCCTTATCATAAGTATGATTTTCAACTACTTTTTCTGATCTTGCAAGTTGTCATTTCATTTTCTTTATGGAATCATTTGATGCACAAAAGGTTTAAATTTTGATGACCAATTTTGCTTCATTTATTATTTGGGATTTGATGACACATCTAAAAAACTACTCCCAATTTCAAGGCCACAACAATTTACACCTCTGTTTTTATCTAGAAGTTTTATGGGGTTAGATATTACATTTGGATCCATTAGTTAAGTTTGGTAAAGGAAGTGGGTTCATTCTCCATCATTCATTTTTCTTTCTTCCTGGGAATTCTGACAATTATAGATTGTGTTAACAGGGTTTCTTACACTAAAAAAGAGATCAGAGAGAAAACACCTTTAAAGAATTTTCTCATCTTCTGTAGGCTCAGGGCAGTTACAGCTGAGGAGCAAGTCTAGGTTACCATTAAAAGAGCTGCAGATACACTGCCACTATTAAATCCTCTACTCTTGGGTCTCTTAGCATGAGATAAAATCACTGGCAGAGAAGAAGTTTCACCCCGAGTTATGGTATATCCGAACCAAGGAGGCCAAGGATCTCCAAAATGTGCAAATAAACTATGTAAACTCCCTCGAACCTGGTCTTATTGCTTAGTTGCCTTTCCTTCAACTCACCCTGATAACCCCGTGCCATTTTATATTATTATATAAGAAAGGAGAAAAGCCTTCTATGTTTTTGTTTGGTTTTTATCTTTATATCACTTATGTAGAACAGCCAAACAGGCAAGCTCCTTTATAGAGAAAAATCACAGAATTTAAAATCATCACATAATTAACAAGTTGCATTTAAGAGACAAATCAAATATACCTGATTTTAACACACATATGACTTAATCTCTAAACAATAACATAGACACATATCAGTGTTGTCTCCCACAAGTAATTTTGATTAGTGAATCCAGAATATGACCTAGATTATATTATTAGCTACATAATATTGGATCATATTATTATATGGACCACATGCTCTTATTTATGTAGTTGTCAATGTAATTTATCTTACATAGTGAGATACACAGTCTACAAATCACGAAGAACTGTCTTCCAAAACTACACTGAAAAGGTTATTGACATAACCTTTAATTATATACATTACTTTAAGACCAGCCTCCTTAAATCCATAAGGCAGTACAAGTATGGTATGAGAATATTTTCAATGAAGGTGATAAAACATACTGGATAGGAATATAGACTTTAGATTTAAATATGTATATTTGGAATGGAAGCTGTGATTTTTAATAGTTCTTTGACTCTTGATGATTTACTTAGACTCTTGGAACCTATATTTTAAAGGTATTATAATACCTACATAAGAGTGTCATGTTAAATGTTAGTTGGTGTATTATACATATGCACACATCTGTGTGTGTGTGTGGAGGGTTATGTGTGTGCATGGGTGCACATGGTGAAAATCCTAATGCCCTGGTTTTAATCCAAATCTCTGGCTTATGAAAAGAGATTTATGTTTTACATAAAGCAAATCTCTATATTTCAACTTACTTCCACCTGATTTTTAATTCTTTCCACTCATTTTTCCAGACTGCCAATTAAGTTTTGTTTTGGTTAGGATGGGTGGCATGTATTAAATGTGAATTTACACTGGTGTTGATGCTTCATGTGTACATCATCCCAGCTGATTCTCAGTTCACAGCAGATCTCCATATTACATTCTCCTTATGTATTTTATCTCCATCAGATCTCTGCCATTTTGTTCAGTGAAGAATTGGCTGAAAAAATCTCCTCATTCAGACTTTTTATTTTTTGTCACTTCTCACCTTTTTTCACTTCCTTGCTCACCTTTTCTCACTTCCTTGCTGGCTTCCCTCATATCCTCCCTCTTTGTCTTATGCTAACTGGGAATATTTTTTTCATTTCTTCTTTGTCTCTGTTTGCCATAATTGCAAAAAGAACTTTTGTAGGGGAGAGATCTTCCAGGAAATCAGATAGAAAGTGTAGGACAGATCTCCTGACTCCTAGAAAGCATTAATGTTTTCACTTTATATTTATAAATATATTTCACTTATATTCACCATGGAGTTGCTATCCATATGTATGTTTTTGTTTTTGTACTTTTTTCTCCAGGCCACAATTTTTTAATCACATTCCTCTGTGACAGAGAAAATCAAACAAAAAGCAGCAGCAAACTAGTTGGGATGCAATACAGTAAAAAAGTTTTCTCCAAGACATAGCCCTTCAAAAGCTCATAAAAATTAACTTTTCTTTACTTTTTTTGTATTTTATTTAGATTTTGACTACCTATTGAATAGCAGATGACAAGGTTCTAAATATTTGGCTAGTGGAAAGAATGAACAATGGAATATGTAAAGGAACTAGAACTTTAGGACAAAAAGTTACCGTATTGAGTAGTATTTTAATTATCATGCTCCTTCAAGCTTAGCACCAACACAAAGAAACCAATTGAATGCACGGTGGTAGCCAGACTATTTCTAGTTCTAATTTTATTAGTGATAATAGTGTTGGTAGTCATTTACTTATCTAAAAAATCCTGAATAAGTGCTTAAAAATTGGCCTCTCCAGAGGGCACATAAATATGAGTCCCTGTTCTCCAACTATCCACCACCTACTGATGCATGGTATGAATGGAATGTAGGCCATGAAATGTCTTTAGAAGACATCTCTTTGCTCCCTGACTCCTTCCACTGCGTTAGCAGTATCTAATTTGCCAAAATGAGAAGCATTTGAATAGAGGCCATTACTAGTCTTAGGACACATTGAATACTTTTCAATATTTTAAGCCATTTAAAACATTTTTGTGAAATGCATTATTCATACCGAAAAGTGCATAAAACATACATGTGTAGTACAATGAGTAATTATAAAATGACTGCCATGCAGCCTGCTTTTCGGTGTAGAAATTGAACATGCCAGTACCTTCAAATCCTATATGTCCCATGGAAACTACATTCCCTCCAATCACTGGCAAATAAACATAGTGCACACGTTTACGCTAATCACTTAATTTGCATTTAGTTATGATTCCATCACCATTTAAATATGTCCTTGGTTTTGAAATTTATATATAAATAAAATCCAGAGTATTCACTCATTTGTGTCTTTATTTTGTCAACATTATGCTTACAAGCAACATGTTACTGCTGGAGTGGTAGTTATTCATTTCCATTGCTTTGTAGTATTTTCTTGTTCTCTCCAATTTATATTTCTGTTCTACTCTGAGTGGGCAACTTGGTTGTTTCCAGTTTGACATTATCACAAATGACACTGCTGAAAGGAAAACACTTTTTGCATGTCTCCTGAGCACCTGTACAACACCACAGGTCTGTTAGGAAGTCCCTATTTTCATCATCAGAAAAAGCTCTCAGAACAAAATTGTCTTTAAGAAGTAAGTTTACCTCTATGGCATCTTACGTTTCCTAAATGTCAGTCTGCTATTCCTCATTGTGTTAACTTTATGCAGCTTTTTTTTTTTTAAAAAAAGGTTTTTATTAGTATTTCATTCAGCTTAAAGAGGTATCCAAATTATCTAGCCTGGCGTTGTTGAAATAAAAATTATATCGAGTACTATTTTAGTTTTAGTTTTTTACATAGTTGTATTAGTCTGTTTTCATGCTGCTGATAAAGATGTACCCAAGACTGGATAATTTATAAAGAAAAAGAGGTTTAATGGACTCACTGTCCCACATGGCTGGGGAGGCCTCACAATCATGTTGGAAGGCTAAAGGCACATCTTACATGGTGGCAGACAAGAGAGAGCTTGTGCAGGGAAACTCCCCCTTATAAAACCATCAGATCTTGTGAGACGTGTTCACTATCATGAGAACAGCAAGAGAAAGACCCATCCCCATGATTCAGTTATCTCACACTGGGTCCCTCGCATGACACATGGGAATTGTGGGAGCTACAATTCAACATGAGATTTGGGTGGGGACACAGCCAAACCATATCAATAATTGTGACCATGGTGCACATTTTACTTTTAGCTCAATTTTTAATCTAAATATTTTTTATTAGTTTACTATGGCTGTGAAATGAATAAAGACTGAGGGCTTAAAACAGTACACATGTATTATCTCCAGTTGTCATGGAGTAGGAATCTAAACACATCTTAGCTGGGTCTTCTGTTCAAGGCTATGATAAATGTATTGGCCTGGTTGAGTTTTCATTTGGAGGCTTAACTAGGGAAGAACTCACTTCCAAGCTCCTTCAGGTTGTTGGTAAAATTCATTTTCTCACTGCTGTAGAATTATGACAGTTTGATTTTTCAAAGCCAGCAATTAAGAGAGGGAAGCTGCTGTTTGGAGTCTCTAACTTCAGGAAAAATACCTTCCTTCAAACGATTTGCCCAATATGACATCCCTCAAAATAACTGTATTAATCTGTTTTCCTGCTGCTAATAAAGATATACTCCAGATTGGGTAATTTAAAAGGAAAGAGGTTTAATTGACTCACAGTTCCACACGGCTAGGGAGGCCTCATAATCACGGCAGAAAGTAAATGAGGAGCAAAGTCATGTCTTACATGGCAGCAGGCAAGAAAGCATGTGCAGGGGAACTCCCCTTTATAAAACCATCAGGTTTCTTGAGACTTATTCACTATCATGAAAACAGCACTGGGAAAATCCACCCCCAATGGGTCTATCCCACAACACATGGCAATTATTACAATTCAAGGTAATATTTGAGTGGGTGCACAGAGCCAAACCATATCAATAACTCTCTTTTTATTAACTCAAAGTCAAATAATTGGGAGTTGTACATACAATACAAACTGCCTTTTTTTACTGACATTTAATATTGATTAGAAGTTTTAGCTTTTAACTACACTCAATGGAATAAGATTACACAAAAGTGTATACACCAGGGAGTAGCAATAACAGGGACATTTTAGAATTATGCCAACATACATTGTAGCACATGTTTTATTATTATTTTTAACTCTCAAAAATTTTTTATGACTGTCTTATATTACAACCGACCAGGTATATTATAATTCATCTAAATACTAGATTATCAGTACATATTAGGTTGCATATGTCAGTTTTTAAGGTTTGAAAAATTCCAATCATATCTGATAAATATTTAGGCCTTGATATTCTCAGCTAGAAATAAGTGCTTTTAAAAACTAGAAAAAAATGAGAAATGGGGTCTTATTTAAAAATCATCCAATTCTATTTTTAAAATCCTAGGGACAAAAGTAGATACTAGATTTATCTCATTAAAAAAAATGCTTGCATCAATAGCTTTGCCAATTGAAAAATTAAAAATAATCATCAAATCAAAAGTAATTATTATTTTGTGTAATAACAAATAACAGTAAAAACATACTCCCAGATTTAGGCCAGGCACAGTGGCTCATGCCTATAAGCCCAGCAACTTGGGAGGCCAAGGCAGGTAGATTACCTGAGGTCAGGAGTTCAAGACCAGACTGGTCAACATGGCGAAACCCCATCTCTACTAAAAAATTCAAAAATTAGTTGGGCATGGTGGTGGGCACCTGTAATCCCAGCTATTTGGGAGTCTGAGTCAGGATAATTTCTTGAACCCGGGAGGCGGAGGTTGTAGTGAGCTGAGATTTCACCATTGCACTCCATCCTAGGCAACAAGAGCAAAAATCTGTTAAAAAAAAAAAAATCCCAAATTTATACAATAGGATGCTGTCAAGAAATTTCAAATAGCACATACTTATTGTTTGCAAAGCAGCCGTATCTATCCATTATATCCTCCAAGGTTTTCTACTCACAGTATCCTGTTTATTTCAACATCTCTCCCACCCTGATTTAAACCAGAAAGTTACCTTCAAAAATAGATTACCCTAATTAATTTATTATCTCTTATCACAGTCCAACTTTTTTTACTAATTCTAATTAATATTACTCTACCTGCTCTTTTACCCAAGCTAAAGTTGAGGACATTAGCCAACACTTGTACTTACTCCACATATTTAACCAATAACCATGTTGGTAAGCTTTTTTTAATTATTATTTTACATTCTTATAGTTAGGGAATGTGGGCTCAATGGCTTTTTTAAAATAAGAATTTCTTTAGCTGGTTTGAAATAATAATCTCTCCTATCTAAGTTACTATCAAGAAATGCTTCAGAGACTGAATGAACAGTGCCTACCTGCTGATAGATGACAGATGTAGGCTAAATGTGTTTATTCACTTTAATCATCATATAATATTTGTTTTTAGTAATTTTTGTTACAGCTTACAGCTATACCTGTCAAAAACTTCTCAATTAGTAGATAACTTTTATGGCTATGACTAATCACTAATGTGGATGATTTACTATTGAAAGAACCCAAGTTACTTTTAACTTTTTGAAAAATTTACAGAAAAGAGCTACACACAAAAAGTATCTAAAGTATCTATAGACATATAGACTTGAATGCATGCTATGTTTTTTTCTAATCATTTTAGCATATTCATATTTGATGCTTTAATGATTTAAAATCACACTGTAACCAATTGAAATTAGTTTGGCTATAAATAACAGACTTTTCAAAATAGTAGTAGTTTAAACATGTTAGAGAGCAATCCAGGGCTGGAAGAGTAAATTCAAGGCAATTAGGAATGAGTCCTTATCATCCTTGCTCATGACTCTCATCTTCAAGATTACCTTAATGTCCCAGTTTGGTGCTAGGGTTCCACACATTATATTCGAACTGTAATTTGAAAGAAGGCAAACAGCACAGGATAAGTGGTAGATCCCATCTCAGTTATCTCCGTGTAAGCAGCCTGCTGTGAAGTTCTCAACATTTTCGCTTAATATCATTGGAAGGCACAATTTACAAAACAAACATTCTGGGCAATGCAATGGGTAAAAATTAGGTTCTTCTTCTAAAGAAGGGACAAGTGGATATTAGAAACGCAACTAGTACTTTCTCATAAACACATAACATGGGCACATATGTGTGCACACAGATATGCGTATAGATTTGCATACACAAAAGTATATATGATAGTTTATTCTGTTTTTTCACTAAACTTTTGTCTAAATTCCACTTCTTTATGAGTCATAAACATTTCAATGGCTTGATTTAAAATTCACTGAGTTGATGTAGCATTGTTCACCCTAAAATTGGTAATAGGCTGTTTCCACTTTGTTATTGTTCTTGCTTACTACACTGTTGCAGTAATGACGGCTGCTGCAGCTGCTGCTTATGGAGAATCTGTCCTGGGCCAAGAATTTTGTTAAACAGTTTGTATTTACAATGAGTGAATAAAACTGCATCTTGATCCTATTTTCAGGCATAGTGCAGGATTTGAAGGAAACACAAACTCAAATCACAGAAACACAATTAATGCAGAGCTTTTTTAAATTTTTCTTTAGGGGTAGAAGAGCAGAGTGCACTTCCCAAAATACAATAAAATGTACTAAATATTCTTAATGCTCCGTTTTCCTAAGACAGAAGAGAGAGAAAGAGAGAGGAGAAAGAGAGAGAGAGACAGAGAGAGAGAGAGAGAGAGAGAGAGAGAAGGAGAGAGACATTGCGTTCAGTGATATAAAATCTTCCATATGGTGTTAGTTTGTCAAAATATTTCTGTAGGAGTACTGCCGGAACTTTCCACCCACACACATTCTTGGTATTTATACCCTCAGTAAATTCATTTTTTGTCCTTCTGTATGTGGGTATGCCTTTCTTCTCCCATTTTTCATGTTCACAGAGACTCAGCTATTCAATTTGATTTTCTGATAGAGATAACTAGGCTACCTCAATGCCCACAATAATATGAAGAGAAATTATTTCCTGAAGAATTTTCCATATTTCTAGATGCCTGAATTCTGTCATAGAGCATCTCCATACTGATGATCATTCTTTCTGCATTGCTTTACTACTGTGTTTCTTTAATTGCTATGGCAACAGCACAACAGAGCCAATATAACCACAGGGACTACAGTTACAAGAAATGTTAAATACCCTAGGGAAACTGAAATACAGTGGATAGTTTGATATCTCTGTGGCTCAGAGATTCACCTTTCAGAATTTCAAGGAAAAACTGGATAAAGTAATAAATCATTTATTAGATTTGAAACACCAGTTAATAGCATTCAAATTTGTATTATAACCTTTTTTATGTCCTTTCAAGTTGTCATAAATCAACGTGAATTCCAGGAAAGAGGCTGCTATATTGGAAGAAACAGGGGTCATCTACTGTGCTGAGGTAGCAGCATGATGATTTCATTGCATTTCACATTTGTGGCAATGTTCAATGTGTGAGTCTTTCCTAATTCCTGTGACCATTGAAGCCTAATTATCCTGCAATGAGATGCAGTAGAAAGAGAACTGGGGCATTAAATTCAGGTTGGAATCTTAGATACCTAATAATGTTTTCTGGCCTTCACTGAGATTCAGATTCCTCATTAATCAATGATGTAGAACTCAAGATCTTTTTACTCTGATGCTTTCCAAAAGGCACAGATATGTTGAGGCAAACATCTTCAGGTTTGACATTGATAGGGAGCAACAGGGCAATATCACAGCAACAATATACTCTGTAACTGAAAGGTAACAACTCTGCTTATTTATCTGAAGCCACATGCCTACCCACATTTTATATAGAATATTGTTCTTTGCTATACTTTCTTGGGTCCTTTCTCCTCTTCCTCATAATGCACTTTAATTTATCAAGTAGAGGAATTTGGCTATCCTTGTTTTATTGTACCTACAAAAGCAATGCCCTGGGGAATGTACCTTTCACAAACAAAGTGGATAATCAAATTATTTATCTAAATGAATATATTAGTCAATTCTCACACTCCTAATAAAGACATACCCAAGATTGGGTAATTTATAAAGAAAAGAGGTTTAATTGACTCACAGTTTAGCGGGGCTGGAAAGGCCTCAGGGAACTTACAATCATTGTGAAAAGAGAAGCAAACATGTCCTTCTTCACATGGTGGCAGCAAGAAGTGCTGAGCAAAAGGAGAAAAAGCCCCTTATAAAATCAGCAGATCTCATGAGAACTCACTCACTGTCACAAGAATAGCATGAGGGTAACCACCCCTATGATTCAGTTACCCCCCCACCAACTGGGTCCCTCCCATGACACATAGGGATTGTAGGAACTACAAATTGAGATGAGATTTGGGTGGGGAGAAAGTCAAACAATATCAACAAATAGCCATCTACTCCCCAGATTAATTGTACTTATCTCCTGGAGGTACTACTGTTTTAATTAATTGAAGTTTTATATATGAATTATCTCCCTCTTTTCTACCCACATCACTCCCCTTTCCCAGATATTTCCCACTTACTTCTGCACATGCATAGGAAATGCTCATGAACAACAAAAATTCATTTTAGGGAACCATTGCCACCTGCGCCAGCTGACTCAACTCCAAACTCCTGCTGTTCCAGCACTGTAGGGAATCTTCACAGCCTCTTAGCACTAGCCTTTTCTAGGCTGCTTTTTCTCCCCAAACAATTTTCTGCAAGAAAGAACACATTTACCTTCACAGTTCCTAGTAGTATTTACTGGTAGGATCCATGGGTTCCCAATATCACATAGAGTCTCTGTAGGGAGATTTCTGAGTAGGCAAGATAGGTGACAACTCAAGCTATACCAATTAAAGAATACTGAGATTTCTTTACATACAGAAATCACTCTCTCTTGTATGAGGTGGAATTTATACACTTAAAAGAAAACTTAGCATTCTGCATTAAAATATTTGGGTGACTTCAGTCATGTTTTCACTTACCAAAGAAAAATGAATGACTATAGTTAAGTGTGTCATTTTGGTTGCCTTCCAAGTTGTTCTGATGTCTTTACTGTGTGAAAGAAAATAGAGTCTTTAGGATCCCAAACTCACAATGCCAAAGGGAAAGTTAAGGTTGGAAACTGAGTCATGTAATACTGTCTTCCTTCTGTTCCCCAAAAGAGAGTTGTTATTTCACAACACTGTGTCCTGACTTCTTACATAAATCAGGTTCCCACTATAGGCCACGTATTTAACCAGCTGGCCTCCCTCACAAATTGCTCATGAGGAAATTCCCTGTAAGCTCCTAAATCTTTCAGGATACATATATAACCTGAAAGATACATATGTATACATGTAAGGGAGATATCCCCCTCTGTAACCTAGCACTAAATCCAAGTTCTGTTTAATCTCACCCCGACTATGTCAATTACTAGCTTATCTTCACAGGTGCAGGACAAGAGCAGACCAGAAATCATTTCTCCACCTACCCAGAGAAGAATGCGTAATATAATTGTTCTCTATTCTATTTGTTCATGTTTCCTATATTTTATGTAAAATGTAGATACACTGAGCACCAGAGGAATGCGTAATTGTCTTTTTCTTTCTTTTTTTTTTTTTTTTTTTTTGAGACGGAGTGTCGCTCTGTCGCCCAGGCTGGAGTGCAGTGGTGCCATCTCAGCTCACTGCAAGCTCCGCCTCCCGGGTTCACGCCCTTCTCCTGCCTCAGCCTCCCGAGTAGCTGGGACTACAGGTGCCCACCACCATGCCTGGCTTTTTTTTTTTTTTTTCTTTTTCTTGTATTTTTAGTAGAGATGGGGTTTCTCCGTGTTAGCCAGGATGGTCTCAATCTCCTGACCTCGTGATCCACCCGCCTTGGCCTCCCAAAGTGTTGGGATTACAGGCGTGAGCCACTGTGCCCAGCCAGTTGTCTTTTTCTTTTACTCCCTTTCACCTGTAAAATATAGGTTTACTGAGCACTAATCAGAGTCTCACAAGAATGTGACCATTTGCCTTACTACCTACCTGCCCTCTCTTTCATCCTTCCTGCTTGCTCTTTCTCCTTTAAATACTGAAGTTTCCAAAACCCTCTTGGGAAAAGTGTACAATACAGATGCTCCTATGCCTTGTGTTTTTACCCGCAGCATCCTCAAACTTTGGCTAAATAAACCTCTATCAATTGAGACACTTGTTGAAATCACTTTTTGGTTAACAGCCACAATAATCTGCTAGCACCTTTAAAATGTAATTTAATTGTAAAGAGAGACAAAGAAAATAAACGAGTAAATGACATGATGAATGTAAAGTATCATTGTTTACAATGTGAGAATTAAAAATCCTTTATATGAAAGTGCTACATAATCAGAAAAACACAATATAAATAATATTTACCACTAGCAATCTAACATACTAGGAAGAACATGGCTTTGGGAAATAGATGTCTCTCTCTCTCTTAAAACTGCCTTTTGTTTACTTTCTATACGACTGTGAGAATATCGCTTACATTTCCTAAATTCAGTTTTATCATATACAATGAGAATAAATTAACTATATGCAGTTGTGCAATATAGTTGCACAAGCTCAGCAGCTGCAGGCGCCTGAGTACCTGGGATTACGGGTGCAGAATACTATGCCCTGCTAATAAATTTTCAAAATGACATAAAACATCTTTTTATGCAGGCTTCACCTCAGTTTTAGAAAGCAATGAGTATCTGGAATATTGCATATCTACAAGTTAGAGAAGGCACAAGTTAGAGAAGGCATGATCATGACAAATTTTGTTTCCTCATCTATAAAATAAAGAAATTACTACTTATTTTGTGTTTACCTATCTTCAATAAATGATAATTATTATTTTTAAAATTATTTGTTTTGTGTAAGTAATTGGTGTCTTATCTGTAGCTAATTTATGTAAATAATGTTTATGTAAATTTATTTCATGGTAAAAATACATGTGTGTGTGTATATATATACACACGCACATGTTGAGAACAAAAATTACAGGATACTATATTAAGAACTCAGAAACCCATTAGGACTATGCAAATTTAAATATCAAAGTATAATAAGTCAACATTTTCATAGTTGGCCATCTATTTTGTTTATATACCCGTTTTACACAGATCCTAACTCTCTAAGTTTGGTAGATTCCTGCAATGCACTTTGTGTATGTTGCAGTTGCTAAACACATCTTCCCGAAAATATTAATGAAAGGATAAATAAATTGATGCATGGGTGAATTTTAAGAATTTATTACATTCAATGTACTTAGCCATATTACTAGTGACTGTTATAATCAAATCCCAAAATGTAATTGTTCCAGGTTATATATATATCATATTTTGAGGCCTGAATTTTAGAGGCTCAATAATAATATTATTAGTATGTATTTTAACGGAGAATGCAGTTAAAATGTTAGCATTTATAGTCTCTCTAGAAAAAAAGTTAGACAGAAAACCTAAAATATTTGAAATAAAACTATTAAAGGCATTTCAGTTTCTAAGCTATATTATAAAATATCCTTCACAATACTGTAGCCGTTTAACACATCCTGCAAAAACTCATCAATATCAACAGACATTAACATTTGTCCCCAGACATTAGTTGAGACAAAGGGGCAGTAATTGAATTAATAGCATTCTACTGAATGATGGCAAAGTAGCTATGGAGGAGCCCAATAGCTTTCCTTTAACTCAACATATAAATTGCTACCATATTGGTTTCTGCAGAGAATAGGCTTTAGTCTCAGTTGGTTGTAAAAATCTAAATTTGCTTTTATATTC
Organism: Homo sapiens; assembly: GCF_000001405.40. Taxonomy (NCBI): domain Eukaryota; kingdom Metazoa; phylum Chordata; class Mammalia; order Primates; family Hominidae; genus Homo; species Homo sapiens. Next base: position 41,878,453 of record NC_000014.9, read on the forward strand.
CATCCTGGTTCCCAAATAAGTACTGATACTCTTGAGCATATGTTATGTAATAGCCGTGACAGAAAGATGGATGTAGTAATGGAAAATCATTTTTCAGTTTGTGTGTAATAGACTCTTCTTTGAACAGAATTTGCTTCAAATAACATATAATAAAGAGATACGTAAATATTATCTAAATGCATCACTATTTGCCGAGTTACAGTTCCACTCAAATATTTAACAAAAACCTGTCTGTGTTGCTTACATTTAACTATTTGGAGAAATAGACAGATCGTGCTTGAAATGGCTTTACTTAACTAGATTAAAAACATAGATAGTATGTTTTATATTTATGAATTTTTAAATTATTAATTCCAGAAAAGCATGAAAGCCATTCTGACTTTCCATTTACATTGATTTTTTAAAAGTGGTTATGTGTTAATATAATAAATATGTCAAGGATCAGTTTGTGAACTTGTAGGAAATGAAAACTATGCTTCTTTACATGAGATCTTACCTCGTATTTTTAAATAAACTTTGAAATCTTCATCTTGTCCAAATAACTTGGGAAAAATCATTAATCACAATTTATATGATTTTTTTTTCATTACTTAGAGGTCTCACACAGAAAATAGACTTTAGGGAGTAGTCCAGATTTTATTGTACACTTACTCTTACTTTCTAAATTACCGTATCTGTATATATGTTGCCTGATGATAAAAAGTAAATCAAGCTATGAAATAGGAAATATAATTTAAGTTGCAATAGGGTCACCTCTTTGAACATATATGACAAAGTTAAGAAGATTTATGTTCCTAAAATATGATTAAGTTTTGATTAACTACAGATAAAGTGCCCTTTTATATATTATTCTTCCTTTGGAGCAAATATTTAGAAACATAATGAAAAATCACTATTTCCTTTTTTAAAAAAAATTAATCACCTACTCACAATTACTAAAAAGTGGCAAGAATAGCATGAAGAATTTCCGTATACCCTTTACCCGGATTCCCAAATACTCACAAATACCACATTTTCTTTCCTCATCTTCTCCTTGTCTTCCTTCTTTCTATTTTTCTCTCTTTCTATATATGTGTATTTATATTGTTATATATAAAATTATATATTACATGTTTAAATTGTATACATAACTGATATGCTATATATTTATATTATGATAGATATGTGGACATATAGATCTCCACCTTGATCTGGAATTACTTTTATGAGAGGATTTTGATTTTGAATTCAGTTTCCTTAACAAATGTGATATTGTTTATATTTTCTATGTATCTTCTTGTCTATACATTTTCTTCTATTAGTAGTTTGGTAATTTGCATTTTTCAATGAATTTGTCCATTTCATCTAAGTTATTGTGTATATGTATTGGCATGACAGGGGATTTTGTATTTTTTTATTCTTCTCATTGGCAATTTTTGGTTTCTCTCATTTTTTCTTAATTATCTTGCAGGGATCAATTTTTCCTTTTTTTTTTTTTTTTTTTTTTTTTTAACAGAGTCTCACTCTGTTGCCCAGGCTGGAGTGCAGTGGCAAGATCTAATGTCGGCTCACTGCAAGCTCTGCCTCCTGGGTTCGCGTCAGTCTCCTGCCTCAGCATCCCCAGTAGCTGGGACTACAGGCACCCACCATCACGCCGGGATAATTTTTTGTATTTTTAGTAGAGATGGGGTTTCACCGTATTAGCCAGGATGGTCTCGATCTCCTGACCTCGTGATCTGCCCGCCTTGGCCTCCCAAAGTGCTGGGATTACAGGTGTGAGCCACCGCGCCCGGCCCTCAATCTTTTCTAAAAAACAGCTTTTGACTTTATGTATTATTTCTATTTTTTGATCTGATTTCTATTTTATAAATTTCTGCTCATTTTAATAGTCTCATTTCTTCTATTTACTCTCTTTTGTATTTATTTTCTAGCTTCTTAGGTATCAAGCTTAGATAACTGATTTTAAACCATGTTTTCTTTCTAATAATATATTTAGTCTGAATCACCATAACAATTCAAATACACTATTTTTTATACCATAAATTGTTATACTTTAATTTCAATTAAATTAATTTCATTTAATTAATTACTTTAATTTTAATTTCATTTCAATTTAATAGTCTTGCTAAAGTTCCATGAGAATCTGGAAAGAATGTGTATTCTCTATTTATTGAAGTTGCATTTTATAATTATAAATTAGGTCAGGTTGGTTGATAGTGCTGTGTAAATCTTTTATAGCTACTGCTCTCTCTTTTTTGTCAGCTTATTATATCAATTAATAGTGAAAGAGAAGAGTTCGTATCTCCAATTGTAACTGTGGATTTAAAAAAAATTCCCTTTTTCCTATCGTGTCATTTCATGTGTTTTGAAGATCTTCTGCTGAGTCCATGTGCATTCAGTGTTTTCGTGGTTTCTTGATGAATTGATCCTTTTTCTCTATAAAATGCCCATATTTATCTCTCATATACTGTTTGCCTTTTTCTAATTTATAGCCACATCAACTTTTTATGTTCAGTGTTTTAATGACATATCTTTTTCAGCCTTTTACTTTTAGTTGTTCATATCTTTATTTTCAACGTGTATTTTTCTAAATGCTTCATGGATGGCCTGGTTATTTTAGGCAGGATAAAAACCTTTGCCTTTAACTCTTACATCCCATTCGTGTTTGAAGTTTTTGCTGTAGTTTAGGATTAAGTCTACTACCTTGGCAGTGATTTTCTATTTTCCCAGTGGGTTCATTATTTCTCTTTTCCTTCTATACTGGTGAACTGCTGTTGTTATATCTTGCACAGAATATCTGAGATAAATTTTTCTTAGATTTTGCCTAGCTGTGAATACCTTTTTATGCATTTTGAAGAATACTTTTATTAGATATAAAATTCTAGAGTATAGGATTTTTTCTTTTCTTTATAAATTTTAAATATATTATTTCATTTTCTTTTGACCTTAATTATGATGAGAATTCAGTTGTAAATTATAGTTATTCTCCATATATGCAATATCTTTTTCTCTGCCTCTTTTAATAAATCTTTATCTTTATATTTAGTTTTCAGCCATTTGTTCTTTTGTGTCTAGGTGTTTATCTGCTGCATTGGTCTTTTTATATTATCAATATCATCAACTCTGGAATCTTTTCAGATATTTTTACTTCTACTATTTATTCTGCCCCATTCTCCCTTTCTTTCTGAGAGGGATTAAAATTATGATAATATTAATCATTCAAATACTTTTCCCTCAGATCTAATACTTTTTGTTCTGTTCTTTCAGGCTTTTAAAATCTGAATTTAGTTTTTTTCTATTGATTTGTCTTCAATTACATTTATACTTTCTTCTGCTGTGCCCAATCTTCTGTTACAAAGATATTGTTATATTTTAGATCATATACATTTAAAAATTGTTTTTCACATCTCTGCTAAAATTACCCATCAAATCATGCATGATGTCCATCTTTTCCTGCAGATACGTTAGAATTTTTATTATAGTAATTTTATGCTCCCTGTGGTAATTGTAATATCTGGGGTGTCTCTGGATCTGCTTCTATTAATCACTTCCTTTTTAATGTTCATCACTTTTTCTTGCTTCTTCAAGTTTTTATGTGAATTCTTACATGTTTGGGAATTTCCTATTTAGTAAGACCTGAGATCTGTGCCCTGTGGTGGTTTTGGAGCTCTATTTCTATTTTACAGATGAATCTTTTGATTTCCAAATTTCTGGAGGTCTCACCACCCTGCTTTACAGCTCTGGGGCCAGATTTGTTGGTGGCCTAGGAGAATTTATTGATCTCAAATCTCACCCCTAGCATTTTTTTTTCTTTTGGCTGCACCTACCCCACAGTCTACGAAGGTGGAAATATCCTCTAGGAAGCTCTAGGAAGGATTTTTCAGCTGCCAAATGTCACCCTACGCATTTTGTGGTTAAAATCACAGGTATCTGTATGGAAATGAAGGGGACTGAGCTCTCCCTCCCCTCTGTCAGTCCTGATAACTGAAATCCCTGAGGGACTGTATTTTTCTTCTAGTTCCTCTGCATCTTTCCCATTCTTTCCAAGCTGAAAAGCAAGGTTGCCTGAAGTATTTCTTTCAATTTTCCTTTCCTTCCTCAATTTTTTTCTCGTCTGAAAATAAGGTGTATCTGAGAGAAGTGATCTCTACCCTCTTTCTATTCCCATATTTTTAAGATAATATTCCTGTTACTCAATGAAGGTATGAGAATGACATAGGTGTTAATATTTTCTCACTGCTGCTATTGGGGCTCTTGTGGATTCTATTTTGTTATGTTGAACCACAAATGCATTCTTAGAAGTTTGGTAAAATATAGGCAGGATTCGTTTTATCCCAAGTTATGTCAGATAGATACGATGTCCTAGTTTCTTTTTTGTTGGTGGGGGAAGTAGAGCAACAGCTATGTATTTCCTCTTTTTTTTTTTTTTTTTTTTGAGATGGATTCTCGTTCTGTCACCCAGGCTGGAGTGTAATGGCGCGATCTCTGCTTACTGCAATCTCCACCTCCCGGGTTTACGCCATTCTCCTGCCTCAGCCTCCCCAGTAACTGGGACTACAGTTGCACGCCACCACAGCCGGCTAATTTTTGTATTTTTAGTAGAGACGGGGTTTCACCGTATTGGCCAGGATGGTCTCGAACTCCTGACCACGTAATCTGTCCCCCCGACCCTGGCTTCCCAAAGTGCTGGGATTACAGGCTTGAGTCACCACCCCCCGCCATTTCCCCCCTTTTATCAAGGACTGCCACCTCTGGAAGTTAGATTCTTTAAGTTTCTTTGTATTCCAAAGATTATAATGTTACTATTTTTAAAAATATGATTTATAGCTTATCCAGCTTATTTTGTTTGTTTAGGGTGACAGTGATGGTTTCTTATTACTTTCTATATTTATTCCAGAAATACTATTTATAAACACATTAAAATGCAATAAAATATTGCATACATATCTACAGATGTATCATTTCTGTTGTTCTTTAGCCATTTATAAAGTTTCAAGTTTCTTCCATCATATATAATTTTCCTTCAGCCTAAAGACACTATCCTTTACATTTTCATATAAGTGCAGGTTTGCTGGTGAAGAAACTGTTTCTCTTAAAATTTCTTACCTTGTTTTCATCTTTTATAAAAGTATAATCCTGCCTAGGTTGCTAGGTTTTCCTTTCTTCATGGAGCACTTTAAAGATGTTTTTCATTATCTTCCATCTCACTTTATTTACGATGAGAAGTCAGTGAGGAGTCAGCAGTTACTTTTATTTTGTTTACCTTACCTTATTGTAATCCGTCTTATTTCTATGCCTACATTTAAGATTATTTTTCCTTTGGTTAGCTGCAATTTGACGATGATGTGTCTTGGTATGGTTTCATTGTGTTGAGCTTGGATTTATAGATTTTTTTTAATAACATTCAACAAATTGTTTGCTTTTAGTTCTTTAAATATATTTCTGCCTAACAGCATTCTTCTGATATTGCAATTACGTATATGTTTGACTTCTTAACACCATTCCACAGGTCATTGGATTTTTGTTCCCTTTCCTTTCATCCCTTTTTATCAGTATTACAGCATGGTTTGTACCTATTACCCTGCCTCCACTTACATAGTTTACCAGAGCTCTTTTTCAATAACTCTCTTTTTGCTAGTACACTGCCCCACAAATTCAAGCCACCTGAGACTCTGCTCTCCAATCTTTGTCTTTTCAGTTTAACAAGACTGTTCATACTTTGCCTTGTTTCCCCTTCTTGTGCTGTGATTTGGAAGATGTCTCCAGGGGTAATTGTAGAATTAATTTTTAACTCACTATCTCAAGGATCACAGTTCTGTATTTATTCACTTCCAATGTCCAAAACTTGTTGTTTTATATATTTTTGTAATTTTATTTGTTAATGCTTATTTTGGAAAGGCTAGTTTAATACCAGTTAGTAATGAACAGAAGATTCTATCTTTATTTGTTGATAATGATCATTTTTATTAACTAGATCAACATTTCATATGGCATCAAATAGGTGTTGTGCTGGACACCTCTTAACCTCAGTAGGGAAGGATCCAGGTTCAAGAGGCGGAAGAAGAGACCCAGAGCCAGCAAGTGAGATACGGGGTTTGATTAGGGGATAACACACAGGGAAGAGTCCAGTGGTCGCAGGCTGGACTGCTTATCTGCCTTATGCACAGTCCAGTGGCAGCAAGCTGGTAAGGAAAACCACAACTGCTTGAAACTTACATAGCATTTAACACCCTCCCCTTAACGATCTCCACCTGGCAGCCTCCATTTAACCCAAAATTCAGGGCATCAATCCCCTGTACAGCCCATGTTCCATTGGACAGGTTGGGGGCTCAGATGTTTCTCATAGACAAGGAATGAATCTCCGGATTGGCCACTCCTGGATTCCCTAGCTCAGGACACACATTCAGGTGCATCATCAATCTGGGGTCATTCTAAATATATGTTTAAGTTATTGCTATCAGGGGCTTTTACCCTACAAAAGGCATTAAATAATTAAAAGTCATAAAATATGCTTTAATTAGAAAACTAGGCATGACATTTCCAGGATGATTTCATATTTATATTAAATTGAAAATATGTATGATTTTCTGCAGCTATTTTCACTCATGGTTTTTAAAACTTCATGCAATGGGCTGAGTAAGGTAGCTCATGCCTGTACTTGCAGCACTTTGGGAGACTGAGTCAAGAGGATTGCTGAGTCCAGGAGTTTGAGCCCTGTCTCTACAAAAAAAAAAAAAAAAAAAATTACCCTAGGGTGGTGGCACTTATCTGTAGTCCCATCTACTCAGAAGGCTGAAGAGGAAGGATCATTTGAGCTGAGGAGGTCGAGACTGCAGTGAGCCATGATCACACCACTGCACTGCACAGCTTGGGTGACAGAGAAAAACTTTGTCTAAAAAAAAAAAAAAGAAAGAAAGAAAAAAAGAAAACCTGATGCAACATATGAGAGCTTTTAATCAAATATATGCTATTATTTTTATTTTTGAGAATTGATTTCAATAGCATATACTCAAGATCAAACAGAAAAATGAAAATTGTCAAAGTGTTTATTTAAAATAAAATTTGGATAAATATACATTCGTTAAGATTGTAAAAGAAGGAAAACAGAATATAATATCTTGTTGAACATACTGTTAAGTGAAAGCACTGACGGCTGCTTCCCAGAAATTATCTTTAAAAATCCACATTTTTAACCAATAAAATATTTTAATATTTAGGGAACTCGGAGCTATTGTGATAAACATTCAACCTTGTTATTTTTTGAGAATAAGATTTTTGTATTTTCAGTTAAGATGTGAAGATTGGCCGGGCACAGTGGCTCATGCCTGTAATCTCAGCACTTTGGGAGGCTGAAGCGGGCGGATCACCTGAGGTCAGGAGTTCGAAACCAGCCAGCCCAACATGACAAACCCTGTCTCTACTAAAAATACAAAAATTAGCTGGGCGTGGTGTTGGGCGCCTGTAATCCTAGCTACTCAGGGAGGCCAAATGGTCATCAGTAATCGCTTGAACCTGGGAGGTGGAAGTTACGGTGAGCCAAGATCACGCCACTGCACTGCAGCCTGGGCAACAAAGCAAGGCTCGTCTCAAAAAAAAAAAAAAAAAAAAATAGTGAAGGTTGATCTATGTCAAGATAGTTTGTAAAGAAGAAAAAAATTAATCAAGAATTTGTTATCTTCAAAGGTCATGCTGCAAGCTAACAAATATTGTATTTTATTGTTTCTGTTTAGGCTACTGAATTGACCTACTTACAAATCTTCAAATATGCCTCTAATTTTTTAAATATCTTTATGTAACAAGATGTCCTTCAGGGTCTAGGGTATGTTTTCCTGAACCCCCAGGCCTACAATCTCGGCTGTATATCTCTTTTGGTTCACCCATGGAGTACCCTGGACATACTTAAAAAATGGCGCTTAATTTGCAGAGTTATAATAAACTTTTGACTGCTTTGTTTTTCCTACTTGATTTTAAATCCCATGAAACTATCAATGGTATGTTATTCCTCCCTAGTGCCCATTATAGCCTTTACTACAGAATAAATATTAATACTTGTTAAGCAAACAAGTGAAATTATTTCTCTATTCTAGATTGCATACAAATATTATTCTAGTAGGAATATGAATATGAATTAAATCACTGGATGCTAACATTCTATTTTGTGTCTTCCGTTACAGGCTCTTAAACCTGATCTACAATGGAAAAAATTCTTTTTTATCTGTTTCTCATTGGCATAGCAGTGAAAGCTCAGATCTGTCCAAAGCGTTGTGTCTGTCAGATTTTGTCTCCTAATCTTGCAACCCTTTGTGCCAAGAAAGGGCTTTTATTTGTTCCACCAAACATTGACAGAAGAACTGTGGAACTGCGGTTGGCAGACAATTTTGTTACAAATATTAAAAGGAAAGATTTTGCCAATATGACCAGCTTGGTGGACCTGACTCTATCCAGGAATACAATAAGTTTTATTACACCTCATGCTTTCGCTGACCTACGAAATTTGAGGGCTTTGCATTTGAATAGCAACAGATTGACTAAAATTACAAATGATATGTTCAGTGGTCTTTCCAATCTTCATCATTTGATACTGAACAACAATCAGCTGACTTTAATTTCCTCTACAGCGTTTGATGATGTCTTCGCCCTTGAGGAGCTGGATCTGTCCTATAATAATCTAGAAACCATTCCTTGGGATGCTGTTGAGAAGATGGTTAGCTTGCATACCCTTAGTTTGGATCACAATATGATTGATAACATTCCTAAGGGGACCTTCTCCCATTTGCACAAGATGACTCGGTTAGATGTGACATCAAATAAATTGCAGAAGCTACCACCTGACCCTCTCTTTCAGCGAGCTCAGGTACTAGCAACCTCAGGAATCATAAGCCCATCTACTTTTGCATTAAGTTTTGGTGGAAACCCCTTGCATTGCAATTGTGAATTGTTGTGGTTGAGGCGTCTGTCCAGAGAAGATGACTTAGAGACCTGTGCTTCTCCTCCACTTTTAACTGGCCGCTACTTTTGGTCAATTCCTGAAGAAGAGTTTTTGTGTGAGCCTCCTCTCATTACTCGTCATACACATGAGATGAGAGTCCTGGAGGGACAAAGGGCAACACTGAGGTGCAAAGCCAGGGGAGACCCTGAGCCTGCAATTCACTGGATTTCTCCTGAAGGGAAGCTTATTTCAAATGCAACAAGATCTCTGGTGTATGATAACGGAACACTTGACATTCTTATCACAACTGTAAAGGATACAGGTGCTTTTACCTGCATTGCTTCCAATCCTGCTGGGGAAGCAACACAAATAGTGGATCTTCATATAATTAAGCTCCCTCACTTACTAAATAGTACAAACCATATCCATGAGCCTGATCCTGGTTCTTCAGATATCTCAACTTCTACCAAGTCAGGTTCTAATACAAGCAGTAGTAATGGTGATACTAAATTGAGTCAAGATAAAATTGTGGTGGCAGAAGCTACATCATCAACGGCACTACTTAAATTTAATTTTCAAAGAAATATCCCTGGAATACGTATGTTTCAAATCCAGTACAATGGTACTTATGATGACACCCTTGTTTACAGGTAAGAAAAATTGAGCAAATTTGTATACTTACCATGCATCTTAGTGTAGAATTTGTTAATGTACTACTGATTTTTTTTAATTGGCAGTGCTGTTCTGTGTTGTAATTCCATATTTTAAAGTGCATAGTGTAAGCTTTGAAAAAGGTGGTAATACAAGTGGGGAGATATTTTGAATGGTATTTTTTTAGAGAGTTCAATTTATATTTAATATTATGCTTACTTACTTTTTTCCCCCTCATCTAAGAGATGTGACTATCAGAGAACAACACTGATTTATTATAAAAATTCAAAAACATACCAGAACTTACACACACATGAGTGTTCTTTCCTTCAAGGAAGCCACGTTGGGAGGCTATACCATTATCCCAATGATGCTGCCATTGCTCAAAGCACTTTTGGAATTATCTTTAGAACCTTCGTCATACTATTTTGAATATCCTCAGTGGTGGCAAATCTTCGTCTTTTGAGGGTGAATTTGAATTTTGGAAACAAGCAAAAGCCATTTGGAGTCAAGTCTTGTGAATAAGGTGGGTGATCAAGATGGGTATTGCCATTTTTGGTCAAAAATAGGATGTAACTATAAAATAATGAGACTGATTCTTTGAGTGATTAAGGGGTATGTGTGCGTGTGTCTGTGTGGTTGTGTTGTCTCATGTGTACTGGTTCTAAGACAGTTCCAAAAAGAAACCTTATAAATAATTTGAGCAGTGAAAGTATCACTGGAATTAGGTATGTAATATCCAAGTAAGGATGATGATGGAGAATTTGCATCTACTAAACAATTTCTGGTATGTTTTTCTAAAGTTCAGCCTCATTGATTTATAGTCACATCTTATCCAATTTTCAGTTAAAAAGACATATTTTTACCCTTTCATATAATTTCACTTTGTGAGAGGCTTACTATGCCCTAGGAAATGATGCAAAACCATGGCTTTGCATTTTATATATATATATACACATATGTGTGTATGTATATGTGTGTATGTATACACATATATATATGTGTGTGTATATATACACATGTATATATACATGTGTGTATATATATACACACATATAGATATTTCAAAGCCATATATATATATGTCTATATATATATGTCTCTATATATATATATATATTCTGTTTAAGATATTCAGAAATCAGATCAGATCAGTTCCTATGTACCCAGGTGAATTATTCAATATAATTGATTTTCATTCCTGTATGGAAATGAGAGTAATTTTTTTTTAAAGCATGGACTAATAGGCAAAATTAAACCTATCCTATCTAGTCATGTGATCAGCTCAGAGCAGTATTCTATATGGCTGAGTTTCAATTCCTCGTCATTACAAGGGAGAAATTAGACTAAAGGTCTCTAATATCCCTTCATCACTAAATATATGGGGACATGGACTATGATACATCTATATTAACTTAAAGTAATTTGCTCTTGTCATACCAGGCTCTTCACATAACTCATGGACTACTGTCAATGACAAATACCCCTCCCCACCCCACACTTTTTTGTAGCTATTGGATATTCTATATATTTTAAACATTAGCTCTGTGAAATAAGCCAGATTTTATTTTCCAAATTCCAGGATCTTAATCCTGCAATGACAAGTAAAATTCTGTTTAATCTTGAGGAAATTTCTGGAATCCCTGACCCTTTTTGTCATTTGTAAAATAGTGATAATGCCTGTCTCATAAGGTCATTGTAAAGATTAAATTTTAATGTATACAAAATGTTTAGTAATGCCTGTTATTTAATTATAAATTAGGTCATATTCAGTTGCAACTGAAGGAACAGAAGAAAATAGATATCAACAAGGAACTTTTAGAATGTAGTAGATTCAGAGATGTCTATAAACTCTTTATTTATTTATTTTGAGATAAGGTCTTGCTGTGTCTCCCAGGCTTGAGTGAAGTGGCACAATCTCGGCTCACTGCAACCTCTGCCTCCTGGGTTCAAGCAATTCTCCTGTCTCAGCCTGCCCAGTAGCTGGGACTACAGGTGCCCGCCACCACTCCCAGCTAATTTTTATATTTTTATTAGAGACGGTGTTTCACCGTATCGGTCAGGCTGGTCTCAAACTCCTGACCTCAGTTGATCCACCTGCCTTGGCCTCCCAAAGTGCTGGGATTACAGGCATGAGCCACCGCAGTGAAAGTATCACTGGAATTAGGTGATATTAGATTTAGGCACTGTCTAAACTCTTGCACTTTATAAATTGTGCTCTGATGGAAATTTGCGGTAGCATACAACGGGATGAGGGATTTATGCTCTGGTCAATAGCCTTGCCTTGTTCATGTTTCTAGGATAATATTACTTGTATATTTTCATTATCCTCATGTATAGATAAAAACATAACGCAGTCCAAGTGTTGACTGCATTAAAAAAGGATTATATTTGTAAAGAAAATACTTTAATCAGGCCGGGCGCGGTGGCTCACGCCTGTAATCCCAGCACTTTGGGAGGCAGAGGCGGGCGGATCATGAGGTCAGGAGATCGAGACCATCCTGGCTAACACAGTGAAACCCCGCCTCTACTAAAAATACAAAAAATTAGCCGGGCGTGGTGGCGGGCGCCTGTAGTCCCAGCTACTCGGCAGGCTGAGGCAGGAGAATGGCGTGAACCCGGGAGGCGGAGCTTTCATTGAGCCGAGATTGCGCCACTGCACTCCAGCCTGGGCGACAGAGCGAGACTCCGTCTCAAAAAAAAAAAAAAAAACTTTAATCTTAGTAATAATCTTAGTTATTAAGTATATATTTACTGGGTGCCATTTCATTTTTCTGAAATGGAAAATAAATGCTCTAAAATGCGTATCTATTTTGATTTCTAATGTGATTGTCAACATTTTTCCTTCCTTCAAATTTGCTTTTAGTCATAGAGGTATTGTAAGTGCTAAATGGATTTGTTTAGCAGTCAGATAATGTCACAGTCACACCTTTCAAAAGTAATTTGTCATCAATGTTTTTTTAGCAGTGTTTTTTATTAGGAGTTCTCCTTTGCTAAGCAATGTAATTAGTAAGCTTGTGAAGGCTTGGGGTAGGCACGATTAATATAGTGCAGATGCTGACAAGGACTTTTAGCCATTTTAACTCAGTAAATATGAGATTAGATCATTTTTCAATAATTCATATGTTATAAATGTACTTAATGATACTGAAATGACACTGAACTAAAGTCATAATGACTTTCTGTGTATGTGTTTTGTTTTGTTATTAATATTAACACAAATTCCATTGTCCCTCAGAATGATACCTCCTACGAGCAAAACTTTTCTGGTCAATAATCTGGCTGCTGGAACTATGTATGACTTGTGTGTCTTGGCCATATATGATGATGGCATCACTTCCCTCACTGCCACAAGAGTCGTGGGTTGCATCCAGTTTACTACGGAACAGGATTATGTGCGTTGCCATTTCATGCAGTCTCAGTTTTTGGGAGGCACCATGATTATTATTATTGGTGGAATCATTGTAGCATCTGTGCTGGTATTCATCATTATTCTGATGATCCGGTATAAGGTTTGCAACAATAATGGGCAACACAAGGTCACCAAGGTTAGCAATGTTTATTCCCAAACTAACGGGGCTCAAATACAAGGCTGTAGTGTAACGCTGCCCCAGTCCGTGTCCAAACAAGCTGTGGGACACGAAGAGAATGCCCAGTGTTGTAAAGCTACCAGTGACAATGTGATTCAATCTTCAGAAACTTGTTCGAGTCAGGACTCCTCTACCACTACCTCTGCTTTGCCTCCTTCCTGGACTTCAAGCACTTCTGTGTCCCAAAAGCAGAAAAGAAAGACTGGCACAAAGCCAAGTACAGAACCACAGAATGAAGCCGTCACAAATGTTGAATCCCAAAACACTAACAGGAACAACTCAACTGCCTTGCAGTTAGCTAGCCGTCCTCCCGATTCTGTCACAGAGGGGCCCACGTCTAAAAGAGCACATATAAAGCCAAGTAAGTTTATCACTTTGCCTGCTGAGAGATCCGGAGCAAGGCACAAGTACTCCCTCAATGGAGAATTAAAGGAATACTATTGTTATATTAACTCGCCGAACACATGTGGACTGTTTCCTAAAAGAAGCATGTCTATGAATGTGATGTTTATTCAGTCTGACTGTTCTGATGGTCATAGTGGAAAGGCAACTCTCAAATTCTGAGGGACTACTGGAAAGCTCTGTGTAATTTATAATTTCTTTTTCATGAAAAATCATTTTGAGAACTCACATAGAAGATTGGAATTTGCAATTCCAATGCTGTGTATAAATCAACCTTCTCAGGTACAGTATATATATATACACATATATAACTATATATATGTATGTATGTATATGTATACTGGAAGGAAACATAAATAAAATGGATAAGGGAAAAAGCATGACATAGCAGCAGTGCCTTTCCCTATTCTAGGACCAACTCCTAGGACTAGCAACAGCAGATTAAAAAAATGAAAATTGTTGTAGAAAAAAGTATTGCATAAAAAATGATATTTCTCTAATTTTACAAAGGGCCACCTATGGATAATTGATATTTTTAATAAGTAGACTGTATATTTTCTTTCAATGGTAATAGTGTTTCCTTTGTTTTTAGGGAAATGTTGTAGAGAACAACTTCATGTTGCTAAATTATTTAAAATACAATATTCAATTAGTATACCGAGTTAATGTTAAAATTAGTTCACTTCTAAACAACATCCTTGGTGCAGGTGCCTTAATGGTTGTAAGATATTTCTCCTCTATGATACACCTTTTTCAGTGGAAAGAAGAAAGTGCAATTTATTTCGCATTTATGAAAACTCTAATCAGTTTTCAGTCACAGGCTACAAATTCCTATGCATCTACATGGACATATGAAGATGTTTTCATTCATTTAATACACATTTTTTGAATGAATGAGTTTTATGTTGTTCTTAATACAAGATAAAGAGGGAGACAAACATACAAGACTGCCTTTATCAAAGGGGTGTTTATTTTTATCACCAAGTAAAATTTAAAAACTTCTAATGGTGTTCTCATTATATTTATAAGTCATAAAAGTCATTGCTCATTAAGCAGATAGTGGATTTTTTTTTTCCCATTTGCACTATAGTTTTTGCATTTGAATGTTTTCCTTTTAAAGTAAATGCATTTGCTATTTTAACCAAAAACTGTGATAAATCTAACTAGAAATCATGCTGCTTAGTGAGAATACATAATTTTTTAAAACAGGATTTTAAATTTAGTAGAAACTAATGTTGCTCCTGGATAATATGGAATTATTAGAAATTTACTGAAATTAAGGTCTATAGATAAATGTTTCTATTCACTCCTTGAAAAACTTAATTATATAATAATTTGATGGTGTTCTATTAAAGATCTATAAACAGTTACCATCAAAGAGGTTTTATTTTGTTTTGTTTTGAGAATAAGGCTCACCTGAGAACTGACCCATTGCTTTGCACAAAAGAAATGACATTTTAGCCATAATATCATAAGATAGGTACTTTACTATCTTATGTCAAGTACTCTTTGGGAGTAAGTTAAACACACAGTAAAAGTTTATTAACTTTTTCAGATCAGTTGAAATACCACTTAAGACACAAGTGAGGAATGTGGAATCGTTAATTTCCTTCTGGTAGAAGCATATACAACAATTTCAGTTACTGTTAACTTGACAAAGCCACATCTTCTGATACACAATGTATCATGATGCCATTCAATAGTATGTAAGATTAAAGTAGTTAGAGATTACTTTCAGTGCCAGTCTTGAAAATAATTATCCAATGGGCTTTTTTATTTTAGGCGTTTGCTAAATCCCTTCTCTGCCCTGATTCTCTTTCTAAAAAGTTTACTTTTCACATTTGCAAAGTCTAATTATCCTTCACTGCCCAGTTATTTATTTCGTGTAAGGAATAGATGAGGTCACATGTGGTCGTAGTTTGCGAAATCAAAAGCAGCACTCAGAGTGAAATATATTTTCAGTACTATTAATGTAGTAATGCTCTAATTCCAACTAAATATTTTTAATTAACATCAATTGCCTAATTCCTCAATAGGTGTTGATTTGCAGAAGCATACTACTTTTTCTCTTCTTAGATTTATCAGCATAGTATTAAAAATATTGAACATACAAAAGCTTGCAAGACTTAAAGAAATGAATCTTCAAAGACTTTCTGGGATTATGAAGGTTGTGATCAAAGATAAGGATGCTCTGAAATCATGCAACATTAGCAAGGTTAACATATGTACTATAAGTTACTGATGAACTTAGTATTTTCCAGTATTTTTAAAAATCAATTGCCTACTTATGTTTCTAATAAAGTTTGATTAAATATCTTTCATTTCTCATAGACATTTAAAATTCCATATTTAATCATATGAGATTTATTTTGTTTGACTAACACCATTGAAAATAATTTAATGTGATTTAATATATTTTTAATATGATCATTTTTACAATATTTAAACCAAATGCTTGAACACTTGTTCTTAAAAATGATAGAAAGGTGAGTATCTGGCCTGAGATTTTGCCCTTCAAAAAGTCTATATTTTAAGAGATTAACAAAAGACTGGCTTATCAAGAAGGTCAAAATTTTTTTGTATTTGTTTATAAACATATGAAGAAATTTTTGCTTCAAGTAATTGCAGTGTGAAGTGACTGAAAAGTAAGTCTACAGAAAAGGTGGGAATGATATTACCTATCATGATGTCTGAAACATAATTGTTGCTTAGATGAATGAATGAGTAAATGAATAGGTAAATATGGCCATGGAGTAAGGTGTGGAAATAAGAATTTTCATTTGTTAGTACAATACAGATTTGTTATCTAAATATTATATTACCATAAGCAACAAATTCTCTGTCCTTTTCTTGTTTTGCTTTCTGTCATTTATTATTTTATTCCTCATTTAAACAGTCATATATATGTGATCTGAAGCATCTGGTTTGCTGTTTGTTGTTTCTGACTATATGAAGATTATATATACATATATATTATTTTTGCTTCCTCGTTCTTATTTTTCTTTTATTTTTGTCATTTTGCATTATAGTTTCAGCTTGTTCAATGTGAGAACAAACAAAATAATGTGTTTCCTGTTATGCATGTATTAACGATGTTTACTTCAAACTTTTTTTAAAATTGTGTTCCTGCATTATTTTTGTCCCTTTTGAATAATTGTCCCCCAATTGAAAATATAAAATTATTATTACAGTAGTGTCATAAAGGGATAATGAAGCATCTAACGTAGCCCCAAATTTTAAGAAGCAGTATATTTTAGTTTGATGGATATTATTTATGTTAGTCTACAAATATATAAATACATAAAAAGATTAAATACAGCAATTTAAAGTAGACACAGTGGCTGGGCACGGGGGCTCACACTGTAATCCCAGCACTCTGGGGGCCCAAGATGGGCAGATCACTTGAGGTCAGGAGTTAGAGACCAGTCAGGCCAACGTGGTGAAACCCTGTCACTAGTAAAAACACAAAAAAATTAGCTGGGGGCATGGTAGGAATCTGTAGTCCCAGCTACTCAGGAGGCTGAGGTGGGAAAATCGCTTGAGCCTGGGAGGTGGAGGTGGCAGTGAACTGACATCCCACCACTGCACTCCAGCCTGGGTGACAGAGAGAGACTCTGTCTCAAAAGAGAAGAAAAAAAAAGTAAATAAATGAATAAATAAATTAGACACAGTAACACTCAAACTGTGGCCAATTTATTTCCCCTTTTTTTTTTTTCCTAACCATTAAAGGAGTCAGTGGGGGTCTCTGTAAGCTGTTTCATGCTTTAAAACAGTGGGTTTTTACCTGCTTTGTAGATATATTTTACTTAAAATTTTGGAATAGAAGTTTTGAACCATTCTAAGAAATCTCTAAACATAACAAGTCTAATCTTTGAAAGATGCATACTTTCTCCACAAATTTATAAACAATTAAAAAACATAAATGTGATCCATTTGTCTCCAGACATCTTTTTCTTTTAGTTTTGTAATGTATTTTCTCTTCAATTTAAACTACTTGCATCCAATAAATTTTATTATTTTATTTGCTTGTATTTTTGAAAAGAAAATATATCATTTATAAAGCTAAAAACTTTAAAAGTTGCCCTAAAATTTACACTATTTGCCTTTTAGCTCTTAAATTTAAGTTTTTCTCTTTCATTATAGCAATAAATATAAGATTTTTTAAAATTCCAATAGTTTAAAAATCCATAAATATAAAGTATCATCTTTTGGGTAGAATTGTGAAGCAAATTAGACATTTCTTAAGAAGACAGCAAATGCAAGTCATTGTCTTCTCAGCATAGTTGATTTCCAATTGGATTTTATCATGCTAAGAAAACTGTTCATTTACATTAGACAGAATGAAGACTATCTACGATCTTTCCTTGTTCAGCCTTCCCTTGTTTCAAGAACAGTCCAGTGATTAACAATGTATGCTTCTGTGTGAGTGTGAAGTGTTTTGAGGAAAGGACTTCTGCACAGAGGTGGATTGTATGTGAAAAGGATATTTTTCTTATCCTTTTATGTTGCTAATAATAACACTGTACCTTACAATGTTAGTGATATTTAAGTAAATTTATATACAAGAAATATGTCATTTTTGAAATGGCATTCAGAAAAGAATAATCAAAATTAATATTTGAATTTTTACTTTCAAAGGACAGATTGCCCAGTCTTTTTCTTCCCATGCTAGATAAATATACGCTGGGATTATTAATAAAATTAGTTTGTTCACATCTTTATTATTTGTTTATTTATTATTATGTTTTTCCACAGAAACAATCAATTCATGTAGCAGGGTACAGAAGGCCACTTAAAAAGAGTGGTAGGCCGGGCTCAGTGGCTCACACCTGTAATCCCAGCACTTTGGGATGCCAAGGCAGGCAGATCACGAGGTCAGGAGATCGAGACCATCCTGGCCAACGTGGTGAAACCCTATCTCTACTAAAAATACAAAAAATTAGCTGGGTGTGGTGGCGCGCACCTGTAATACCAGCTACTCGGGAGGCTGAGGCAGGAGAATCACTTGAACCCTGGAGTCGGAGGTTGCAGTGAGCCAAGATCGTGCCACTGAACTCCAGCCTGGTGACAGAGTGAGACTCTGTCAAAATAAATAAATAAATAAATAAATAAATAAATAAATAAATAAATATTAAAAAATAGAGTGGTAAGCATATTGTTTTGATTGAGCCATCCTAAAAATGTGGTGTTATCTTGAAGAGGGATATAGAAAGTAACAATTTATAACCAGGAGTATATTTAAGTAGTAAATTACCTCACTAAGGTACTGTTAATGCATTGGGGATTTCATCAAATTACACAAACAGTGAATATAACAAAATAATCACTGATTTCTCTGGTAAGTGTAATGGTACACTTAGAATGATTGTCTTCTGATTATGTTCAGCACTTTCAAAGTCAAAATTTAGGATCTAAAGTTAACATTGAATAAATATATACATCACATACATTTGTATAAATATATATGTGCTCAACAAATATCTGCCTATATATGTATTATATAGACATATAAATATTTATACTCATAACATTAACCAGCTAAAATCATAATTTTGTGTCCTGCAATATAGATTAATTTTAATTACTATGAAAACATAGATTTAAATGGACTGGCTGTCAGAGAACTCCCAGAAAAACTGTAAAAATTATAACTGTTACTTATCAGATAACAATAGAATATAAAGTACAAATTTAATTTTCTGCATTTTTTAATTATAACCATCTCTACAACCTAATTTCATCCATTTCAAACTTGGTGACTGTTATGTTCATGATGTCTGAAAACAAAAACGAAATATTTTCAAATTCATTAAGGAATAAGCCATGACGGCCCTTTCATTTAATGTACTTGTGCTTGGAAGTGGTTGAACATATAACCTTACCTGACACATAGGCTATGTACATATTATGTTTCTGCTCTAGAATATGTCTAATAAATAAATATTTGAGTAAAATCAAGGAGCTTATGAAATATACCGTGTTGGCTATTGGCTCTACCATAATACAATTTTGTATTCTTTTTTTCATCTATAATGTGAACATCTCCTATTATTGATTTTATGTAAAATCTAATCTCCAAAGACCATTGTATATTTACATGAATATTTGTGCTGAAAGTTTTGTAAAAAACAATTTGTCTCAATCTCGTGACACTCACCTGTGAATCCTAAGAAGGACTTATCCTTTACTCCTAGTTTTCTATCATGTGTCACTTCTCAATGATTAAACGTATTTGCTTAAAAGGAAGGCATTTTGGAAAAAAATAGAATGTGTGCTGCACAGGTTTATGTAATGGTATTAAACTTTTATAGGCAATTGGAACCTACATATAAACATTTAAAGGAAGGTTGTTCGTATTTAGAATGTTAGTGTCTTACATAGGGACAAACAGGTACTTGTTAAAATATTAGCTATTATTTGGGGAGTAGGTATTGAATGATGGTTAATATTTTAAGTGATTCTTTTGTACTCCATATGGTGAACATAGTTAAACTATATTTTCTGCTTTGAATTCTTTTTTCCTTGATGTAATTTTGCATATTATTCTGATGAATCTATATAGATGAAATGTCAACTGTGAGTAAGAAAATGAACAGAAACTCGATTATCTTATTGAACTCTGTCACGAATACCAAATGCATATTGAAAATCACTCATTTTAGTTATTAGAATAACATTTTAGAATATTATGTTTTTAAGCATTAGGAATAAGAAAGTAGACATAGAGAACTGAAATATTATAAAAGTCAATTGCAATTAACCCATGAACTGGTAAGTTTTTTAAAAAAAATCTTTAGATAAATCTTTGTTAATTCTTGATATGAAGTATTACCAAGATTTCAGTAAGAGGTTTTTTGAATCTATTTCTTTTAAAAAAATGAATTGTTTATGACACTGAACATTTTATTCCCAGATGCTTTGCTGACTAATGTTGACCAGATTGTCCAGGAAACACAGGTGAGATTCTTATTACCTATAACTTACTTCAACACTTAAATGGGTATACACTTTTTATAAATTAACTTTAAGTAATTAGTTTGCTAATTTATGTAGCTTGTTGAAATTTTCTTTTAAAATTTACTTATAATTCTCAACAGTGAAGATTGAAGTTTAGTTTGATTAAGTGAATTCACAGTTTCTAAATTTAGAGATATTTGGGGTTAACTAAACATCTCTGCTTTGTCCTGTAAGAAATGAAGTTAATAATAGTGATGCATGCAACTTTGGAGTCACTCTTGTAGTCATACATGATACAATGTGCATTTTTACAAATATTTCCAAATGTGAAGACAGTACCTTGATAAGAATGTATTTACTCCTATCCTTGACCTCCACATCCTAATTAGAGCTGAGATGACACATTATGCCTCTTTGAAAACAGATGAACAGAAGTGTTTCACTGTTATCTAAAATGAATGAAGCCTCTTTAAAATGGAGCAAAAGACTACATATGAAATATTCATGGTATTACTTTTGTCAGCAACCAATTATTCTTCTTGAGTGGTTTTTTTAGGGGGGATGTTTGAAATGAGTATTTGATTCTTGAATTTTAATTGGATCAGAGAGTGTGTTTCCAGAGCAGAGAAGCACTTTAGCAATCTGTTCAAACAGCTGGAAGCATCAGCCATTTGCTTGAGGTTTGGCACACACACAAAAATTCTGCTTTTAACAGTTCTAAAAAAGGCCATTGATTTATTTGCTGGTAGTAAAAATAGGGTCTTGGTTTTTAACATTTTATATTTAAAAGAAAAACAACTTTGTCAATCTTTCAGGATCTTCCCTAATGAATTCTATCCACAAATCAAAATGTTTTCATGCATCATTTCTTTACTGAATTTAGAATCCCATTCTTATGTTGCAAAAAACAGCAGATGGCTCATTGGAAATACTGAAACAATCAATAGCACAATGTCTGGCACATGTTTGTGTTCTATTGTATGCAGTGAATTGACCTGCATGAAGGTGTCTTGTTTCTCCATCACCCCTTTTGTTCTCTCTCTCAATTTTAACATTTCTTCTTATTTCTCTTTCCATCTCTCTCTCTCTACCCATCACTCTCTCTCCCTCTTTGCCTCTCCTTCTCTTTCTCTCTTTCATTTTTAAAGTTCATTTATCATGTAACTTTAATAAATCATATCCAGCCAACCTGAAATTTAGGATAGGATACCTTTATATAATAATTAGGAAACAGATGATTAATCTATAAGGAACACAAGCCAAAATGGTACTAAATGTTGTTTCAAAATTTGGAAGCAGGCGAGTAAATGTCTACGTAAGTTTTCAATTACCAATTTAAAGAATTTTTGAAAGATTCACATTTGAAATGGAATATTGTATATTATTTTGCTTATGTATTTATTTTAGTATATTATTATAAATGGAATTTAGACTTTCTTTGGAAGTCTTTGTACTAAGAGATATAGCACAAAATTTTGCAAATGTGATACATATATAAGGCTTTGAATAATAACTTTTTATCTTAAAGTAATTAGTATTACAAAAAATAAGAAAATATCATTAAAAATAAATGACTGTCATATATTATAGAAAACTTCCCTTCATACTTAAGCTACCTTGTTCCTCTTTCTATAAATATTAGCAAGTAAAACAAATCCAAAGACAAATAATAGTTTTAACAAAATTCAGTGGCCATACATCACTCACTTATTAGCCAGCTCCTTGCTACCTTTCTATTATCAGATTTAAGTTACTGTATGACCCCAAGGTAACTATTCTTGATTCTCGGTAAATGATTTGTGCTATAGCAGGCCTATGTCTACCACTGTGAGAAGACCAAACAGTGATGCCCCTACTGAAGACAGTGTGTGACCTGTGTGTTCTTAGCTTTGTCATAGCCTTTCACATTGTCAGTGTGTGAATGAACAGAGGTGGAGAGCGGGCAGAGACCCTTTGTGATTGCAACTCTTCAGCTCCGAGTTTTCCGTAGCCAGTCATACTGAGGTACCTGTTAAGGTGAATTTTTTTCTAAGCATAGAGAGTTAAAACACTTATTTCATTTCCATTATTCAGAATATGCCCCATGCCAATTTTCTTTTTTAGAAGCCTTTAGGAATGTATATAAAAGTTGAGTGGCCTTGAAATATTTTAATATCTAATATATAATACAATTCTTTTATAATATAATCATAAAATTTTAATCACACTAAAATGAATTGAGAGGAAAGGGGAAAGGAATTACGTATAAAATTAATGCTGATAACTCTACGTGGAAATTGACACTTACCTATAAATTTTCCTTGTGTTTGGCCAAGATTTTTATCTTTACAAGGAACACAGTAAAACAATAGTTATGCTGTTCGGCAGTTAAGTAAGAAATAGTTGAGTAGTTTCCATTTATACTGAAAATGCCTTAAATAAAATTTCTTAAGAACTGTTTGCTGTTTTCTGACCAATAAAATATGTATGCATTGTGTGTGTGTGTGTGTGTGTGTGTGTGTGTGTGTAGCTTTGCACAAGAGCTATAGCTTATTCTGTGATTGCTTGCACAGGCCTTTAAGATAATTGCTTCTTGATTTTAATAAATTTAACTTGCGATTAGTCCACATTTAATAACAAGCAAAAGTGTAAACTTTGCAATAAAATCTCTGTTACAGATGAGTACAATTTTTTAGATAATTAATATACAAATTAAAAGCTAATATTGATTATGAATACATAACAACACTGATAAAACTATGGGAAAACACAGGGTTAGGAAAATACATGAAATAAGAGCCAAAGAGAAAAGCAAATTTTATACACATGATGCAAATATGCTTCCAATTTGTTTCCAGGTGAGTGTGATCAATGTAAAATATTTGCTTCTGCAGGAGGAGGTTCCTATGATATTCTTTTCAAGTAAATTTTCTGAAATAAGAGTAATAGAATAAACACATATGTAGGAAACATTTGGCTGTTTTTATAATAATTAAAGCATGTTTTTAACATATATATTTGAACATTATAACAAATTTTAAAAAAGGAGAGCCTTTGGGTCAGCAATGACCTTTAGAAATCATCTCCTTGCTTAGACATCCTAGCTATAAAAGATCAAAATATTTCACAGTTCTTAATTACATTGAGAATAGGGGCAGTAATAAATCTTTTCCCACAATTCATTTAATGTCAGGATTTTTTTTCTTCTCTTAATGTTCAGGGAGCTTGCATTTCTTATTTATCTTTTAGTACTGTTAATAAGACTGTCCACAGATTTTTGCATGATATCCACTCACTCTTAAATGAGGACAATAACCAAAACATCCTAAACCTACTACAACTTGATTATTTTTAGTTTTTGTAACATTTTTACCATATTTAGTCTGTATTATTTGTATTGTTTGATACTCTTGTAATTTTGTGTTTTATGTTTAGGTATTTATGGAATTACTATAGGAGCTATCTATTGATAAGTAAATTAAAAAGTGTCATTTTGGATATTCTATTAAATGCCAGTTTTTATTTGGCTTCATATTATTTAATAATTTTAATATTGCTACATCTTCAGAGCAGACAAACTTCTTAGTTCACAAAATTTTTATTTCCTACTGTTCAAATATAAACCATAATTTTACAGTTTGTTAATATGATTAGTTAATGTGAAACTCTAGTAAATCTTTAAGATATGTCAGCTTACAAAATCATTAACTTGATACTAAATTAAAGTTTGCTATCCTGGAACCATTTATTACTTAAAAACTTAAACTAGTTATTTTGTCCACTGTCATTTTCCTTCTAGGTGTACTGCAACTTTTACTTTTACTACTTTTTGTAACTTGACCTTTGATATAGTATCATAACACCTTTTTTGTGTCAAAGGGAGTATATCACTTGAAATATAAAAAGAGAAAACATGTTGATTTTCAATTTTACCAATATGAGCTCTGCAATGAACCAAATAAAGAAGAATTTAGTAATATATACCATTACATTTTTACAGTGATTTTGCAATGTTTTTCTTAGTATATTCCAGGTAAATTATGATAATAATATCTATATTTCAGTAGCTTTTTAAAAAGTAATTCTTTTTTTACAAATAAGATACACACTGGTCCCTTAACAGTCTTCACATATATGGTGTATTTCTTATTAGCTTTCCAAAATTATTATTTTTGCTAAAATCAATTTCACTATTCAGATTATCAATTATTTTGAAATGTTTTCTTAAATAAAATATCTTTACAGCATTTTACCTAACTTCACATAAAGTTACCAAAAATAACCTTTAATATACTTTAATAACTTTATCACATAAAATTATCTAAAGATATTCTACATCAACATTTTAATATAGAATACTAAATAAATGAATCTCTATTTCATGATTCATTCATGCCATGCATTTTATAATTCCCAAATAAAAAATTGTTAAGATGCAGTTGTTTTTTAATGGAAAAGAGAAAATTACTTGTACTCATGTATATGAAAGCATATATTTCTCAAAAAATTATTTTCCATTTTCATCAAGAATAGACTTCATTAGACATATCTTAAATCCATGAAGACTGAGAACACATATTAGAGGAAAAATATTTTCACAGTTTTATGTTTAAATATTTTTATAAAATGGCTTTTACATTATTTTCTTTCAAAATCATGTTTAATTCAAACATGGAATGCCTGTAAGAGTTATTGTAAGTTTTCCATTTATTTTGTTTTGTGGGTGAAAAACTGATTAGTTAAGGTGAATAATTTACTACCATTAAATGTATTATTAAATATTTGTAAAATTTTAATATCATACACATTTTCTAGCAGAATTTTTAAAATTTGTAAGTAGCATGCTTTAATAACTGCAATTATTATTTGTTTATCTTACCTTGAAATTATATATGTGAAAAACAAAGCAATAGAAAATGCCATTTTACAATGTAGCTTTGACTTTACATAATTATCTAGGCTTCATATACTTAGATTAAAAAAATAAGATACTTTTATATATTCACCAATTGAAGTTACTAAGAAGCATTTTATATGTTTATATGCATGTTTAGATAGTTTTCATGGGTGTGTGCTGTATTTCATGGCAAGCAACTCCTCCTTGGGTGCTTACATTTAGTTACTTTTAGATTGCTAGCACAATGATCTTATTAGCTATGTGTTTTCTTTCTTTCTTCCTTTCTTTCTTTTTTTCCTTTTTCTTTTTCTTTCATTTCAGAGGCTGGAGTTAATCTGAAGAGCACCACTTCTCCTCTCTCTCCTGAAAAAATTTGCCACTGATATTTTTACTGGATAAAATTCAAAAATGTTTCAATTCACAAAGGCTAATTGTTGAACTGGTGTCGTAGAAGAAATTGTCTACAGGAGCCAAGGTGAAAGTCTCTGATGACGGCGGAACTGGCTCCATTAGACCATGGTTCATCCTCTTTTAAAACCAAATTTTTTTTTCTTCTGGCCTACAAGTATTTTTTTTTTAAAAAAGAAAAAAAGCCTACATTGGCATCAAGTTCTGTATCAATCCATCTTACATTGCCATCCATGATTTAACAGACTGTAGAATCTTGAATAATCTATATCACTTTAACAAATAAATGTTTTACTATGACAGAATTTGCACATTGCCTGATTTGTGAAAGTACCCATTGCTTCAAGTGTGAGTGGTGAAATAATTATTGCAAGAACAAATACTACTCTTTTACATGTAGGCCGTGCAAAAACCTTAAGAGATTACAAGCGGCTTTATAATATTGGAAATATTTCTTCCATGATTCAGTGCACCCAGTTCTTTGGGAGAGCAGTACAGCTATTTAAGCAAGTTTATACTAATTTTATGCCTCAGTATAGGATAGAAAGTGATAAAGGCTCTCTTCTCCTAGTAAAACTTCCAAAATGATCAAGATAGGAATATTATAATGAATCCAAATTGATTCATTGCTTTTCTAGGGAGCCGGGGCAAAAGAGGTTTTAATAATTACAAGCCTTAAGTGCACATTTCTCCAATTTTGCACAAGTTCAGAGTAAGAACAAAGAATATGCATCTGCTTTACTACCAGCATACGTAGAACTGAGTTAATTTTGAGGGCTAATACAGGAGAATGCAGTCATATTTAAGCAATATCCAAGCTAAGCATTTAAGAGCTGCCCCTGGTGTGAAGCAGGCCTCAGCTGTGTGAGTTTGGCCAGTTATGCACAGCAATCTTCCATGTTGTCATAGAAAAGATATTAGTGTAAAATTTGAAAACACGTACATTTATCAGAATACATGGCAAAAGCAATAAGTTCAATAAAAATATTCATAAGAGCATTGTTACTCCCAACTGAATTCAGACTCTCTCAGATATTATAGATTATATCTCTATTCCTTGGTAATTCTGATAGTTATCATTGAGACCAATATGTAGTTTTTTTTTTTAATTCAAGTCAAATAAGCTAGAAAACTCTTTGCCTTTTAAGAAATTCAGGTTAATCTGTTAATTATTCCACATTTGGACTATTAAAAATATCCAGTCATCCAAGGAGAGGTTTCAAGACGTTAGCCATTTAGAACATTTGGAAGCCGTGCTCAGGAACGTAACTCCACCGGACAACATAGACACAGTTGTTTGCATGCACACACGTAGAGGCAAACACACGCGCACACACACACTCCCTGACATACACAATGCAAGACTGAAACAGAAGTTACAAGTTTGAATTGAATTTTTGTAGTTACATTTTGTAGTCACGACATTGGGCAATTTACCTAATTCTCTGACAACTTCAACACCCTGGAACAATTTTGCTTATGGGTGTGTATGCATATGCATACATAAATGTGTATGATGATTAAAAAGAGACGGATTGAACAGTGAATTCTGCCTCTGCAAATACATTGCTGTTGTATACAGCTTTTCTCCTAATATACATGTATAAAGAGAGAATCAAGAACAGGAATGGCTTTCCTGGATTTCAGCTCAGAGTGACATTTTCAGTTATCTTGGTTCCTCAAGGACATTGTCCTGTTTATTCTTACAGTCCTCCCACCCCTTTGGGGCTAATTCTTTTCTTGATGGTGATAACAAAGCAGTGTTGTTCATAGCCTGTCCTGTCATCTACTTTTTTGTTCATTCAGGATATTTATGCTATTGTTTTCGAAGGAACAGAATTGTTAGTGAGTTAAAATGAAAGTTAATCACTTCAAGACTTTACCCTGCATCCCCTACACCTAAATCCAAAATTTCCATTTATGCATATATTCAATCAAACAACATTACTCAGACACCCATAATGTACACATTTTCTTTTTTTAATTTTGTTTATGATGAAAAGTAGGCACAGACTCTGATTCTCAAGGTTCGTGAGAATCTATTGTTTTTATGAAATGGTATTTAATTCTTTTTTTTATTTTATTATTATTATACTTTAAGTTTTAGGGTACATGTGCACAATGTGCAGGTTTGTTACATATGTATACATGTGCCATGCTGGTGTGCTGCACCCATTAACTCGTCATTTAGCATTAGGTATATCTCCTAATGCTATCCCTCCCCCCTCCCCCCACCCCACAACAGTACCCAGAGTGTGATGTTCCCCTTGCTGTATCCATGTGTTCTCATAGTTCAATTCCCACCTATGAGTGAGAACATGTGGTGTTTGGTTTTTTGTCCTTGCGATAGTTTACTGAGAATGATGATTTCCAATTTCATCCATGTCCCTACAAAGGACATGAACTCATCATTTTTTATGGCTGCATAGTATTCCATGGTGTATATGTGCCACATTTTCTTAATCCAGTCTATCATTGTTGGACATTTGGGTTGGTTCCAAGTCTTTGCTATTGTGAATAGTGCCGCAATAAACATGTGTGTATGTGTCTTTATAGCAGCATGATTTATAGTCCTTTGGGTATATACCCAGTAATGGGATGGCTGGGTCAAATGGTATTTCTAGTTCTAGATCCCTGAGGAATCACCACACTGACATCCACAATGGTTGAACTAGTTTACAGTCCCACCAACAGTGTAAACGTGTTCCTATTTCTCCACATCCTCTCCAGCACCTGTTGTTTCCTGACTTTTTAATGATCGCCATTCTATACTGGTGTGAGATGCTATCTCATTGTGGTTTTGATTTGCATTTCTCTGATGGCCAGTGATGGTGAGCATTTTTTCATGTGTCTTTTGGCTGCATAAAAGTCTTCTTTTGAGAAGTGTCTGTTCATGTCCTTCGCCCACTTTTTGATGGGGTTGTTTGTTTTTTTCTTGTAAATTTGTTTGAGTTCAATGTAGATTCTGGATATCAGCCCTTTGTCAGATGAGTAGGTTGCAAAAATTTTCTCCCATTTTGTAGGTTGCCTGTTCACTCTGATGGTAGTTTCCTTTGCTGTGCAGAAGCTCTTTAGTTTAATTAGATCCCATTTGTCAATTTTGTCTTGTGTTGCCATTGCTTTTGGTGTTTTAGACATGAAGTCCTTGCCCATGCCTTTGTCCTGAATGGTAATGCCTAGGTTTTCTTCTAGGGTTTTTGTGGTTTTAGGTCTAACATTTAAGTCTTTAATACATCTTGAATTAATTTTTGTATAAGGTGTAAGGAAGGGATCCAGTTTCAGCTTTTTACATTTGGCTAGCCAGTTTTCCCAGCACCATTTATTGAATAGGGAATCCTTTCCCCATTTCTTGTTTTTGTCAGGTTTGTCAAAGATCAGATAGTTGTAGATATGTGGCATTATTTCTGAGGGCTCTGTTCTGTTCCATTGATCTATATCTCTGTTTTGGTACCAGTACCATGCTGTTTTGGTTACTGTAGCCTTGTAGTATAGTTTGAAGTCAGGTAGTGTGATGCCTCCAGCTTTGTTCTTTTGGCTTAGGATTGACTTGGCGATGCAGGCTTTTTTTTGGTTCCATATGAACTTTAAAGTAGTTTTTTCCAATTCTGTGAAGAAAGTCATTGGTAGCTTGATGGGGATGGCATTGAATCTATAAATTACCTTGGGCAGTATGGCCATTTTCACGATATTGATTCTTCCTACCCATGAGCATGGAATGTTCTTCCATTTCTTTGTATCCTCTTTTATTTCATTGAGCAGTGGTTTGTAGTTATCCTTGAAGAGGTCCTTCACGTCCCTTGTAAGTTGGATTCCTAGGTATTTTATTCTCTTTGAAGCAATTGTGAATGGGAGTTCACTCATGGTTTGGCTCTCTGTTTGTCTGTTATTGGTGTATAAGAATGCTTGTGATTTTTGTACATTGATTTTGTATCCTGAGACTTTGCTGAAGTTGCTTATCAGCTTAAGGAGATTTTGGGCTGAGACAATGGGGTTTTCTAGATATACAATCATGTCATCTGCAAACAGGGACAATTTGACTTCCTCTTTTCCTAATTGAATACCCTTTATTTCCTTCTCCTGCCTAATTGCCCTGGCCAGAACTTCCAACACTATGTTGAATAGGAGTGGTGAGAGAGCGCATCCCTGTCTTGTGCCAGTTTTCAAAGGGAATGCTTCCAGTTTTTGCCCATTCAGTATGATATTGGCTGTGGGTTTGTCGTAGATAGCTCTTATTATTTGGAGATACGTCCCATCAATACCTAATTTATTGAGAGTTTTTAGCATGAAGGTTGTTGAATTTTGTCAAAGGCCTTTTCTGCATCTATTGAGATAATCATGTGGTTTTTGTCTTTGGTTCTGTTTATATGCTGGATTACATTTATTGATTTGCATTTGTTGAACCAGCCTTGCATCCCAGGGATGAAGCCCACTTGATCATGGTGGATAAGCTTTTTGATGTGCTGCTGGATTCGGTTTGCAAGTATTTTAATGAGGATTTTTGCATCAATGTTCATCAAGGATATTGGTCTAAAATTCTGTTTTTTGGTTGTGTCTCTGCCCGGCTTTGGTATCAGGATGATGCTGGCCTCATAAAATGAGTTAGGGCGGATTCTCTCTTTTTCTACTGATTGGAATAGTTTCAGAAGGAATGGTACCAGTTCCTACTTGTACCTCTGGTAGAATTCGGCTGTGAATCCATCTGGTCCTGGACTTTTTTTTGGTTCGTAAGCTATTAATTATTACATTTGCTGAGGAGAGCTTTACTTCCAACTATGTGGTCAATTTTGGAATAGGTGTGGTGTGGTGCTGAAAAAAATGTATATTCTGTTGATTTGGGGTGGAGAGTTCTGTAGATGTCTATTAGGTCCACTTGGTGCAGAGCTGCGTTCAATTCCTGGGTATCCTTGTTAACTTTCTGTCTCGTTGATCTGTCTAATGTTGACAGTGGGGTGTTAAAGTCTCCCATTATTATTGTGTTGGAGTCTAAGTCTCTTTGTAGGTCACTCAGGACTTGCTTTATGAATCTGGGTGCTCCTGTATTGGGAGCATATATATTTAGGATAGTTAGCTCTTCTTGTTGAATTGATCCCTTTACCATTATGTAATGGCCTTCTTTGTCTCTTTTGATCTTTGTTGGTTTAAAGTCTGTTTTATCAGAGACTAGGATTGCAACCCCTGCCTTTTTTTGTTTTCCATTTGCTTGGTAGATCTTCCTCCATCCTTTTATTTTGAGCCTATGTGTGTCTCTGCACGTGAGATGGGTTTGCAGAATACAGCACACTGATGGGTCTTGACTCTTTATCCAATTTGCCAGTTTATGTCTTTTAATTGGAGCATTTAGTCCATTTACATTTAAAGTTAATATTGTTATGTGTGAATTTGATCCTGTCATTATGATGTTAGCTGGTTATTTTGCTCATTAGTTGATGCAGTTTCTTCGTAGTCTTGATGGTCTTTACATTTTGGCATGGTTTTGCAGTGGCTGGTACCAGTTGTTCCTTTCCGTGTTTAGTGCTTCCTTCAGGAGCTCTTTTAGGGCAGGCCTGGTGGTGACAAAATCTCTCAGCATTTGCTTGTCTGTAAAATATTTTATTTCTCCTTCACTTATGAAGCTTAGTTTGTCTGGATATGAAATTCTGTGTTGAAAATTCTTTTCTTTAAGAATGTTGAATATTGGCCCCCACTCTCTTCTGGCTTGTAGAGTTTCTGCCAAGAGATCCGCTGTTAGTCTGATGGGCTTCCCTTTGTGGGTAACCCGACCTTTCTCTCTGGCTGCCCTTAACATTTTTTCCTTCATTTCAATTTTGGTGAATCTGACAATTATGTGTCTTGGAGTTGCTCTTCTCGAGGAGTATCTTTGTGGCGTTCTCTGTATTTCCTGAATCTGAACGTTGGCCTGCCTTGCTAGATTGGGGATGTTCTCCTGGATAATATCCTGCAGAGTGTTTTCCAACTTGGTTGCATTCTCCCCATCACTTTCAGGTACACCACTCAGACATAGATTTGGTATTTTCACATAGTCCCATATTTCTTGGAGGCTTTGTTGGTTTCTTTTTATTCTTTTTTCTCTAAACTTCCCTTCTCACTTCATTTCATTCATTTCATCTTCCATGGCTGATACCCTTTCTTCCATTTGATCACATCGGCTCCTGAGGCTTCTGCATTCTTCATGTAGTTCTCGAGCCTTAGCTTTCAGCTCCATCAGCTCCTTTAAGCACTTCTCTGTATTGGTTATTCTAGTTATACATTCGTCTAAATTTTTTTCAAAGTTTTTAACTTCTTTGCCTTTGGTTTGAATTTCCTCCTGTAGCTCGGAGTAGTTTGATCGTCTGAAGCCTTCTTCTCTCAACTCGTCAAAGTCATTATCCGTCCAGCTTTGATCCATTGCTGATGAGCAACTGCGTTCCTTTGGAGAAGGAGAGGTGCTCTGCTTTTTAGAGTTTCCAGTTTTTCTGCTCTGTTTTTTCCCCATCTTTGTGGTTTTATCTACTTTTGGTCTTTGATGATGGTGATGTACAGATGGGTTTTTGGTGTGGATGTTGTTTTTGTTTGTTAGTTTTCTTTCTAACAGACAGGACCCTCAGCTGCAGGTCTGTTGGAGTTTGCTAGAGGTCCACTCCAGACCCTGTTTGCCTGGGTACCAGCAGCGGTGGCTGCAGAAGAGCGGACTTTCATGAACCGCGAATGCTGGTGTCTGCTCGTTCCTCTGGAAGTTTTGTCTCAGAGGAGTACCCGGCCGTGTGAGGTGTCAGTCTGCCTCTACTGGGGGGTGCCTCCCAGTTAAGCTGCTTGGGGTCAGGTGTCAGGGGTCAGGCACCCAGTTGAGGAGGCAGTCTGCCCATTCTCAGATCTCCAGCTGCGTGCTGGGAGAACCACTGCTCTCTTCAACTCTGTCAGACAGGGACATTTAAATCTGCAGAGGTTACTGCTGTCTTTTTGTTAGTCTGTGCCCTGCCCCCAGAGGTGGAGCCTACAGAGGCAGGCAGGCCTCCTTGAGCTGTGGTGGGCTCCACCCAGTTTGAGCTTCCCAGGTGCTTTGTTTACCTAAGCAAGCCTGGGCAATGGTGGGCGCCCCTCCCCCAGCCTTGCTGCCGCTTGCAGTTTGATCTCAGACTGCTGTGCTAGCAATCAGCGAGACTCCGTGGGGTAGGACCCTCCGAGCCAGGTGGGAGATATAATCTCTTGGTGCGCTGTTTTTTAAGCCCGTCGGAAAAGCGCAGTATTAGGGTGGGAGTGACCCGATTTTCCAGGTGCGGTCTGTTACCCTTTTCTTTGACTAGGAAAGGGAACTCCCTGACCCCTTGCGCTTCCCACTGACCTGCGCCCACTGTCTGGCACTCCCTAGTGAGATGAACCCGGTACCTCAGATGGAAATGCAGAAATCACCCGTCTTCTGTGTCGCTCACCCTGGGAGCTGTAGACCGGAGCTGTTCCTATGCAGCCATCTTGGCTGCCACCTCTGAAATGGTATTTAATTCTTATATTAAGGAGATTAACAGAACATAGGTGTATACCCATAACTAAATAAGATTAATAATCATTAACAAATAGAGTTCTACAAAAACATAAAGTTCTACAGAAAGTGGCATAATTATATTTTAAAAATAAGCAGGAGAAATTTGTTTTAGCTGAGCATATTTATAAGGTACAGGAATTAGCTAATCTATGATAACAAGTCTCAATGCTAATGTTAATGGACATAGACTGGAAACCATTTAAATCATTCCTGTTACTCTACATTCCTGGGTAATTTTGGAAGTAGTCTAGCTGCCAAAAATATGAAAGTATAAATACATACATCTTAGGGCACATCTAATGCATAGTATATACTGTAAAGCACAACAAACACAAGAATTTCAAATAAAAGTGTTTTGAATGCAATAGAGTTATAGCTGAATGAGGTGTGGAAGTAGACTGCAAACTATAAGTTCCTCTTTTGAAAATCTAAAATCATGATTTTTAAAATTTGGAATAATCTTTAGAACTAAAGAGTTCTAATATTTCTAACAATTTGTAGAAATAAAGTACTGTTAGAAAGGAGTAACACATGGAAATAAATCTCAAATAACTTATTTTTTATTTTATGTATAATTTTGTAGCTCTCTGGCTAGTTTCTATACAAGTTTTAACTGTCAGATAAATCACAAAATATTCTTTTTCTTATATATGGAATGTTTTAGGACACTTTTTTTATTTTTTCTAAAATAAACTCATAAACTCAGGTTATTTATTCAATCACTCTGTTGTACTTGTTCCAGAAAATTATTCAAGTTTTATTTCTTTACTTTTATGTTTCCAAAATATATTCATACAGACTTTTATAGATCTAATAATTAATTATCATGTGCACTGGTGTGTATTGAAACATATGAAATTGTCTAAAAATGCAAATGAGGTATAAATTTTTGTGTAGAAGAGTAAAAGTAAAAAAGTAAAAGTATAGTACCACGTAAAAGTCCCCAGCACCTGATTATTTTATTTAATATAAAATTATATAGGGAGGCTATCTACACTAATTTTTTTAAAGAAGATTTTACTTTGGAAAATATATAACATAAAATTTGACATTTTAACCATTTTAACTGTACAAGCCAATAGTGTAAACTACACTTACAATGCTGTGCAATCATCACCCTCTATTTTAAATATTTCTTAAAAAGCACTTAAAGATTTTTTATGACCTAAATACAAACTCTATACCCATGTAGCAAATAATACTCATTCCTCCTCTCTCCCTATCTTTAATAGACTCTGATCTACCTTTTTTCTATGATATGCCAATTCTAGATATGTCATGTAAGTGGAATCATACAATATTTGCCCTCTGATGTCTAATTTATTCCACTTATTGTAATGTCTCCAAGGCTCACCCATGTTGAAGTATGCCTCAGATCTTCACCTCCTCTTATGGTATAATGATATTTTATATATCACATTTTGTTTATCCATCATCTTTTGATGAAACTTTCGTTATTTCTACCTTTGGCCACTGCAAATAATGCTGCAATGCCGCATTGAACATCAGTGTACGGGTATCTGTTTGAGACTGTGTGTTTTCAGTTCTTCTGGTTATATATCTAGCAGTGGAATTGCTAGGTCATATGATAGTTTTAATTTTGAGTTTTTTGTTACTTTTTTGAGGAAGTGTCAGTGTGTTTTCTACCATAGCTGCACCTTTTTAGATTTCTTCGAATAATTTGTGAGGGTGTTAGGGTTTCAATTTCTCCAACTTTTTAATTTTTTTATGGTTTTTGGTTTTGATTTGCATTTTCCTAATAATGAATGATATTGAGCATTATTTTATGTGCTTATTGATCATTTGTATATATTCTTTGCAGAAATGTCTACTCAACATTTTTGCCCGTTTTAAAATTGTGTTGACTTTTGGTAGTTGTTTATATATTCAGGATACCAGTCCTTTATCAGATATATAATTAGCAAATATTTTTTCCCATTTTGTAGATTGTCTTTTTACATTCTTAATAATATACTTTGATTAAATTTTTAAAATTTTTATGATTCTGATTGTATTTTTTGCTTTTGTTTCTTGTGCTTTTGGTGTCGTTTTAAGAACCTGTTTCCCAATTCAAGGTCACGAAGATTGGCGCCTGTGTTTTCCTCTAAGGGTTGTATAGTTTCAGTGCACAAGACAATGGTGATTATTTTTAGGTAATTGATTTGTTTAGAGTAAATTTTTGTAGATAGTGTGAGGTAGAGTTCGAACTTTGTTTTTTTGGATGTGAAAATCCAGTTGTCTCAGCTTCATCTGTTGAAGATGCTGTTATTTTCTCATTTAATTTGGCAGTCTCATCAAAAATCAATTGGTCAAAGATGTTTGGGTTTATTTGTTGGATCTCTATTGTATCCCATTGGTCTATTTGTCTATATTACAGTGTTTTGATTACCGTAGCTTTGTAAGTCTTGAAATCTGGAATTGTGAGTCCACTAACTTTGTTCTTTTTCAAGATTGTTTTGTCTAGTGAAAGCCCCTGGCAATTTCATATTCATTTGAAGTTTAGATTTTTCATTTTGGCAATAAATCTGTTGGAATTTTTACAGAGATTGTATTGAACCTGTACATTGCTTTGGGTGGTATTAACATGGCAACAATATTAAAACCTCCAATCTGTGAATGTTGGATGTCTTTCCATTTATTTGTGTCATTTTAATTTTTTTCAACAAGGTTTTGTTGCTGTTTAGAAACACAGTTGGTTCTATATGTGATCTTGTACCCTTTAACATGGCTGAATGTGTTGATTAGCTCTAGTAGCTTTTTTGTCGATTCTTTGGGAACTTCTCTATGTAGGATCATGTTATCTGTGAATAGAGACACTTCGCTTCTTCCTTTCCAATTTGGATGCCTTTTATTTCCTTTTCTTTTCTAATTTCTCTGGCTAGAATTCCAGTAGAACGTTTAAGAGCAGTGGTGAAAATTGACATCCTTGTCTTGTTATCGATATTAAACGTTTTCATATTTCATGATGAGTATGATGTAAGCTGTAGATTTTTCATAAATAAGCTTTGTCATGTTAAGGAAGTTCCCTTTCGTTGTTGTTTTCTAGCGTTTTTATCAGAAAGGAGTGTTGGATTTTATCAAATGCCTATTGGTTTTGATTTATCATATGTGCTTTGTCCTCCTTTACTATATTGTGTTGTATTGTATTCATTGATTTTCGATCTGTAATTACCATAGCATTCTTGGGATGAATCTTACTTGGCCATTGTTATTATCCTTTCACTATACTGTTGCACTTCTTTTGCTAGTGTTCTTTTGTAGATTAGTATATATATAGCTTTTTCATTTATATATATAATATATAATATACATACATATATAATGACTATTGGTGCAGTTTTATTTATATATATAATATATATAATAAATGTTTATGTATATGTATAAAATAGGTATTGGTGCAGTTTTATTTTCATGTGATATCTTCATCTAGCTTTGGTATCAGGACTATTTTGGCCCCATAGAATGGGTTAAGGACTGTGTCCTCTCTTCTGTTCATTTTCTTAAAGAGTCTGAGAAGAACTGATAACAATTCTCTTTAAGAGTTTGGTAGAACTCCCCAGTGAAGCCATCTGGTCCTAGCATGTCTTTTTTCAAAGGTTTTGGATTGTAATTCAATGTATTTGTTGTTATAGTCCTGCTGAGATTTTCTATTTTCTCTTGAGTCGGTTAGGTAATTTTTGTGTTTCTAAGAATTGCTGAATTTCATCTAGGCTATCTAATTTACTAGTGATTTGTAATATTTTCTTATAATTCTTTTTGATTCTTTAAGGTCAGTTCTATCTATTATTGATTGTGGTGTGCTGAAGTCTCCAACCATTACTGTAGAATTGTCTGTTTGTACCTTTGATTATGTCAATGTTTGCTCATTTTGCTCATATTTGTTGTTGTATATGAGTTTACAATTGTTATATTTCTTGATGAAGTGACCCTTTTATATATTTATGTTTTTGGACACAATATTTGTGTCAGCATATTATTGGGTGATTTTTCTTACCAATTCTACCAATCACTGGATTTTTTTATTTGTTTGATTTTTTTACTCTTGAAAAAATTCCACACAATATTGTTTATATTTGGCATTTTTCCACATGGTCATATTCTCTTTGGTGAAAACTAGAAGGACTTGGTCTTCCATTCCCTGGTCAATCATAAGATGTCTTGGGATAGACATAAGATGTCTTAGGATAAATGATAAGATGTCTTAGGATAAATGATAAGATGTCTTAGGATAAGATGTCTTGGGATAAATCATAAGATGTCTCAGTACATTGATGTCAATAAGCAACCTCAGAAAACATGAAAGAGGAAAAAAAAATAAACAATGACATATCCAGGACCTCTGCTTTCAAGAGTCCTTGAATACCAATAGAGTTTATGTAATCACCAAATTATGAAAAAATACTTTTTAATTAGGACTTTTTAGTAAGTTATATCTTCTATCATTGCAGCTATCAGTAAGCAGGACAGAGAAACATTAATAGTGTTGAGATTCAAAACTCAAATTTTACATTTATGTTCAAATATAAAATGTTAACTAGGTATTTTACATTCTGTTTTCATGATGTCTTCAATCTCTGTTTTTCTGATTGGGGAATTTAATTAATTTAATTTACATTTGAAATAATTACTGATAAGGAAATATTTACTTCTCTCATTTTGCTATGTGTTTTCTTGTATGTCTTATACCTTGTTTGTCCCTTATTTCCTTCATTATTGCCTTCTTTTGTATTTAGTTAATTTTTGATGATGAATCATTTTTACTCTCTTTTCATTTCTTCCATGTATATTATATGAATATTTTCTTTGTGTTTATGATGGGAGTTATATTTATCATACTAAATGCATAACAACATAATTTGAATTGACTCTGATTAAACTTCTATAGCATACAAAATTTCTACTCCTAAACAGTATAAGCCTTCATTCTATGTTATTATCAAAAGCTACAGCTTCATACCTTGTGCATCCAATAACATAAGTTTATAAATATTTGTATGCATTTCTGTTTTACACTTTTTAAATTATACTTTAAGTTCTAGGGTACATAGAATACTGTGTTTTACACATTTTTTAAGAAATACAAATTAGAATGACAAACCAAAAATAAAGTAATGTTAGTTTTTTATAGTTCTGTGTATTTATCTTTACTAAGACCTTTACTTACATGATTTTGAAATACTGTAAAGTGTCCTTTCATTTCAATTGGAGGGATTCTCTTTAGCTTTTCCTCTAGGCCAGATCTGATGGTAAAACAGTCTTCCATCCTCTTTTTTTTTTTTTATCTGAGAATTTCTGAATACCTCTCTTAGTTTTAAGTACAATTTTGCTGGATATAGAATTTTTGGTTGACTTTTTAAAATCAAGTAAGATTCTTTTATGATAAAAGAATTTCAACATTTTTTGCTATTCCCTTGCCTTCTTACCATCATACTTTCTGATTACATTTGGGCTATGAATCTTATTGTAGATCCCTTGTTAGTGACAAGTTTCTTCTCTCGTTGCTTTCAAGATCCTCTCTTTGCCTTTGGTTTTCAGTGTGTGAAATGTGTCTAAATGTGGGTATAATTGAATTTTTCCACCTTGAAGTTTGTTGAGCTTTTTAGACTTTTAGATTCATGTATTTCATTAAAATTGGTAAGTTTGAGAAGTTGAATATTCTTTAAATATTATTTCAACCCCCTTTTCTCTGTCTTCTCTGGGACTTAGATAATGCATGTGTTAATCCACTTGATGGTTTTCTAGAGGGCTTTTATGTTCTGTTCACTTTTCCTCTTTATTTTTTTCTTTTTTAAACCTAGTAACTTAATCTGTCTTATGTTTAAGTCCATGCTGTTTTTCCTCTGCCTGATCAAATCTGTTGTTGAACACCTCTGGTGATTTTTTATTTCAGTTGCTATAATTTTACTTCAATAACTTCTGTTGTATTCTCTGTTATAATTTCTGTTTTTACTGATACCATAATTTTTTCATATATCCTTTTTTGTTTATGTTTTTTGTAGTTCTCTATGTTTTCCCTTAGCTTTTTAAACATATTTAAACAGTTTTTTAAAAATACTTTTCCAGTATGTGTGATGCCTGGCTTCCTCTGATACGGTTTATTTCAATTTACTTTTTTTCCTTTTTACTCATTCTTATTACTTTATACATCTTGTTGATTTTTGTTGAAAATTGGACATTTACATATTATAATATAGTGAATCTGGAAATCAAACTTTATTCCTTCCCTAAAGTTTGCTATATTTTCAATTGTTGAAGTCTGTGCTAGTCTATTTGTTTAGTTACTTTTGCAAGCTATTCTTGCCAAAACTTTTTTCTTGTTTTTTTGTGACCATTAAAATATCTGTTCATTCAGCTAATGTCTGACTAATGTTTTAACAGATATTTCCTTGAACTCTAGGAGCTAAAATAAAGATAAAACAAAGCAAAAATACAAAACATAGCAAATAAAATATTAGAAAATAATTACAAAAGAAAAAAGCTTTAGTATTTGGAGATTGTCTCCGTGCTGTGGCATTTTCATCATTTAGCCAGACTTGAACTGAGCCTAGGCATCAGCTCAGGGTGGAAACACAGAGTTTTCTCTGTTCCTTTATTAACATGTGTCTTGCCTTGATCATGTGCTTGGCTTTATAAATTCCCCTGTATATACAAGTGCTTTTGAATATCCTGATTTTCCAAAGAATTTCTTCCTAGATCTTAAGCAGTCTACTTTATGTCACAACTGTAATCTTTTACCTCAAGCATCTGTTTGTTTGCCTTGCTGCATTTTTGAGCAATACCTGATTCTTTAGCCTGAGATCCAAAACAGAGATGACTGCTTTTCACGATTTCTCCAGGTAGTCCCCAGACACAATAGAACAGACATACGCAATAATTTGTGAATAAGGTCCATTTGACTTTCTTCAGAATGAAGGACCAGGATTCTGAACTGGGTACACAGGGTGCTACTGCTTTAAGACTTGTGAAAGATGGACAAGGAAAGTAAAAATGCCACAAATGCCTTTCTACCATCTTAATTTGCAGTTTTCTTAATTTAGCATCCATATGGTTGAGGTAAATCTTTGACTATTTACCAGAGTTCTGTCAAAGTTGGTTCTGACAATTTCTGTGGAATAACAAGAGCTTGGAACTGACGACTCTGCTGATATCACTCTATACGGTTTTTGTTTTCTCTTGATAAGTATCTTGGTAATGGAAAGAAGAAACATTTTGGTCGTGATGGGAACAAGGTTGTTTATAGAATTTTAGAATGTTTTCATCTTAAAATGTTTTCAATATCACAAATCTGATTGTCATAATTGTTAAATGAATGAATTTACTTTGAGTTCACTAGCCTTATTTGTTAGGCGTAAATTTGTCATATGTGTTTCACTTACTTCTTGCCCAAACTATCAATGGCTCCTCTTTTATTTTTTAATGACCCTGATTTTTTAATTCCTCTTTTCATATTTAAAATTCAGTTCCAGGACCTAGCAACTATCACTTACCTGTGTGTCCTTAACTAACCCATATACCAGGCTTTCTATAATTAGTATATTACTAACTTCTGGAACCTTACTCCAACAAAGCAGAATTCCAAAATGCCACCTAATCTAATTATCAGTAAATACATTTTTCTCTATCTAGGTTAATAACCATTGTTTATTTGCTCCTATGATGACAGTGCCTCTTTGATGACTAAAAATTAAAAATGATCACAAAATGTTTAAACTTCAATCCTTTGCAAAAGAATGCATTATCTATATGCATAAATTATTCACAAACTTTAGTAAAATAGTTTATGTGTGAATTCATGTACAAGTCAACAATAAATACTCTATGTTGTGGCAGCGTACATGCAGGTCAATTGGGACTCACTAAGTATCTATGGATACGTTACTTTAAACTGTTTTTGTTGTTGTTGTTTTTGTTGTTGTTTATTTTTTATTTTTATTTTATTATTATTATACTTTAAGTTTTAGGGTACATGTGCACAATGTGCAGGTTTGTTACATATGTATACATGTGTCATGTTGGTGTACTGCACCCATTAACTCGTCATTTAGCATTAGGTGTATCTCCTAATGCAATCCCTCCCCCCTACTCCCTCCCCACAACAGTCCCCGGAGTGTGATGTTCCCCTTCCTATGTCCATGTGTTCTCATTGTTGTTTATTTTTAAGGAAAAGGAGCATTGTCTGTGTCTATTATGACATAAAATAGCATTTCATAAGTCTTAGGGCATTTAAGACATGCAAAGTTCTAGAAAAATGAAAGCAATAGAGTGGATCAAAATTATTTTTCCAGATCAAGTTAATAAGTTTGGTGCATTAAAAGTCTTAAGTTATTACATTTAACAATTTAGACATAAAACATTTAACTAAATACATTTAGAAACATTTTTTGAATGAATTTTTGAGTGGAGTGGCTTACAAAATGTCCTCAAGAATCTCCAATTCCTAAAAGCTGCTTATTGTATTTTAAATGGAATATTACAAAATTTATGACTTTTTTTATCAAACGTTTTCAATTCTGTTAACTATTTTTTCAGCATTTAGTATGGCCTGGGTATGATACTCTTTATTGTGAATACAGAGATAACAGACTAAAGACCTCCCATATGTTAGTATCTATATGGTATTTAAATGTGTGGACCCATATATTTACATAAGAATTAATATTGTTATGTCATTTAGGATCACAACTCTTTGGAAACAGTACAAATCAACCCAATGACCACTGAACAAGAAAGATGAAAAAACGTTTATACAATGGTGCTACTTAAAATGAGTAAGGTTTAATAAAATCCTCAAATCATAATTCTAATTATGGAAACACAAGATTCTACATTTTCATTTTGAATCCACTCTTAGTATTTTACCACATCAACTCAAACTACTTTTCCTGAGCTCTATACTCCATGTACCCTTGTGTTATTTAAAGACATATGTATCTTAAGTTCCTTTGATATTAGGCATTATTTCTTATTAAATTTTGGATCTCCTACAGTGCTTAGTTTGTTGTTGCAAATACGAAAGACAGATTATATATATTTGCTATATAAATATATTGTAACTGTAGCTGTATACAGAATGAACCAAGGAATGGCAAATTTGGAGTCAGCTATAAGAATGTGCAAGTCTTTCTATGATTACATTAGGGTAATAGCTAACAAAGAAAAGCTGAAATAAGATACAGAAAGTATCAATAGAACCTGCATTTTCATATTTAATAAACTCATATTTATGTAACACTTATTTGTTAGAATTCTGTGCTTCTTAGTCTTTTAGGTGATCTAGAGGAGAGAGTAAGTGACTTTTGAATATCTAACATGAGTTCATATCAAGTCAATGTCATGCACCTCATAGAAAATTTGGTTCCTAGACTAAAAGAGCATATTTTTATGGGAATAAATAAATATGGTAACAGGAAACTTTAATATAAGACATAACATATGCACAATAGTAAGCTTAATGGATACACTGTGAGAAATAAAGAGAAATACGTGATTATAAATTATTACATGTTTCTGAGTTTGGTGTCTCAGAATATAGTGATTAATACCAAGACTAATGGAAAAAGTGAGTAGTATAAAGCGTTATTTCCATTTAACCATGCATAATTTTAAGTTTTATAATGATAGCAATAGAAAATTAGAGCTTTGAGACTGGGGAAATGTATGTAGCTCTGAATATAAATTAAACTAAATTTAAACCTTTATTCTTGGGTGCTTAACCACTGTTTTCTTGCTCTTCTATGGGAAACAAACTTAATTTCTATCCTGAATGTACTGAAGAGTAATCACACACAGTCTTATCTAGTATCTTCTCTATAATTAATTTATTCAAACACTTTTATAGATTATGCTTTCAAAATTGCTTAACACTCTCTTCTCTATGATGACTGCCCTAACTGAGCTAAAGGGGCAAGTCAAGTGAATTAACTGATATTGCCTTAGCAATTGTGAATAGCTAAAATCAGCTGTATACATTTCTTTACTTTTTATTATTTGTGGATTTTTTTCATCGTATGCTTTTTATTTATTTCTTTTATTAGTCTTGATTTGCTTTTTACTTTCTTTAAAATCAGTAAAAAATAAATTAATGTGAAATGTAGATAAATTTAAGTTCATTTTTAGAACCTCAATAATAGTTTTTTTTTTCCAATAATTTCTTGTTGGCACCCTTATAGTGTTCTGCTGTTTTTTCTATTGACTCACTGGCAAATGCTGGAATAAATAGTACTCAAAAACTAGAATACTATTTTTGTTTATTTTTATCTTTAAAATATAATTTCCAAAGGTACAGAAAATAAAAATTGTAATAATTATTATTTAGAGGCAAATAAGTACCATTTGTATCCCTGGGCTTGTGATTCAAAAATCACTTTTCTTGTTTACGTAGTCAGTGAACACTCTAATCCTTCTTTGGGCAGATTCTGTGAAACAATGAAACTTGATCACCCTAAATTCCAGTTCTATGGTCCAATGGTTCTATTTCCTTCTCCACTCTCCTTTATTTAAGAATGAATAGTACAGTGTAGGCAAACCCTTTTATCAAGA
Source organism: Homo sapiens (assembly GCF_000001405.40). Lineage (NCBI taxonomy): Eukaryota > Metazoa > Chordata > Mammalia > Primates > Hominidae > Homo > Homo sapiens. Next base: position 41,922,303 of record NC_000014.9, read on the forward strand.
GTGTTTTCAATGGATTTTTAATGACATCAAATGTTCTCTAAAACAACATTTCTCAAACTTTACTGGACATCAGGATTATCTCAGAAATGAGTCAGTTCGTGGCCTTTACCACTCCCTCAGCAAATTGTGTGTCAATCTTGAGTATCTCAACAGTTTACATCCTCTACCTCATCACATACATGATTCTAATGTAGGTGTCCAGAGAATAAAGTTCTGGGAAAGACTGGCCTGCTAAGGTGTCAAAATATCTGGAAAGTTGGAAATTCAGTTAAAAGAATTTGGTCTTCATCATGAGTGATTTTTAAATTATCTTTCTTATTTGGATTGACTAATGGTATATAAACGCAGGGAAGAAATAAATATTTCATGAAAATTGATTATTTGTTTCTGACAAAGTCAGCTAAAAGTTTCTTCACTATATTACCTAAGAAGTTAAATATTTCCCTTAAAAATGTTTTCATTATTTAAAATGAAATGTTTATTTTCAAATAAATGAGAAATTATTTTTATTAAATTTCACTGTTCTTAGTGATACCATTTCATCTTATATTAATTTACAGTTTGGAGGCCTTTTCTACACTACAAAATTTTTCTTCTGAAAAGACACTGTTAAACTTTGCAATGAATGCATTTATTTTCTTATCATTTTTACTTACATTATCACTCATGCTAAATTGATGTAACTTGTCAGAATAAGTAGTTGCTCTGTTTAATTATATAATTTTAATATTCGTGTAAATTAAACTCTAATGACAAAAATTAATTTTATCTATAAAGATATTTATTATAGTGCCTCTAACACTATTTTGAATGTTAGCTTACAAGAGGGACACATGGAAGTAGCAATAAAGTTTTCTAAATGAAAAAATAACAAGTAAGTCACTATAATTGTGTTTCTTACCATTTCAAATTTCCTGAGATCTCAGTGTGGCCAGAATTGTGATTAATATAAGACTTGATGCAAAGAAAAAGAGCAAATCTTCATTAGAAATTCAGGAATCGTTTAATTATAATTGTTTTCTTTAGTTCATTGAAATGGTCAAATTATTCTAATATTTTTCTTTTGAATCAATAAAGATACATAATGTCTTTATAGCAATACTAATTTTATTATGTAACATTTTAGTGCTCTATATTTTTGTAAAATATACATCCACAAGTTGCATTCCAGAAGCAACTAGATGCTTGATCAATCAACATTTTAATGCATCTAGTGTATTAAATTTGTGTATTTAATTCACAACAATGGTAATCTTTCCAGGGCAGTTTCTTTCTAGGGATCCTTTGAAGTTAGCAGCAAGATGAAATATTAGATAATTAATCAATATCCAATTACTTAATGTACGTAAATATGACAGACTTCTTATCTTTGCCCAGAGTACTAGGATTTAAATTCTGATAAATATCTATTTTGTGCCATCACTAGTATTTTTGTTGTCTTTCATCTTTTCCACTCTTATTCTATTTCTTTACATGGTGCGGTCTTCATGTAATATTCTACAGTTTTACTTTTTGCCACCCTTAATGCCTATAAAATCATTTTTAAATTATACTATTTACTCTATTCTTGAATTATGTTTATATATTCAGCTACATTTTCAAATTTTAATCTCAAGATATTTAACCTTAATCTAATTACATATTACTTAATTCTCTGTTTCTTAGTTGTCTATATGATTCTCTTTTGGTGTTGACTCTTTTGTAACTCTGTTAGTGTTTTGGTCCTCATAATTAATTGTTTTACTATTGTTAATACTTATTCTAATTTAACAATAATCCAAAAAATAAGCATAGTAGATAGATGAAGTATATGAAATATAGTACATTAAATAATAACAGTTACAACAATATTTAAAGGTCATCTACAAAAAATAAATGAAAATCAAATTTTGGCTGTCAAAATTAAACAAATTGAACTATAATAAAGGCCTTAGGCAGAGAGGACTGGCAGGAAATTGGAGCTAGGGAGTTAAGTATATAAATTCTGGGACCAGAGAGGTAGATGTGGGAAGAGATGCTATCTTAAATAAGATTTCGAAGACTGAAGCTATAGAAAAGATTTACCAATTTAAAGTTGAATCTAAGGGCAAGTAGAGAGTAGAAAACTTGTCAGAATTTCGTAAATGGAAAAATTGGTGAATAAGAAAAAGAACAAGATAAGATAATGAGATGCATTTTTAGATCTAAGTCAGCTTTCAGTAAATGACACATGACACTAATGTTTTGATAAGAGATGGTCAATTTTTAATAGTCAGGAGACTAAGCACAGTATGAAAGAGAGTAAAGAATGGTGATTAATTTCCAAAGGGCGATAGCATAATGGTACAGGATTCTTTGAGGTGGAAGCAATAAAAGGAGGGCATTATAAAGTTAAAATAGAGATGAATTTCACATGCATCTCTGGGTCTTCAGGTGATTCTGGTGCTCAGTCAGATGGCAATGGATATTTTATATTTTTAAATTTTATTAAATCTTACATTTTCTTTTCTGCACTTGGCCAAAGTGTGGTGCCTTAGAATGAAGAAGATTAAAGTTAGGCTGAAGTTAAAATTCTGAGTTAAAAATCCTGAGTGTAATATCATTGGACTATTTCAAAGCTAATTATTTTGGCTATTGGTTAACTGACTTATTTCCACAGAGTCAAAAAAAAGGGAGTTGTTAACGTTGTCGAGAATATAATTCAGGACTTCTGACTCTCCAGTGTAACCACTACACCATATTTTGATGACCTTTGCCTGACACCGCATGAAATAATTTATAAAGCTTTAAAAACTATGGTGTAGTATTTTGGGTTTCAATCTAAGACTCAAGTAAATGAGAGCAGTAGCTATTTTATGGAGCAAATACAAATTGATTTTAGTTGTAAGTGTGGTCCAATTCACTTAGCTTGAATTATTTAAGCATCACCTATAAATGTATTCAGTAGTAAATTACAGCTGAAAGCTTCATCTTCAAAAATAGAATGTTTCACTTTATAAGACTTAGAAATTCTAGATTCATTGTGAGGAGTTGACACAGCACTATCTTTCCTAGCTCAGATGGAAAGCTTTATTCAGCATTAGATAGCTGACGATGTGGGTTAGAAGACAGATTTAAATTTCTATAATTTCTAACATTATAATTCTATAATATTGTGTTTGTTTCACTTGTAAATAATGCATTTATCTAATTCCTATTATGATGTGTTGAGACTTATTCTCACTGATACTCATGGCCCTGATTAGAAATTAAGTAGACAAGTTTAATTTAGAGGCTCTCTCCTCCTTGGAAAATCCCCCAAATCCCACTAGATGGCACCTCACTAACGATCTTGCCACTGCTCTCTGGCAGATTAAACATTTCTCTATGGGAGGGAACCCAAGGTTACAATCTGTTGAAAGCACAGACAGGAGGCTGTGTTTTTCACAGAACATTACATAAGATTAAGACTATTTTAATTGTCTCAAAAAACAAAGATGGAACTAATACAGATCAAGCCATATTCTGTTGCCACTGTGATCTCCGTGAAGACTAAGCTCACTTAGGAGGTACATGATGAATGTCTTCAGTTTTCCTAAACAAATAATTATGAAGTTTGCTTTTGAGATATGAAAGTGCCCGGCAAACTCAGTAAAAGTTTTACTCAAATTTACTTGGCCTTATAAAGACTTTTTAATTACATCTAACATCACTTGTACATAGATTAGATCCCAGTGGTAGATTTAATTGAACTTAACCTTCTCATTGGTCACCAAATATTAAGCAATCAGTTCAGGCAAAGAGCTGTTATGTTAATTTAGAAGTATTAATCTGCTTATAATTAGCCCAAGACTGAAGGGATGGGGAAAGTAGACATCCATGTACAAGACCTTTTGTGGATCTCTTAGAGAATGGCTTTCAGATTGAATGAACTTCAAATTGAAGTCCAAATGCAAAATCTCACTACCATAAAAGTGTCTGAAATGGTTTAAGAATTCAAAGTTACTAACTTAAAAGTCAAGAGGAAAGAAAAAGCCTCATGGTCAATTACTTACTTTACTTTTAAATAAAGCATACATATTTTCTCATATAGAGAACTTGTGACAACTACATGGTCAAAACAGGGCATATAATTTACTAAACACATGATTAAAAACTGATATAAATGTGTGCATAACACAAAGTTGATAATAAATATTTGTTGGATAAATAAAAATATGAGGGGAATATTTCAAACATTGAAAAAATCATAACGAGATAATATTATTTGTTTGTAGATTTTTAAAATAATCACAATAGCTTTTCTCCTTAAATACTTAACTTACATTAATCAGGCATGTGCCTAAAGACCAACTGAAAAAAATCAACTACGATAATGCTCTTAATTTACTTATATGACATAATACCAGACAATTTCATTTTAAGTAACTTTACTAGGCTCTTGATTAAATTAAATAATTAATCTATCCAATGAAAATCTTCATCATTATACTTATAAATACAATTCTACACACTTGGTAATAATTTTACTTAATTATCTCTAAATACAGGTGCAAATCTAAGAAAGTACCAAACATGTACCTTAAGCCCTGGCAGCCTTTTTTCTTACAGGTAGCTTGTTATATTAATGCTATAGAATAACTCTGAAAAATATGTAAGAAATCTATAACACAGCAAACAGGTAACATCATCCAAAGATGAGCATGATATTATTAAAATAAAACAGTACTATGCTTTCTGCTACTAGTTCTACTACAACTAATAGAGGAAATTGTACCACTAATAATAAATTTATTTAAAATTTAATACTCGCTATATGGAAGGCACAATTTCTGTCACTTTAAGTTCATTAATGAATCACACTCTTATAAAAACCCTATAAGTTAGATATAAATGTTATCATATTTTAAAAAGGTGAATGAAAGTTTTAACAGCCTAAATAACTGTCCCAGGATGCCCAGCTCACAAGTCTCAGAAGCACAATTCAAACTCCAAATCTTTCACTATACCCTGTCACTCTCAATCCATATCCCCTGTTACTAAAATTAATATACTATCTCCAAGACAAAATAGTATTAGAACAATGACACTACGCTATTTGACTAGTAAATGTAATGTGTGAAGAATCTAATTTTTAAAAAACAATTTGTCACAATAAGCAGTCATTTTATTTCAAAATTAGTTTTAATATAACTTCATGTAGTTATGAAAAATGCATTGGGGACTTACTAGGTGTTTTTTATGTAGACTTCTATTTAATTTACCAACATTGGAGTTAGGTTTGATTATTGTTATTTTATAGATGACAAAACGGGAGCTCAGCTCAATTAAGAAAGAGCCCAGGTCACTCTGTGAGCATTAATGTCATAAACAAAACTTGGGTGTTTGAGTCCCAAACACACACAAATCATCATATATATGTATATAGACACGTATGTCTGGGTGGGTGAGTATACATGTATATACATATACCAGAAGTGGCTAGTGATAGGCATTAGGAGCAATTAGGAGCAGTTCAAATCACTGTCCACAACCTGTACCTGTTTAACCTGTTTGGCCTTCTGGAATCAAGTGTGTCTGCGCTATAAGCAATGGCACTTCAGGGAACAATTGGAGATCCCAAGGAGGTGATGTACAGGTGCGGCTAATTTATGGGATGCTCTTTTCTATTCTCTCATTTTTCAGCAAGATGTCCCTGTTACACATAAGGGAAGGCTTCCTGACCTTCCAAACTTGCTGTTACAAATTCTATTATGAACAAGACACTTACTGAAATCAAGATTGTCATGAACAGTGACTTCTGAGTTGAACATCTGACATGTGCTGCCCATCTACAGTGTGCTGAAGGTGCAGCTGGTGGGGAAAAAGCCCAGTGCCCTTTAAGCCAAACTGGGCTAAGTGACCCTTTTCATTCTTGATTGCAGTCTGCATTCCTGTATCTGCTCTGTGCCCTTTGCTCTGCTTGGCCTGGCTGAAGGAAGCACCTCTACTCCACCACCATCTGGGCCTTTCCTAAACCTTGTCACCTGAGAGCCATTCTCAACCTGCAGAACTTCCAGGACAACACTTTAACTTGATTACTTCCCCAACCTATGCCCTCCAGCCACCAGAAAGAAGCCTTCAGGAGTCCCTACAGCACCCACGCAGGCCCTCTCCAGTTTTCCCCCTCCCTTCCTGATGCTGTGAAAACCACAGAATAAATGTTTATCACTTTCAAAAATATTATATATATATATAATATAAATGAATTTTTCTTTTTACTGCACATAATATAGTACCCTGTTCACCTCTCAGATAAATAAATCATAATTATCATTTTCTGCTTTTAAATACCCTGAAAATATAAAAAGTTACATAAAATCAATTTTTTGAAACATAAGTGCCTTATAATTAATCAAACTGTATTCCTGTCTATTATATTAAGGTTTTTTTTTTCTTTTTCTGTGTGGTATAAATGCAACTATGAGAAATTCTTACAACTCTTTCTAGTCATAGAAGGATATTACTATTTTGAAAGCTTTAGTGCATATCAACAATATGACATTGAGAAATGTTGGATTAAGTTGTCTCACCACCAGCATTGCTTGGAAGTGCCTATCTCTCTAAACACTGTCACTAACATGGGGAATTATCATTAAAGAAAAGAAAGTCTCATCAACTTCTAGTCTTGAAAATATGTCATAATTATATAGGTAAATCCTTGAGTGCTACAGTTTAGTCATTTTTTACATGTTTGTTGGTTCCTATACATAGTACCATATTTTTATAAAGACATCAATTATTATCCATTAAGGACTGTTAAACATATCAGTAACTCATCCTTATATATACTGACATCTTTTCCAAGCTTCTCATTTATCAAGTTTCATATAATATTTGCAAATATTGGAGTTTTAATTTATATGTAGTTAAATACATACTTTATTTTCTGGGTGATTCTTTTCTGTTTTTTTTTTTTTTTGTAGTTGTTTTTATGCTTAGAAAGTTCTTCACTATTTTGATAATAAATATTAGCTAATGTTTCCTTTAAATTGTTATACTATTTGGAATTTATTTGTTGTTTTAAATTTCTACTACGTCTGAAGTATATCTTTGTTATATGATATATGCTAGAATAGATTTTTAATATTTAAAGTTTTTAAAATTTTTATTTGCACTAATTGTTGAATAATGCCTATATTCTTTATAGATTTTCTTTATCATCCTTTAGAAAGTACATTCTGTATACACACGGGCATACAAACACACACAGTGTTCCAACACAATCTATCATATCAACTTGACTGATACTACATCAATTTTTCTATTAATAAGCCACATTATTTAACTATACAATATATGTACTAAAGTACATTCTTGTAGAACTCTTGTTTTCCACTTGTATTTGTTAAAATTATCTCATATTGTTCTTCATGAACTAATAAAAGATTTGAGGGAGAAAGAGGATCTATACATTTAAATCTTACTATCCAAGAATATGATGTGATTTGTTCAAGTCTTCTCTTTTGTCTCTGAGTTAAGATTTATAATTTTTGTCTTATAAATCTGTGTATTTCTTATTAAATTTAAGGGAAACTCTTAAAAATGAAAAGGGTATAATTTTTGCTATTTTTTTCCTGTGTTCTCTCTAACTTAATGATCACTCAACTTGAATTGCAAGGTAATTTCTACAAGGGTCTCTCTCAGTTGCAGAGCAGTGAATGGTGGTTAAGGTCCTGTCTCTGGAGCCCAACATGTCTGAATTTGCAAACCCATCTTACCACTTATCTGTGTGCCCTTAGCAAGATAGTTAAGCTTTCTTTACCTCTGTTTCCTCATTTATCAAATAGAGTTATTAACAAAAAAAAATTCTGAGGTGTCTTGAGAAATAGAAGTAAGTTAATAACAATAGAAGTGCCAAACCATTATTAAGTGCTCAATTATAATCCCTAATCTTTTTAAGTGCTCAAATATAGGATGTTAACTATTATTAATAGCATTATATCGTACTACTAAAATAAAGTGAGAATATTCAATTAATTGGAAAGTCAATATACTGAAGAAATGGAGCAGTGATACAACCAATGTGTTTGGGTTTAGTCAAATTAATTAACTGAATTATGTAGCCATCAGAGACCGTGAGACATCCAGAATTTTAATATTCCTGTCAAAACAAGTCAAAGTATCATTTGATTCTGGTGAAACGATCTATGACAGCCAAAGGAGCATAATCTATAATAACAATTATTTTAGCAAAGTTAAAAAGTTTATTCATTATGATTATAATGATTTTTGCATTACTCATATATATTTCTGTTCTATAAGTTAAATGTAAATCATATGCCTTTTTAGTAATACATCAAATTAGTAGAACATATGTTTTAATGTATCTTCATAAATTTTATTTTATTAAAAAGATAGTATTTTGAGTAATGACATAAACAGCTTTAAAGTGAAATGATCTCGGATTTATTTATTACTTATAAAAGATTTTAATCAATAAATATGTATTCTTGATCCTGGAAAAAATAGAGGACTAAGAAAATCTACACGCCCTTCAGCTAAAAGACCTAGGCTTCCTTAAATATAACAATTAATATAATTATTCACACTAATAACAACAATAATTAGAAAATGTAAAGTTGGCAGAAATAAAAAAATAAAAATAAAATGTTAAACACAGGAGCCACTGTTGAGACTGCAACCTCAAACTGCTTTGGAAGAGGTGGTGGAATAAATATGAGACGATGTTCTGTAAAAACTTGGTGCTCACAGACATACAATCACAGGTTAAAAGACTTTGAGTCTGAACCAAACTCAGAGCAACAAATGAAACTGCATGAACCATAATGCTTGAAAGGCTACATCAGCATGAAAGGAAGAACCAGAAAATGCCTCCCTGTGCGTTACAGGCAAAAGAAAAAATAACCTTGTTTCTTCCTGGTTTGAGGGATAGTTTATGAGGCGTGGGGTGGAGTTTCCTGAGAAACTGAAAACTGTGTTTCAGAATCCTTGTGGGTAGAAAATTTTCAAGTGAAGAAAATATTAAAAATGGTACCAGGATGCTATTGTCATGTCAGCTTCTGGCTAAGGCAAGCACAAAATCTTGGGAAAGACAAAATGGCCTTAAAGAAAAATAAATAAATAAATAAACTCATACTTTTACACATTTAGTAAAACTACAGAACAATATTTGCAAAAAGATAACCATAAAAGGAGAAAAAAGCTCACTAAATTTTCAACAAAAGAACATTTATCAGATATATATTTAGGTATCTTAACCTCAAATGTAGGCCAAACACAATAGAATAATATCATCAAATCCATCAGTAAAAAAAGTCAACCCGATTTCTATATCCCATTCAACTATAATGTGAGAATAAGGGCAAAAACAGTTTCTTTTTTTCAGGAAAAAATATTCTGTCACTCACTCATGAAAGTGAAATCAAATCCAGTTGAGAGAAAGCTAGAAGAAACATTACACAGTGTAATTGGTAGGTATATGAGTAAATCTGAACAATCATAAACTATGAAAAATAGTAATGATGATAGTTACCAATTGAGAATATATAGATATAATAACAAGATAGGCTTGGGTTAATGAAAATTACAACATTCTATCTTAATATTATTCAGAAAGAGGCTAGTAGAGACAGCGATTAAGAAACTTCCACGTCTGAGTGCAGTGGCTCACACCTGTAATACCAGGGTTTGGGAGGTTGAGGTGAGAGGATTGCCTGAGCGTAGGCACTCGAGATTACAGTGAGCTCTAACTGTGCCACTATACTCCAGCCTGGGCAACAGAGGTAGACCCAGTCTCTAAAAACAAACAAACAAATAAAAAGAAAGAAATTTCTACTGTCTAAGTATTTGTGTAAATGTAAACCTAATTGCCAAAAATATAAGAGGAAATAATAGAAAATGAAGTGAACATGATAAATAAACTAGCAAGCTGAAAAGGAAAACAATTAATAGGTATATAAAATTCAAAGTTGAAACAAAGTTACTAGAAATTATCAATGTATGTATATATGTATGTATAATAGTACATGCTTTTAATAATATATAATTATAATATATATCACTGCATATTATTTACTATATATGCTTAGAAATAAAGAATGGAGAGGAGAATTAAAATATTGACTATAAAGTTATATATACACACATATTTGCATGTAAATATATTTACATACTAACCAGTGTATATGCATATATATGCTCAAATTGGTAATAAAAAGGAAAATTACTGATATTATTTCTGTGGTTCCACAGGAAAAAAAAGCCACTTTAAATCTTTATATCTCTAGAAACAAACTACTAAATTTATAAAGCAAACATTTTAACATTAACAAGTAGACAACAAAAGCTTCACAATCACATTGGAGATTTTAATGTGTAATTTGCACAATAGATAAATAGAATAGACAAAAATAAGCAATGATATGAAACATTGTAATTAACATATTTAGCAAATTTGACTTAAATAACATATGAAGAAACACTTTTTAAAGCCATTCATGGAATACTTAGAAATATTGACCATGTATTAAGCAACAGAAGAAATCTCAGCAGGGTCTTAGCAAATGAATCTGTAATCACATACAATTATTACAACTCAATAATGAAGATATAAGACTCAGCACCTTACTTTCTGAAATTTAAAAATTACTGCAAAATAATTCATTAAAATGAATATGACAAATTAGTCACATGAATACAAAAACACAGTATTGCTGTATCCCTAAAATTCAGTTAAAATAGCATTTAGAAGAAAACTTTTAGCATATATTTATATATTAGAAAGGAAGAAAAAATGGATATTAATGTGCACAACTTTAAATCTCATAAAGAACAAGAGAAATTGATAGAAAGCTTTGTAAGGTGACTATTATATGTAAATTTTGAATTTAATAAAGGTAAAAAGTCAAAGATATTAGTGACAAGAAAACGTTTTCTTTGTAAATGTAATTCAACCAAAAAATACTCCTCTGGTATGACTGATCAATAAGTATGAGGAACGTTACAAATTTTATATGTATATGAAATTTAAAATGTCACGAATTAATACTATAAATAAATTATATGTTCTTAAAGTAGAAATTTTAATTCAAGACAACTTTCACAAAATACAATTATCTATACTGACACAAGAAGTATAACAAAAAGAAAATAGACCTGTAATTATTTTCACACATGAACCACACGTCAGTTTTTAGGAAAATTCTATCAAATTTTCAGGAAATGAATCATCAATATTATGCAAATTGTTTCAAATGATGGAACAAGATGGAATTAACTCACTGATTTTTATAATTTAGCAATAATCTCTCACTGTATACAAAAATCAACTCAAAATGCATTGAAGACTTAAATGTAAGATCTGAATCTATGAAACTACCAGAAGAAAACATTGGGGAAAACACTACAGGACATTGGTCTGGGCAAAGATTTTTGAGTAAGGCCTCAAAAGCATAGGCAGCACAAGCAAAAATGTACAAATGGGATTACATCAAGCTAAAAAGCTTCTACACAGCGAAGGAAATAATCAGCAAAGTGAAGAGACGGCCTACAGAATGAAGAAAATATTTGCAAACTATCCATCTGATAAAGGATTAATAAATGAAATATATCAGGAACAAAAATCTTGATAGCAAAAAATCATATAATCCAATTTAAAATGGATCAATGATCTGAATAGATATTTCTCAAAAGAACACATAAAATAGCCAACAGCTATCTGAAAAAATACTCAATATCACTAATTATTAGGAAAATGCAAGTCAAAACCACAATGAGATACCATCAGACCCCAGTTAAAATGGCCATTATTAGAAAGACAATGACTAAGAGATGCTGGTGAAGATGAGCAAAAGGGTAACACTGAGGTCTGTTATTAGGTACAAAAATACAGGTGGGATAGAAGGAATAAATTCTAGTGTCCAATAGCACAATAGGATGACTATAGTTAACAATAATTTACTGCGTATTTTAAAAATACCTAAAAGATTTAAAATGTTTTCAACACAGAGACACAATACATGTTTGAGTTGGTGGATATCCTAATTACCCTGATTTGATAATTACACATTGCACGCATGTATCAAAATATTTCCATGTACCCAATAAATATGTACAATTATTATGTATCAATATTGAAAATATTAATAACAATATCTGAGAAGACTATACCTGAAGAAAATTACAGATCAATTTCAACTGTGAATATTGACATTACAAAAACCTAAACAGATATGTTCTTTAAAGAGAAACCTCACATGCAAACACACAGATAGATACCCACTGCTGTTTCATGTAATAAACTTTGTACTAGAAGTTCCAGCCTGTGTACGAAACCAAGAAAAATAAATTAAGAGACAAAAACAGCACACTGTCGTTATTAGCGGATGTATTTTTCCACCCAGAACACTCTAAACATGCTATAGAAACATTATTTCAACTAATAATTTTAAGACATTTGCTGCTTATAAGAGCAATATATGAAAAAAAGTGAATACAGTTAAACAACAAAATAAATATAGTCAGTGTTTGGGTCCTGGTGCTATAAAAATAATAAAAAAAGATTTTGGTATTGTTTAATCTTTAAATAAGCTATGATTTGTTTAAAGACTTTACATATTTCTATTAGTGTTCATTAGCATTTTTAGTCCTGTTTATAATGTAACACTCCTTTTCTTTAAAATATTCCATGTTTCATGTCATAAAATACAAAGCTCAAATCAAACCAGAGTGTGTGTTTTTTAAGTAAATCATTAAAATTGACAACACTTCTTATTGACTTTATAGGTTATATTTACATTTGTAAGTGTTTCTTAAGATAGTGTAGTAATTACGTTCATTAAACAATATATTATTAACCCTAATCTAGAATTTATTTATTTGATTGGGCTAATCTTAGATTCTTACACTGTTCCTGTCTTTAAAATCATTTTCAAACATTGAAATCTCATACAAGTTTTAAAATTGTGCTTAAAATCATATAAACTTTATTGTCTTGAAAACTGTTAAGTAAGTACATTACGGTAGTGTTAACTATATGCATGTTGTTATTCAACACAATCTCATCAATTTTAAGAACAATTTATTGTGGAAGCAACTGGCAACCCATTAAGTCACAGGTGATTTTAAGTAAATTTCAAGTATAACTTGTCAAGTGGAATCTTAATGCTTTTGAAGATAAAATCTTATAATCTAGTTTTCTCTCTTCCATTTTAAAGAGTGATAGCTATAATGAAATCACCTTAAACTCCTCATTGAATTATGCCTCTTTGTTTCAATCACTTTTTAAAAAATCACTTCTATTTGATTTGAGGACAACATTTCCCTTCATTTTCTCAGTTACACTATTAAACTGTGAAATATATGTATAAATCATACATTATTTAACATATGTTGTAAAATGTGCAGTAGACTCAGTCCCATATAAAGAAAAACATCGCATCAGTAATTAATCAATAAAAACTAAAAAATGATTTTACCTTAGAAATAAGACTGTGATTAATCTAAGGAATAGTAAAGGTAGTGTGTTTAGGTTAGGGAGACTATTATTGTCTTACAGATGTAAATTTGCATTAATATTTACACTTTTATATCAGTTATAAAAACTAGAATTCTGTATTATATAAGAATTTTGTATCCCCAAGTCATTGTCATTTGGTGTTCATTCTTAACATTAGAACCACTCTATACACTGCAAAACAAGTTTTACTTTCAGTATTTAATTTATAAAATCCTTTCAAAACACTTCTTTTCAAGGGAATTCTAAAAAATTCTAATCCTTTTCACTAAAGGTAAATATAAACAATCGATGATATTAATGTAGTGAAAAAGTTCGATGTTTATATAGTGAAAAATTGAGGAAATTTTGATTTAAATAGATGGTTAGGAAAAAACTGATGGTATAAAATTCCTTCCAATTGTAATATTACAGTTGTGCTGATTGGGTAAATGGCAAAATAATAAGTTTTTTTATTGTTATGGCAAATAACTAAGGATATCTAGAATGTTGAGATAGAAAAATTTTCATGGCTTTATACCCCGCCCTAAAATGTTGGAAAGATATATTACTTTTTGTGTTTAAATGGTCTTATGTACTTCAAAGTGATGTTTCAAAAAATGTTACCTGCAACATTGAGTCTTTGTGTCCTCATGCCTTTGAAATTTCTTATTGAAATAAAATTGACATAAGTGAGCAAGTTACTATTTTTAAGGCAATTTTTCATCTGTAAAGCCAATGTAGAGTTGAATTACATTTAACTTCTGGAAGAAATTATGGGAATAGAATTTTCCTATATTAAATGTGACAGTGAATTATCCATTAATGTCCATTAACAATCAACTGATTAGTAAATTGTCCCTGTAATGGTGGTACTCTTGCCAACATGTCATTTAGTGTCAGCTTTGGTCAAGTGGGAAATAAATGGAAAGCATACAATTACTCTGACCTTTTCAGGATCAAAAGGCATTTTGACATACTTCAAACCATTTTAATGATAGCAGCTCTCTACTAATTGAATAAACCCTAATAAAAAGAATATAATCTATTTGGGGATTTTTTAGATGGTTAATAGATCTTTTATTATATGCTGTGTAAAAGAAGAAATTTGATATGTTATTGAAGAAGATAATATATATGTCATAGAGGAAAATGGGAAACCACTTGGAGAAAGTTTAAAAGGAAAAATAAGTGTTTAATTGACTGAATGAAAATAATAGACAAAGAAAAGTCCAGGGTCCCCTGTCTGTTTTTGCGATGTTCAGGATTTTACTTTTAGGTTTTTTTACTTAGTATTATTCTGTTGTTTATGATATTTCAATTAACTTTTTGTCTCTTAAAAGCATGTCTCTTTTTAAGGAGAGCATGTGATTGCATTCTATGTGCATGAATTAATTTTTAGAGGAAAAGGCCAAGGAAAAGATTATACCTGCTTAAAATGGAACATAATTAGCTGCAGGAAAGCAGTTTGTTTTTAAAACCAGAAAAAAACAGTGCAGCAATTGTAGGCTCTGTTGTTTATTCCTGTTTGGAACAGTAATCATTAGTAAATGATTTGGCCCCGAGATTCGATTATAAAGCTTGGTGCTGAGCAATCAGGTATGATTTACTGTGGACGGCAACAGGGGATGAGGTTTTCAACAATGTGGCAGATGGAAATTTGAAAACCATTATAGTCAGGAAAAGCAAAAATGTGGCTTCTTATAGTAATCATAACTCACCCACAGCTGCAGTCTGTGATGATGGACATTCCATGATTATTGCCTTTGCATTTTTCAAACAAATGTTTTCTTCCTATAAAATTTTTACTCACATTTGTATGTGTGAATATACACATGTATCCAAAATATATCTATGTCTATCCATACTCATGTATATAATGTAGCAAATTTAACTTTTTTCACTTTGCTAAATAATCTTGCATCTTTAATGTAATAATAAAATCAGTCATTATAGCAATTCAAAATATGAAGTTGAAAATGGCATGTATACATCATATCTTTCCCCAAGTACTCTAGTATCACTATCAGAAAAAGAAGCATACCATTGTTATTACTATGACTACTACTGCTAATAAAAATAATAATGAATGCCACGAAAAACACATATTGATCTCCAAAAAATACAGTATTAGAATATTTATCCCACTATTCATAAAAATAAAATTCAAAAAGGACTGTGAAAATGATAATGTACCTAAACATAGTGATGCTCCAATGATAATTACTAATTTTCTATTATTACAAATATTTTCTACTGTTTCATATATATAGTAAAATAAGGGATTATACAATAAACAAAAGAGATTATAAAGTAAGACTTTTATAGCAGAAATAATATACTGTATGATTGAGCTAACAATAAATTATGTAAACGTTACATTAGGAATTAGAAAATATGGTGATTGATAAATTGAGTCACATTATTTAGAAAGTTAACCATTTACTGTTTTCTTTTCACTGGTTTATTATTTTGTTCTAGCTTTTCTGAGGCT
The DNA here is from genome assembly GCF_000001405.40 of Homo sapiens. Taxonomy (NCBI): domain Eukaryota; kingdom Metazoa; phylum Chordata; class Mammalia; order Primates; family Hominidae; genus Homo; species Homo sapiens. The sequence continues at coordinate 41,938,250 of NC_000014.9, forward strand.
TCATTTTAAGAAAATGTACCATAAGAAATAATGACACTTATACCAACAATCGCTTCTTTTTATTTTTATTTTTTTTTTTGCTTCATAAACACGATTTATAAATGTTCTTCCTAGAAGCTCTAATGAGTAATTAGAAATTGTTATAAGAAATTGTTATTAAGATGTAAATATTAAGTCCTAAAGTTGTTCTGAGGCAACTTTATATATGTTTTTGAAATACGTACCACCTTGATTATTTCCTTTCTGTAAAGAACAATTTCAATTTTTCTGTTTTTTAATCTTCAAAAGCAGAAAACTATAATCTTCCAGATATTTCTTTTGACTCATCTTATCTTTCATAGAGCCATCAGCTGCTTTCTTCACTGAATCAGGAAAAATACAGTACTATTTATTATTTGGATATTCATATTTTCTTTGTCATCATAGGTAATAAGTTTCAATCACTGCAAAATCAGCAATTTATTTTTAGTTTGTTATACCCATTGTATTTTCTTTCAAATTTGGGTGATAGAATAGTTTGATAATATTCTATTAGTATCAGAAAAAGTAAAACATCTGAAGATATTCTAAGATGGGATTCTTCCTTTATTACACGAAGGGTTTAAAGTTTTACGTACACTTTATTCTTTGCATGTTAATAATGACTTGCATGAAAGCATTTTGAGGCATTTCTGATTAAATTAAATGCATTTAAAATGCATCTGTACTTCCTTTTTTTCTTTTATTTTTATTTTTATTTTTTTAGACAGAGTCTTGCTCTGTTGCCCAGACTGGAGTGCAGAGTGCAGTGGTGTGATCTCGGCTCACTGCAACCTCTGCCTCCCAGCGATTCCTTCAAGCGATTCCCATGGAGTAGCTGGGATTACAGATATGTGCCTTGTATTTTAGTACAGACAGGGTTTCACCATGTTGGCCAGGTTGGTCCTGAACTCCTGAACTCCTGAACTCAGGTGATCCATGCACCTCGACCTCCCAAAGTGCTGGGATTACGGCTATGAGTCACCGTGCCCGGCCTGTTTTTCTATTCATGTATACTCTGAACATTGATAAGTATATACTTGAGGAGGCAATGGTTAAATAGGCATAAATGTGAGGTTTTCTCAGTGGCAAGAGTGTCTAAAAGGTCACAAAGAGTAGAGTGTAAGTGATCCATAAATCTAAACAAGAATTATATGATGGGAAAGATAGAATCCAGGAGGTGCTTGAGTGTTAACAGTGCCGTGTAGTAGGAAAGCGAAGTACAATGGTTAATCACTTCAGGGAAAAATTGCTATTTGTTACTTTGCATTTTATTAGCTGCCATTTGTATCTTATTTAGAAAAGAGAATGAGGACAACAAAGAAATGCATTCATTTCCCTTTCCTTGCTTTCTAGTATTTATGGTTATCACCCTAGAATCTGGAGTTCTTTGGAAAAAAAATTGGGGTTTTCATCAAACTCCTATTATAATGCAAGTTATATCAGTGTCGGAGCAGCTTGTTTGTTCCTCAGGATATCTCATGTAAGCCCCTGCTTGTGTACCTGGTACTCAGCAGTGATTTGTGCTTTAGACTGCTGAAGAAAAGATGCAAGACTGCGCCATGGAAACTGGGAAAATCACTCTCCCTTTCAACTTGGTAAGCAATACCAAGATTGAAGAATTTGTGTCACAAGATGTACAAAAAGGAGGCAGTAATTATTATTTTTTAATTAAGAGAAGATCCTGGAAACAAATGCTAGAAAAGGTATGATTTCTTAGTTGTGACAGCAATAAAATTAATAAATATTAAGACTTAAATATAGCTATTCGATAACAAATAAATTTCATGAAGCACACAGAAAAATAAGCTGTGTTTAGTTTTAGATCAATCTCAGCACAATCGTGAAATATACCTTCCATCTGAATCTTTTATGTTTAGAAAGTATTTTTATATTTTCTAAAGATATTCAAAAAAACCTAGAAATGTCATTTTATTTAAAGTTTGAGGAATGGGTGTCTGACATTCAAATCAGAGAGATTAACAAAGGGGTTTGCGACTGCTGAAAAGAAAGTTTCTGGAAGCCAGCCTTTCAATTGTGAGTAGTATTTGCCTCATTAGATCATAGAATTCAAGTAAAAGTATATTATAGGCTTCATTTCATACATAGCATAACACACAAATTTACTTAATATGCATTGTTTTCTTCTAATTCCCCCTAATCTATTCCCTTTCTAAGTCAAATGTTTGCATAACCGCACTAAGGAAAATGGTTATTTGCATATAAGCAGAAGAACAGTGACATACAATATAAAAACAGTAAAGTTAAGGCAACTATGCCTCTTTAAAAGTGCTATCCATTTCCGAGGCTCTCTCTGTCTTTCCTCTGATTTCACACAAATACACAACTCACATAAGAACTCCACGAAATAATTTTTATCTTCCTAAAATTGCTTATTACACATAAGAGACCTTCAAGTAGTTATTGTAAATTAATTGAATTGATCCACTCTGAAATATAAAAGTACTTTTAGGAACCCATTCATTAAGATATTACTCTAAGTCAATACGAGGAGACTTTGAAAAGCTTGTGGAAAAAGGAATTACAAGGTAAAAATGAAAAATATAAACTTTATTCCTCAACGTAAGCTTGATCAAGGTCATGATATTTTGTAAGTGATGCTATCAGCCATTTAGTTCATTCCTAAAGAACTGATGGTTCTGGGAATTTAACCATGTCAATGCAGTATTTTTACATTATTAACTGAAGAAAAATTGGTGCCTTTTAAAGTATTTTTGTTTGTTTGTTTTCTTTAAGATTAGGAAGCAAAAAGAAGTCAGAAGGAGCCAAATCAGGACTCTAAGGTGGATACCTTAGATAAGGTGGATTTTTTCCCATTGAAAATCTTGCAAAATGGCCCTTGTTTGACGAGAGTAATGAACGGGCACATTGTCATGGTGGAGAAGGACTCCCTAGTGAAGTTCTCTTGGGCATTTTTCTGCTAACGCTTTTGGGTAACTCTCTTAAAATGCTCTTGTAACAAGGAGATATTATTTTCTTTGGCCCTCCAGAAAGTCAACAAACAAAATGACTTGACATCTCAGAAAACGATTGCCATCATCTTTGCTCTTGGCTGGTTCACTTTTGCTTCGACTTGACTACTTCCACCTCCACATAGCCATTACCTTGATTTTGCTTTGTCCTCAGAATATTACCGTTAAAGCCATGTCTCATATCCTGTTACAATTTTTCAAAAATGTCTTCAGGAACTTAATCCCACTTGTTTAAAATTTGCATTGAAAGCTCTGCTCTTGTTTGCGGCTGATCTGGGCACAACAGTTTTAGCATTTGTTGAGTGCAAAGTTTGCTCAGCTTTAATTTTTCAGTCAAAACTGTGTAAGCTAAACCAGTTGAGATGTCAAGGGGTTGGCTATAATTTCTGCTGTTAATCATCAGTCATCTTCAATTAGGGCACAAACAAGATGAATTTATTCCTTGCAAATTGATGTGGATGGTCTGTCTCTGTGGATTTAATCTTCAACATCATCTCATCCCTTCTTAAGACAAGTTACTCATCTGTAAACTGCTGATTTCTTTGGGGCATTGTCCTCACAAACATTTTGTAATGCATCATGATTTCACCATTCTTCCACCCAAGCTTCACCATAAGTTTGATGTTTGTTCTTGCTTCGATTTTACCAGAATTCACGTTGCTCCAATAGGAGCTCTTTGCAAACTGATGTCGTATCCTTCTTAAGGCTTCAAGCTACTTCCTGTTCAGGTATGTTGTAACAAGCTAGGGTGAGTTTAATGCAGAAAGATGGAAAGCCATGCAGAGTTTCTTATATGTGTTTTCCGTCAGGTTTTTGAAGTCACTTTGCATAATAAAAGCCTAAAGACTAAGACAAAATTTTGCAGCATATTTTTACCATTAAAATATATTTTTTAATTAAAAAAATAAATGTTTCTCTATTATATATGACAAAATATTTATTAAGCTATCAGAGGTGATGAGAATAGAGACACATAGCTAAAGAGGAATAAAAGTAGAGTTAAGAAGAAGGAGAGATATTTTAAACATTAGATTATAGTAACATGAAGAGTAAACAAACAGCAAAATAATTAGCTGAAACTGAATCATTATTCTTTTAATTGTATGTTATGTGGATTCTTTTAATTGTATAAGTATACATAATACTTTGCATTCAAGAGTGAAGCACTTCCTTTTTTTTCCCTCAAAAATGACAATAGTTCTAAACAATGGAGAAGCTAACATATTTTTTAAGCAATTCTTCTGGAGTTATGATTCTCAGCAGGAGAGACCACTCTAGATATTAATTTTTAGAAATAAACTATATTTAAATAATTATATAAAGATTTAGAAATTATACCTATAGAATAACTATAAAAACTGAAATTTAAGAATAATATCCCAGACCGGGCGTGGTGGCTCATGCCTGTAATCCCAACACTTTGGGAGACTGAAGTGGGCAGATCAAGAGGTCAAGAGATCGAGACCATCCTGGCCAACATGGTAAAACCCCTTCTCTACTAAAAATACAAAAGAAAATTAGCTGGGCATGGTGGTGCCTGCCTGTAGTCTCAACTACTCGGGAGGCTAAGGCAGGAAAATCGCTTGAACCTGGGAGACGGAGGTTGCAGTGAGCCGATATCATGCCACTACACTCCAGCCTGGGGACAGAGTAAGACCCAGTCTTGAAAAAAAAAAAAAAAAAAGATTATCTACAATTAGATGATACATGCAACTCTGATTATATAAAGAAAATTGATTTATTTAATTTGAGGTATTTGAAAAGTAAAAATAAATCTAGATAAACTGTGAATAGAGGTTTTCTTTCTCAATGAGAGATAAGAATAAATTGGCTTAAACCCTGTATGGGGGATTTCTGGCATAATGACAAAGAATATCTAGGTTGAACAGCCATTAAGCACAAAAAGGTACTGACCAAGAGAGTATGGGAAATTTTCTTTAAATAACTGTAGCACATCTTCTTTATTAAATGTATAGCCTTGTTAGGTAAAATTATTGAAAAAAAATGAGTTAAATAACTCTGTATATGCCTTGAACGGATCAAGTGTATTAACTATTTTAAAATGCTCATCCCTTATTACCACAGATATAGAAACCACGCAACAATTTTAATAGTTTAGGTATGTATCAATATATAATTAATTGATGCAAATATAAACAGATAAACAGTGGAGCTAAAGGTTAGTATAGTTAGGGTTGAAATTACTCATCAAATAAGACTATACATATATTTTTTACAGAATCACCCTATCCCCAAAACTCTACAAAATTGGCTCTCTCTGGTATTAGGGAACATCTAACATTCTTTTGGTTAATACAAACACACATAGATGGACTTTGAAAGTAAATGCAATGAACAACTAAGAAGAAAGTGGTTTTACTATTGAATATTATGTAACAACTAGTATTCTCATTATTTTGTCTTTTTTAGTCTGGTATTTTGAGTCCATCAAAATAATGTCAGAGTATATCATCATTGTGTGTTGTTTCTTCAACTTGTTTACCTATTTAATGTTTAGAAATGCATGTATTTACTGATTGCAATGCAGAAGAACCTTGGAATCAGACATAAACATGGCTTACAGGGATGAAGTTATTGGACTTTTTCTCTGAGCAGATTTCCTTAAAATCACTCATATGTCTGTGGAACAGTATCATATATATATATTTATATATACGTGTGTGTATATATATACATATATGTGTGTATATATATATACGCATATATATGTTAGTATGTGTATCATATATATGATACACACATATATATGTTAGTATGTGTATCATATATATGATACACACATATATATGTTAGTATGTGTATCATATATGATACATATATATGTTAGTATCATGGATGTGTGTATTTAACATCTCTCTAAGATAACTAATTATATCTTCTTTCAAAAATGAAACAAAGTCACAAAGATATTTTGAATCACTATTAATGTATTGCAAGGCATTTTGTGCTATAATGAACACAATTTTATAAGTACTAGGTAAGGAAAAAGATGCAGACATCTGAGAAATTCTTACATAAGGAAGGATTGCTTTAAACATCCTTCTTAGATCATTGTACTTGAAAGGATTTCAGGTCAGTTGCTGTATACTTCAGAATCCCAGTTTGCAATAAAGCAATATTTACTCAATGGTCATGAGATCATGGCTAGTATTCAGTGTCTTCAATCTTGATGTGGCAAGAGTTTGTTCAATAAGACGAAATTCAGTATTGCCCTTTTAACATGAATTATGATGTAATTGTTTTTATTTGTAATTCCTAAGTTATAGGGTGCAAGTTTAATAGTAGAAAAGGGTATTTGTTTTTCATTTTGAAGCAGAATAATAAAACTAGGAACTAACAGTTCACTAGTTTATTCTTCTTGTGCAGCTTCAGGCAGTAATGAGTGAATCAATATGTTATGGCCATATTGGTCACTGGGGATTGTAGGGTGCATTAGGAAAACATCATATGATGTTTTAGCAGGGCAGTTTCCATTAATGTCAATGAATGTTATATTACTGAAATTTCAGAATATGATTTAAAAGTATCCTTTACAGGGTGTACATTTTAAGGAGATGCAGCTAGCCACAAGAAAAATAATTTTGTCAGCTTTTTGTTATAGTTTTAAATTAAACAATGGGGTGACATTAGTTCTAGTTTTTTTTTTTTAGGTTCTATGTTTTTCAAGCTCAAAAGCTCAGTAGATAGTGACAGTGGATAGTAAACAGTATATAATAACAGTAGGTAGATACAAATTTATACTAAGAACAAGTCCTGGTCAAAATCATTGTGTAGACTTGTGCCTTATCTGACTTCTAATTTTGGATATCAAAATAAACATTACACAAATATGCCTTAAACCAAAAATTTCAGGTACCTCATCTTAAGTGTTTTCTGATGTGGTTCTTTAATTTTTAAATGTTATGAAGGAAAAAAAGGAATTAATTAAGCCTAGGGAAAACTACATACTGTTTATAAGTCTTGGAAATAGGTATCATATTGCTGACAATACAGAGTAATTTATAAGTATGAATGCAATGGGATATACTGTTAACTTTTAGTCCATCTCCTCTGTTGTTGATAACTTTAGGTTATCAGTCAGTTATGCAGTATACTGGGATCTGTCTCTGTTCACCTTGACATTCTTATCTAATGCTCTTCAGAAAACACCTAAGTCAGATTGTTCATTTTCATATAGGCATTGGTATCAGAAGGCCAGGGCTTATCCTCTGTCCCTGACACTATGTAACTGCATCAGATTGAACTCGTTATTGATTCTCTCTGTGCAAATTTTCGAATTTGGAAAATGTAAGCAACAGTAGTTCCTGTATTCCAGGTAGATAATTAGATGCATTAATACATGTTATGTCTTAAAATAGTGCCTAAATTTTTATAGTGCTAAATAAATATTAATTATTATTATCAATGTTTTATCATTACTTCTTTTCCCTTCCTTCTCCTCTTCCTTCTGCCCCACAACTAAACAAAGAAGGGAGTAATGGATTTAATTTATTTGTGAAACTGAAAGTCTAGTTTTTAAAGTAATTCAACTACCTATATGATGATCGTAATTAATATTTTGATAGTTTTGTCATTGTTCAACTCTAAGTGGATACGAAATTGCTAGATTTAAGTCTACTTGAAATACAGATAAGCTTATCTATGTTTACACACACACTCATGTATTTCTTGTGACTGTGGTTGGAAATGGTATATAAGCCTCCTTGGTGTTATGCACAATAAGATTATCTTATTTGGGTTGTTACCAGGGACAGACTACCCCATTATTCTGAAACCACTTAGTATAGCATGATGTCTAGCATTCTAGTATCTAACAGTGGTAAATAGTACCTACTTGCTGCCTCACTGAAATGTTGTCTATTTTTATATACATATATATATATATATCCATATATATGAAAATTCAAATATCAATATTTACAATATTTTAAAAGACTCCAAGGCTGGAGTTGCACAATCACAGTTCACTGCAGCCTCAAACTCCTGGGCTTGAGTTATTCTCCTGCCTCAGCTTCTCCAGTAGCTAGGGCGACAGGTGTGCACTACCACACCGAGCTATTTTCCAGTAATTTAAATGGCTATAACACCTGATTGTGAAGCTCAGAAAAAGGACAATGCTGGGCTTGAGGTATCCTCTGGAATATCTTAACTGAGCAGTAGAACAAGAAGTTTACCAGGTCAGTTTCCTTGAATTGAGCTGTCGAAAGGCACCAATAATCTGGGTAGCAATGAATGTTCTCAAAGATCAAGCCGCTCCAAGCCTGTATGATATGACTGAAGGGAATGCGTACCACCAGTCCTTCTTTGGACATCTACATGTATCAATAAGTTGGAAGTACCACATGCATAGGAACAGGTTGCTTTACTTTTGTGATTCATTTTCTCCTGATGGTTGTCCATTTTGCCATTTAATCTGACCCTCAGTGTTATAATTGAGAAAATGATACCATGTTACTTACTAACCTTAAGCACTAGGTATGTTTGTACAGACAGTATTTCTACTGCTCTAAAAATTACCTCTCTCATCATTCCTACTCTTTCCACTTTTCGCTTACTGTCCTAGGCTTTTCAGTCATTGGAGTTTACTTTGCTTACGCAGGAGACTCTGCCCTTTGACTCTCTAAATTTCTTCCTAAAACTCCCTAATTACCTCAATGGACACAACAGTTGTTCATTATTCTCTTTGGCCTCAATCATAACTTTGAGTGGAAGAGAGATATAAAATCACTTCTCTGCTGATTTTATTAGTCTTTCCATTTTCCTCCCATGTTTACCTGTTGCAATCATTATAACACAATTACATTAAGATTGAATATTTTACAAAGCACATGTGGTTATGAAATGCAAAATGTAATCATTGGGACCCATTTCAGATAAAATTCATTTTCATCTTATTCATTTTTTACTTTTTTGATTGTTTTCTTTGGGTACCTGACTGCTTAGTACTTAGCAGTTGCCACACAGGCATTCTCTCTAAGAAGATGAATTTCAGATGCAAGATTCCTCAGGTAAGCCTCACTCAATGCTAATTACTGGATAGACTCAATCCTTGTATAAAAAATGAAAATTGTAAGCGAAATTTTTTTGGAAAAAAAACCACTGCACATTAGCAACTGAATACTAAATAGTGGTAGACTAGTATGTATTCTTCTCTCTAAACCCACCACATAGAAAATAAAACAGCCTTGTTTATATAACCCAACCTAGAAAATAATGGTGCAAAACATTTCATTCTTACAAGAGACAACTTGCTCCCAACCGTATAGTTAAGGGCTACGTATCATTCAACCAAATATCCACTAAGCTATGTTCATGCTCAAAGAATTGGTACAATTGCATTTGTCCCAAGGTGGGTCACTTAGTCTTGTACCACATGATATTACTTTGGTTTTCAAATGGAGCCCGTAAAAAAGATTGATTCCCATTCTTGGCCATTTTTGCCTTCCTTGCCATATGTAGGGCTGTGTAACATGAGCTCTTTCCTTGGTGGCTAGTCTGATCTATTGCTTGTTGCAGGGCTCCAGAGACCTAGAAAACAAAATTGCTCCTAGAACAAGCACCCTGCAATTACTCAGGCTGTAACTACATAGACCTAACAAACAGCATTGCTCCCCAGGTGGCTTTCTTGTGCCCTACTCTTTCTGCTGTTAGGCCTTTTGCTGTTCCAGGAATCCAGGAGATTGAGCATGGACTTCTCCAGAGTCATCTGGTCATTGCAAAGCTGAATTATATTCAGTGCATATCCAGAGATATGGTTATCAAAACTTGCCACAAGTACTTTATGAAACTAGTAGATTTTACAATTGTCAATTTATATATATTGAGCTTCTACTAAGAGAGAGCAAATATCTACTAAATATAAATAGTTATCAAAGCAGCATTTATTTTCAGGTTGTAAACAGTCTAAGAAGATGACAGGAAAGTACATATAAATATGAATAGTTTTAAAAGAAAATCTTATGGTTTTATAAAAGTTAAAGGCCATTTTTGTTTATAGTTTTCAGTAAATTTTTGAAAACTTTTCTGACGTTTCTTTAACTGCTTTGGGATTTATTAAACAACTCCTTATGCACTCAATCATTTAAATTTGTGTTGTTCTTTTTATAAAATCATTCTACATAGATAATGGCAAATAATATACCATTCTCAGTGAGAGTAACTTTATTATATAAATATATTATTTGATAATTTTAGCAGGATACACTTAGGGATTATAAGTAAAGCTTCAACAAATTTTTGATTTATTCTAATAAACTAAAGTGCTATATAATTTTGCATAGAAGAATATTGTTTGAGAATAAAATCCTTAGAAATATGAATCAGTTCATATACAGGAATAAAGATATTTAGTATGCAAGAAGATATATTAGAGTTTTCGTTAATTGCCTATGATTTATACTATAGTTATTTCCTTATCCTTTTGCCATTTTTAGATTTGTTTCTGTTTAGACTCCTGTTTCTGTAACATTTTATTCTTTTTGAGAGGATATTGGAAGCATTGGTCGAATTTTCACTGCATAGTAATTATAAGCCATAACAATAAAATATAGTTACCAGGACAGCGAGGACTTTTGGAGAAAAACATAGTCTATCATTAAAAAAATGTTATCGCTTCAAGAAATTGTAAAGTGACGAATAAAATACGTTAATAAGTAATCAACTGATTATTTTAGTCACAGAGGTTTGGAGACTAGAGCTTATGGGTATGTTGCAGAATAAACAATCTGACAGAAAACAATGTTTGGCAATTAGAGTAAATATTTTGAAATATTAACTATTGATTATTTTTATCACTTTCAAAACCTAAGAAGTTAGACATAAGATAGAGTGAATTTTTGATATCTCTATTAAATGTTCACAAAATTGTATTACATTTGCATATTATAGAGTTGAGGCTGTTTCAGTTAATATCTACCTAGCTATTAGATTGTGGAAGCTCATCGCTTCTTTTTCCCAGCTGAAGGATGGTTTCCATTAACTGGTTATCAGAATAAAAATGAATACTTTTTGTTGATCAGCCTGGATCTTTAAAGCTGACATCTTTGCTAAATACTGTGTGTATAAATCACTCTGTGTCATAGTATTTGAGATGATAATAATAATAAAAATAATACAAGTTTTTACTATTTTTAACAAAATACATCTTATTTAAGTAAATTTTTGCACAAGTTAAATAGGTTAATTTTTAGATATAGATATATTTGGAGATGAAAGTAATATAACATAACTTAAAATTGTATATAGCAAAAACATTTATTTTAAGGTTTTTAAATTCAGAACTATTAAATTCACTTGTAAGGCCTAATAGAGAAGAACATTCCCTTGAATAGTCTTTCCTCGTTTTTTGACTTCAGCTGGATACTTCCCTGGAAATTAGTACTGAATTGGCTAATTAAGCTCTCAATACTTAATCTGGTGGATGGGCCACAGACTCATGTTTCTGACTAAAACTGTGAACCATTTTTACTTTAATTGGAGTATTCTCCTTCAAATGAATTAAATGATAAAAGTTGTGACCTGTTAGCTTTTCTTGCAAATTTGCATATCCAAAAATGAGGCTTTTTCTTCTATTATAAGCCAATGAGAAAACAATGTTTGAGACAAATAATGGTAATTTTTTAGCTCATTAAAGGCTCTGCTCCTTTAATATTCAAAGAATAATTTGCCCCAAATATACTTGCTTTATTCTTTAAGTGAACTTGTTCTTTTCAATATCTTAATTAAAACCTATTACCTTTACTAATGGTCAAAATGACTTTTATTATTTTTAATACAAATACATTTTTAAAAAATACAGCATTTCAAAAGAGTATTCTTCACACACTTTTTTTAATGAATGTGAGATGATAAATAACAGGGCATTTGAAGTTGTTTGGTTCCACTTAAAGCTTATTCCCATTAAGACTCTTACAACAGAAGTGATGCGTCCTAAGGACACTTACTTTCACAGAGTAAACCAACCTACTGACAAACATCTTTCTTCTCTTTTCACACATCTTATAAACACAATTCTTCTTTGCTGAAAAATGAAGAGCTGGGTTAGAAAGTGAGTAATTCAGCACACAGGATTACCCAGGAAGTAGAGGTGGAGGTGATGGTGATACTGGGGCAGTGCACAATGCATATGTTCTTTCAATTTCTCTTAAATAATGTCTTCTTGGCAAGAAACTATGTTATGGAGGGTAAATGGAGTGGACAAATGTTTTAAGATATAATTACTCACCATTGTTAATAAATAAGATAGAAGTCTACTCTTTTTCTTAACATTTGCTACAGTACAATAATAGCTCCTCAAGGCAAAAGCAGAGACAGCCAACAGGGAGATACAGCTGACAAAGCACTATTACCGCATCCATTATGGTAATGTATAACTCAAATAACACAGTTTTATAGTTCTATAAAGAGAAAAAAAGAGAGAATGTCTGCCAGTTGGGCTCGTGTGAAGTGGACTCCAAGGAAATTAATGTGCGGGAGAAATACCGGGGTGCTCGCCAGATGACCTGTGGAAGAGAAGACAAGGCATCAGGATTGGACAGAGAAAGACGTCAAGCTCCAATGTAGTCATAGTAAATGGGATGATGCTTCAGAAATCTCCCCAGTGGGAACAAGAAAATTAGATGCAGGTCACCCTGAGAGGGAGGTCTGGTATTTGGTAGAGTGGTTCCCTTTGGCTCAAGGAATCTCCAAGGGGGCTGACAACTGAGCTGTCTGCTGGCAGCACTGGCAGCAGCTGGGGAAATAAACTCTTCATTTCCGAAAAAGGAGCAAGAATGGAATATGCTTTTGTATTGGAAAAGCATTTCAATTTTTTTCTGTCATCTGTTTCTCCTCTCTCTGCCTGTTCCAATCCATGTTGCATTTAGCTGCCAAATAAATATTCATGTCTTTATGAAACTAGAAGTTTTCCTAAATGCATTTTAAACCCAGATGTGTTTCCATTGTCTCCTTTTGTCTGCCTTTCTATTATATGTTTAGCCCATTGTTGTTTCCTCCAAAAAAAAAAAGTACCTGTTATAAAAATTAATATATCTGCTCTCTAGTCCTGGAACACAAACACTCATTATGAGCTCTTCATCACTTCACATGCCCTTTCCTCACAGCCAGTGTCTTCCTTGGCTTACCAAGTTCAGTTTTGGCTCTGTTTCTTCGATGAATTATTTTCTGCCAGGTTCCCCTGATCTCTTTTTCCCTAGCCCGAATGCACTTACATTCTCTACCATACAATAAAGTATTTAAATTTTACAAAATGAATCGATTTTTTTACTAGGTCACTAAAAAAACTTATGGAGTGCAGGCACTATATTTTTGTTTTGTTTAGTTTTCTATCACAGTTGCTAGCAAACTTCTGGGGCTATTGAGGATGCTTAAAAACATTTGTTATTTATCTGATTGAGTTATATTCCTTATTTTCCAGTGGCATTCATATGCTATAGTATTATTGCCCCATCCCCTAAAGTCCCAGATTACATTATCTATTTCTCTCTTAGTTATCATAGACACTAATTTTCTAGCTATTTGTATTCTATGTCTTTATGTATCTTTAAATATTTCATAAGCAACTTAAGGAAGCCCATTAGTTATTTCTTCACCCCCCCTTTTCAATCCCAAATATCTCCAGTGATTTTCATGAGGAAGACCCTGAAAATTTGTTCACAGAATGGTCTAACATTAATGGAATTTAAAGCTGGACATTAAGGCTAGAACGGAATGTATTGTTTGGAGGAAATGAAAGATGATTTACCATCATAAACTTGTTGCTTTTAATTAATCATTGCTCTTTTGGAGAAAAAAAAGATACTTTTGTCCCCATCATCATCAGGACCATATTATATTTCAGTAACAGAATATCAAGAATTATGCTCATATTTTTTTGATATGGTCTTAAATATTCACAAAGACAGACCATATTTCCATCTAACAAGTTAGATGACTTAATATATTTGGTAATTAATTTCCTATGTGAATACACTATTTTCCTTATTTTGTTTATATTTCTGAACTAAAATTATATAAAGCTTTTTTATTCAGACATTAAAAATAATAATTTACTTTTTTTTGTTGAACAGTGAAATTACTGTGACATCTATAAGTACATCCAGAACTATCTCTGCCTCCAGGGATTTTCTAACAAGCACTTACAATTTTTTGTTTAACCACAAATTTGAAATCAAATACGCTCTTAATTTGTCATATAAATTATTAGGTTAGTGCAAAAGTAATTGCAGTTTTTGCCATTATTTTTGCACCAACCTATAATATATCTGAGTACAAAGAAGATAAAATAAAAGTTCATGCATTTAAAAAAATGACTAGGGATATAAAGACTTAGGCTCAGTGTTATAATTAACCCATTTTTATTTCCAGAATATTTTTCATGCTTTTTCTATTATAGCTATGATAAAAATTCATCATATTTATATAAAAAGTAGGAAAAAAGTACCACACATGTAATAAATGATAGAAAATACAGGAAATATAAAAAGTGGAAAAAATAGTCAAATTGGTCCTAGGCCATACCACTGGTCTAGAAGCCTTACGCACATTGTAAGATCTTTCTTTTTTATCTTTAGGTTTAATGGTACATATTTTAATTATCTTGTATATTAAATTGTATAGCTTGAAAATTACTTATTATATATAAAGTGAAGTGTTCTTCTTTTTCCCCTTCAGATTTGGACATCTAGAACATAGTCACCTAACTCAGAGCTGTAAAAAATATGCCCAAAGCTAACATCTAGGCAAACTACCTAAGATTTCATCCTTCTGCTTAATTAATAAAGGGAAATAATTCAATACTGTGTACATCTGATGTAGATGATAAAACTGGCCCTGAATATAATTTTTTACTCTTTTTTGTTACCATGCTCTTTGGCATGGTATTTTGTAGTGCCCTCCCTACCTATATGGGCTTGGTCATTTCACTAATTTTGACTAATGAAGTAAGGTGGAAGTGACATTATGCTGGTACTAAGCCAAGTCTGTGAATATTTTTACTCATTCTCCTATACTTATTTCATTGCCTTAAGAAATGCACTGGCTGATAAAAACATAAAAAATAAAAGTATTTTCTTTGCAGCAACATGGATGTAGCTGGAGGCCATCATTCCAAATGAACTAACACAAGAGAAGAATACCAAAAACTTCATGTTCTCACTTAAAAGTGAGAGCTAAACATTGGGTACATATGGACATAAAGATGAGAACAATAGACACAGGGGACTACTAGGGAGGGGAGGTGGAGAGGAGAGCAAGGGCTGAAAAACTAGCTATTAGGTACTGTGCTCACTACCTGGGTGACAGGATGATTTGTACTTCAAACCTCAGTGTCATGCAATATACTCATGTAACAAACCTGCACATGTACCCCCTGAATGTAAAATACAATTTTAAATTGTATGTAAAAAAGAAATTCACTGTCTAGCTACTGGAAGATGAGAAACACATGGGGCAGAGCTGAGTTGCCCCAATTATCACTGCATATACTCAGGTGCATAAGTCACCTCGGCCAAAATCAAAAAGATCTTCTATTTATGGCTACTCTTAGTTGTTAAGGGGTTCATATAAGTGAAATAAATGCTAATAAGTGTATATCAGTGAGATTTTGTGAATGTTATGCAATATTGCTGTAGCAATAAATACCCTTTCAGTGCTATTGAGAAGGATTTGAATCCTCCATTGCCATCCTTGGGGACATGATTTAACTTTGACCATAACTGAATTACTACTTACTGTGAAATGTTACAGTGGAGTATTAGCCTATATGTTTCTTTACAACTTCTAATATTTCAAATGTCTTTCAATAATTCATTTTCAGTAGAAAAGTCACAATATTTTACTGTAGATTCACAGGAAGTTGTTCTCTAAGAGCTAAACTTTTAGAGTAGTAGCCTTCAAATTTTTAACTACACATACCTAAAAGAATTCTGGAACACTGTACTTCCCTTCCTTTTTAGGGGTGACAACTAAAGATGTCCATCCTAAGATTAAATAAATTTATTACTCATAAGTGATAAAAAATATTAGATATTTCATTTTAAAATTTGAAACAATGTACTGATTAAAGTAGTAATAAATACTGAATATATTTATAAAGTCAACTTTAACTACCTAATTGAATAAAACAAATATAAAAAATGTATTACATCAGTCCATTCTCACATTACTAGAAATAAATATCCAAGGCTGGCTAATTTATAAAGAAAAGAGATTTAATGGCCACATGGTCCTGCAGAATGCACAGGAAACAGCAGCATCTTCTTCTGGGAAGACCGCAGGAAACTTACTATTGTGGCAGAGGGTGAAGGGGGAGCAGGCAAGTCACTTGGAGAAAGCAGGAGCAAGAGAGAGAAGGGGGTGGGGCCACACACTTTTATTTCACCAGAACTCACTCATTATCTCGAGGTTAGTACCAAGCGGATGGTATTAAATAATTCATGAGAAAACCGCCCCCATGATCCAGTCTCCTTCCACCAGGCCCCACCTCCAACAATGTAGATTACAATTCAACATGAGATTTGGGTGGGGACACAGGTCCAAACCATACCATGTATTTTGTTTACTGGCAGAGTTCAGTACTCCTGCAAAATGTATGAATTATTAATCTTTCAAAATAGGAACATCAGTAACTTATGCTTTGGCTATTCTAAATTTGATCTTGAGGCATGGATCAAAATATCCATTAATAATATAAAACACTGTGTGTGTGTTTGTATTGATATGGTGTGTTTCTGTGTGTGTAAAGAGAAAAAAATATTTTAAGGTTTAAGACAGCTTTGATTAAAGATTAAAGGAGAATTTTCTGTATTCTATATATGTGTATCCATTTGTTTGACATCCCGAAGTTTTATAAACCTTGGGTTAATAAACAGTATTAAGATTTAGGTTCAGAGAAAGGTGTGCCTGTAATTGTGTATATTGATAGCAGATTATGTGAATTTAGATTTGTTTTCAGATCATTTTTTTAAAAAAGGCATATATGAGAACGAGAATCTAGGAATCAATTCCATTGAAACTACTGGTGCATGCCAACCTGATAGAAAGTCTTTATGTACCCCAGGGCCCCAGGTTGAAGACTTTTCGTTGAGAAAAGGCAAAAATAGTGTCACCACAGTTTCTTAAGCAATACAGGCATTCAATAAAGTTGCCTGAGTGAGTGACTCTGAATGCAATTAATGGGATAAGAAAATAGGTGACTGGGTGCCAAAATAAGCAACCCAGCCAACTTAGTGCTAAGTAATTCAAAGAAGAGAGATAAAAACATGTAGAGGTGTTAAATAGCAAATCATACAAAAAAGATATTTTTGCATACCAAAGATCTGTGAATGCATTTCTAAGTGTTCAATATTTATGAATGGCTATGAGATTGAAAGCTGCTTCAGGGCAGAAGCTGTGTGTTATTTATCTTTGCCTTTTTCTCAGTAAAGCACTAGCTGCTGACCCAAAAATTGTTCCAATTCAAATCAATTAAATTCAATGCTAGGGCAGAATGCTAGTTGTTAAAAAAAAGTAGACTCTGGACCAGCTTACCTGTGTCTAAGTCTCAGTTTTTCCATTTAGTATGCGTGTAACTTTGGGCAAGTTGTTTAATCTCTCTGGACCTTAGTTTTCTCATCTGTGAAATGGTTTGCATAATGGTACTTATAATACTTCACTCAGTTATTATTGGCTCATGTAAATGATATCAAATCGTAACACATGCATACTTTACATTTTACATACATTAGCTATTTTTATTTAAGTTGCCTTTCCTGAAGTCATCAATATAAGTTTTACCTACTAAAGTAGAAAATTTTGTATTTTCCTTCTCTATTGATTCAACATTTCCTAATAAGTGCCCATACCCCATGTGCGTTTATTCATTCACTGAGTAAAAGGGCAATGACAATTAAGCATATACTGTTGAAATGTTAATGCATATTTTAGCAGTCTGTTGAGGAGGTTTAGAATCCTCTGAAAAGTTTGAAAACGATTGATAATAGATTTCCTTTTTCGTTTTTTCAATGAAGACTGGAATTGGAATACCTGTCATATGTTAATTTAGTTTTTGAAAGAAAAGTGATTGTTAGGAAATAATAAAGACAAGAAAACTGATTATTTTCTAAACTTCTTAAAAGCTTGTCATCATTATCACTACCATCACCAACAAGAATATAGACATTGACAATTATACATTTTTGAGGTGATCTTAAAATTTGTGAAAACACTTTCAATAAACGTAATAAATAGAAAGTTTACTCCTTGAAAAAGAAAAATCCAAGAAATCTTAATTCAACATCATTTTACAGTTAACTAGAACATTCTCTTAAATAGCGTGAAATTTTAAAATGAAAACCAAAACAATTATTTTTTAAATTTTTACTGTCATTTAGATCAAATCTTTAACATACAAATCAAAACAATTGTTTAATGTCCTGAATATATACTTATACATCTATTATTTTAGGAGGTGCAAGTATATAACACACTTATGTGCTATTATGTAAGCTCTGGAAACTATTCTTGCCTTACAGTTAATGCAGAAATTTGCACTAAATTATCCTTTATTTAGTACTTTTATAATATATACTATGTTCTGGTTAATAATACACCAATCCCATGTTTCTCTGGGAAATTGAATCAAATTTATGAAGTTATGCTGTATATAAACACATTTTGCAATGCGATTTATAAATGAAAACCCCCAAATTTTAAGGAACACCTACAATCTTTTTTTTTTTTTTTGAGACAGAGTTTCGCTCTGTCGTCCAGGCTGGAGTGCAGTGGCGCGATTTCGACTCACTGCAATCTCCGCCTTCCAGGTTCAAGTGATTCTCCTGACTCAGCCTCCCGAGTAGCTGGGACTACAGGCAAATGCCACCACGTCTGGCTAATTTTTTGTATTTTTAGTAGAGACGAGGTTTCACCATGTTAGCCAGGTTGGTATCAATCTCCTGACCTTGTGATCCCCCCGCCTCGGCCTTCCAAAGTGCTGGGATTACAGGCGTGAGCCACCGCGCCCAGCCTACAATTTTTATAATTAACTTGCACTTACCTGGACTCTCAGTGAAAAGAAAGGTCTGTAAGAACCATAATAAATAATTCAGTTTTTCATAGCTTTTATGCTTAGAACATTTTGGAACTGCATCAGTTAAAAATTAATTCTAATCCTAAATGCCATTTTCCCTCCAGCAGTATTATGGGATGTGTGTTTTGATACTACACTAAGAATTCAAATTGGCTAGATCACAGCATATCTACCACAGAACACTAAAAAAGCAATCTTTTATTTAATCTGGTTAATCTTATATTTGCTTTTGTATAACCTGTTTATCAAGGAGAAAAAGATCATTTCATTTACTCATTTAGTTATTCATTCAGCAAATATTTATTTAGGGCCTGTCATGTTACACACACTGTTAGCTTCAATAAAGTCCTTGTTTTCATGAAGCTTATGGTATTGTGGTGAATATAGATAAACAAAATCAGATACTATAATATATTGCGGTACACAAGCTATGATTTTAAGTGACTTTTTATTGGAAAGAAATTCAATATCCTATCCCTCAGAGTTATTGGCATTGTCTTTAGTCTTAATTACCATTAATACCAATAGTCTTGCTCCTGTAACTTCCTTATAAATTGTTATATCACTGGAGGGATGACACACAGAACTCAGAGCCTGTAAGCAAATGATAAACGGTAGACAATTTGGCAATTTTATCTAAATTAGTCACGTTATATGAAACAATAAAATGCAAATCAGCTACAGCTACATATCTATCCTTTTTCTGTGTCAGAAAAAATATTTTCCGGAGGATTATCAAATCTCCATTTGCACATTTCACAAGTAGCTGAAATCATGTAGCATCTCTGATTAACTTCTAAAATTCGATACCATGCAGAGAATAACTTACCCATGGTGATAGTCAGAATAGTGTCAAGTTCATGAGCTGGAGCACACAAATCTAACTTTCAAGTTGAATTTCATATCGGAAGTACTTGGGAAATGTGTTACTATGCAATCTAAAGATATCAAATTATATATACAGCAAACTCTCTGTGTTACTAGGGAGGAAATGTTTTCTGATCCTATCCATGAACTAGAGCATGCAATCCATATGCAGTCCATTAACGGAATACAGAGAATGGTTATCAATACACCACTAACATTTTTTATAATATTAGATTATATTAGACTCCCTGGATGCTTACATCTTGCCCTGTCATTATCAGATTTGGTGAAATTAATTGCCATAGTTTTTACCTTGATAAAATGTAAAATAAAATCCCTGGTATACTGCTGGATGATATTCTATGCTAAAGAGATAATATTTAGAAAATTGCTTTTACTACAAGTAGAGACTTTACATATTTTTATTTTTATTATAAGTGTCAAACATATATATTTTTTCAGTTAGTTGCTTTTCTCTTTATTTTCTTGTGGTGTCAATTAATTGATATGAGTTATTAATTTGACAGTATCAAATGCTCAATATTCATTTCTATGATCACACTTGATGTGTCCTGTTAAGATATGCTTCCTCTTCTCCAAGTAATGGGGAAAATCTATATACTTAAAAAAATCTTTCTTTTCTAATTTATAAAATAAATTTCTATATTGACACCGAATTTTATAAAAACTGTTTTATGGGTTTTTTATGCCAATGATCATTTGTCCCATCACTTATTAAATTGTCCATTCTTTTTCCAAAGACCTATTTTGACTCTTCTGTGATATATTAATAACTTTTATATATGTGTGGATATGTTTCTTAGCTTTCTGTTCTGTGCCATTTATTTATTTCTTCATGACCATGTCAGAATCTTACCACATATTATATTAATGACTTCAGTTTGTAAGACCTTTATTTATTCTAGGTCAAATATACTCACTCTATTGATTTTTAATCGTAAATGTCTTGGATAATCTTGGTTCTTTGGACTTCTATAAAAATTTTATTTTTTAGTTATCAAGTCAATAATAACTTTGTTGGGATGTTGGTTAGAATTGCAATGACTATATAAATTTGGGTAGAGTTGAAATCTTTATGAAGTTAGTGCAATCTCTACAAAATTAATTACTTTGTACTTCCCTAATATTTTTAATTAAATATTTTATAATTTTTTTCTTTCTTTTGTAAATTTAATCCTAGAGAACTACCTCATGTTCTCCCCTTCAAATCTTTACCATTCGTGTACTTTATTTGTCAAAATGTCCTTTCTAAAACTTCTGGTACAGTGTTTAATAGAATAAATGATCAGAATGTTATTTTAATTAAATATACCTGCTTTGCTTTGGTTACTATTTTGTGAGACTGAGAATCTATGCTTTCAACTGAAAAATTTAGTGTATTTACATTATATAAAAATAGGGTAAATATATTCATTTGGCTTATGAATATGTTTGAAATTATTTCTACCAAGTAATTTGGGGGTTATTTGTCACAATTTTACGTTTTATTCAATTCCTAATATTTTAAATTTAGGGTTCTATGGTTGGTTTTGGCCTCATTCTCTTTTTTGCCTTTCAGCTTTTTGAAAGATACATATTTTTATTTTTATGCTAACAGTCATTAACTTGTAACAATACATTTAAACATTTAAAGTTAAGTAATATATTTGCATTAATTTGAAATAAACTATGCTGTAATGCTGATCACCCCATCATTGTTATTCCACCTCTCAAACTTCTGTTTATTTTTTATTCTGTAAATTAAACATTATTATTGATATGTATAGACAAGTTTTGCTTAGATTTAACTACATTGTTACAGTTTTCTTAATTTATTTGTTCTTTTTGCTTATCAGAGATTTATTTTTTAATATTCCCAGGGAATTTTGTTAATGAGAGCTTCTTGATGGTAAAAGATTGGAGTTTTATTTATATAAAATACTTTTATTTCACAATCCCTCTTGTGAAAGAATTTACATGACATAAGAATTCTAGTTTGACAATTATTTTCTCATAGAACAGTGAAGAAATTGTCTTCTGTTATCTACCCTTGTTGAGACAGTTGCAACTGTCAATGTAGTTCCCTTCAAATAATCTATCTTTTTTTTTCTATATCTACTTCAAGACTCTTTGTTATTTTGCCGTTTGGCTATGGTATAGATTTATTTTTATTTTCTAAGTTTGTAGTTCTTATAGTAACAGACAATAAAAATCTTTGTCGCTAAATCTATGCTGAATAATTCTCAGCTGTTGTTTCTTTCAAGAAAATTTCATCACTCTCTGCTGTCTACCCTATGATCTCATTCAGGAACTCTGAACTATGCTAACTGCTATTTCCAAATTTCCACTTCTTTATCTCTCTTTGCTACATTATTTGTAAATTTTGTATAGTTAAAATTGCGAGTGTCTTTATCTTCTGTCCTGGTTAGTCTGCTGTTAAGTATTTACTTAGAATTATAATTTCTATTGTTATCTTTTTATTTTTTTCATTGCTTTTTGCTATGTATTGTATTCTTTCTGGTATTTCCTTAAGCATACTAGACATGCTCATTTCACATTTTCCACCTGATAATTTTGCTAGTGGGATAAAGTGGGAAATTGATCGATTTGCTTGAAGTATTTGCTAATACATATTTTTTATGGTTCTTTGAAATAATTTTGACAGTGTTCAATTATATTACAGTTAAAAATAATGTTAAACAAGATTTTAATAAATGGTTCTGACACAAATTACTATCTTAAGAATTATGAACTTCTTAAGACTATAACACCCATATCTTTTGTCACATGTAGAAATAAATTAAATCTTTTTCTTAGACATAGATTTTTTAAAAAAATTTTGCAAGAAATGTGCAACTACTAATACTATCCTGAGTCAAGAAGGAGTTTCTCAACCCAGACAGAAGACTCAAAGGATGTATAAAAATAAAATTTGGGATATAGAAAATATACCATGAAAAATCTACAAATAATAGATTCTGAAAAAATACATTTATGATGACAATGTAACATGCAGAATATTTAAATATTAATGAAAAAACTAGTCCAATGAGAAAATGGACAATGATAGCCAAGAACAGCCACCACAAAAAAGAAAACCTCAAATTTAAGCTAATGATTAAGAATTCTTTCCATGAGTATTCTATGAGGCATATTTTAGGGGGTCTTCCTCCATGAAGTAGCTGTGTTTTGCCTCTGCCAAGCATCTATTACACAATAAAATTTTTCTTTGCTAAATGGAATTATTTTTTAAGGTTTCACATTACACAGTTATGATCTTCAGTTCCAAAAGTATGTTAGCTTACGTACATTTATGAAATATCAAAGGAAATTTCCTTTTTCTTCAGTACCAACCAAACTAATGATGAGAAAGAAAATTCTTCCTTCAGTCTGGCATTGCTGAGTAAGTTTTTTCTACATACTGTCTTTACACGGCTTGGTCTTCATTAAGACTCTATTCTTGGCAGTGCACGGTGAACTCACACCTGTAGTCATAGCACTTTGGAAGGCGGAGGCGAGTGGATCACCTGAGGTCAGGAGTTCAAGACCAGCCTGGCCAACATGGTGAAACCCCGTATATACCAAACATACAAAAATTAGCCAGGTGTGGTGGTGGGCACCTTTAATCTTAGCTACTCGAGAGGCTGAGGCAGGAGAATTACTTGAACCTGGGAAGCGGATGTTGCAGTAAGCTGAGATCGCGCCACCGCACTCCAGCCTGGGCAACAGAGTAAAACTCCATCACACACACACACACACACACACACACACACACACACACACACACACACACACACGAAGACTGTATACTCTATTCTATGTGGGGCACACAATATTTAAACCTCCCAGATCGCTGGATATGCTCAGGAAATGTGTTAGAGGCACTATTGTCTTAATTCCTTTGTCATGTATTCCTGGCCTTAGAGAAATCTTATTACATTTTTGGAGTCTTGTCTAATCATTTAAAAGACTTCATTTGATTTTATGTAGTAATTTTATCTATGTTTTAGCAGAAGAGTTTTAGGTTATCTAGTTTCCCATGTATTCTAATAATGGAATTTCATTGTTTCTTTATATTTTGTTTATATTTAACATGGGTAGATTTGTGCAGATCTTCTACAAGTTATGATATACTGTCAGACAGTTCTTGTGACCCATTTGCTTTACACAAACTCTAGGTCAGAAGTGCTACTTTAAAGAAAGATTGTTCAAATTCTACTTCGAGGACTGGATACTGGGTTGACTGGTTACAATTATATGGGTGGAGAAGGGTACTTAATTTGAGCCATGTGCATAAACTGGTAAAGAAAGTTCACCATGCTGTCACTTGATGTGATTTTTAAAAATTTTTTTATTGTACTTTAAGTTCTAGGGTGCATGTGCACAACGTGCAGGTTTTTTACAGAGGTATATATGTGCCATATTGGTTTGCTGCACCCATCAACTCGTCATTTACATTAGGTATTTATCCTAACGCTATCCCTCCCCAAGCCCCCCACCCCCCAACAGGCCCCACTGTGTGATGTTCCCCCCACCCTGTGTCCATGTGTTCTCATTGTTCAACTCCCACCTATGAGTGAGAACGTGTGGTGTTTGGTTTTCTGTTCTTGTGATAGTTTGCTGAGAATGATGGTTTCCAGCTTCATCCTTGTCACTGAAAATGACATGAACTCATCCTTTTTTATGGCTGCATAGTATTCCATGGTGTATATGTGCCACATTTTCTCAATCCAGTCTATCATTGATGGACTTTTGGGTTGGTTGCAAGTCTTTACTGTTGTGAATAGTGCCACAATAAACATACATACGTGCGCATGTGTCTTTTTAGTAGCATGATTTATAATCCTTTGGGTATATACCCAGCAATGGGATTGCTGGGTCAAACGGTCTATCTACTTCTAGATCATTGAGGAATCGCCACACTGTCTTCCACAATGGTTGAACTCATTTACTCTCACACCAACAGTGTAAAAGTGTTCCCATTTCTCCAAATCCTCTCCAGCATCTGTTGTTTCCTGACTTTTTAATGATTGCCATTTTAACTGGTATGAGATGGTATCTCATTGTGGTTTTGATTTGCATTTCTCTAATGACCAGTGATGATGAGCTTTTTTTCATGTTTGTTGGCTACATAAATGTCTTCTTTGAGAAGTGTTTGTTCTCCCTGTTTGTCTATCTTCAGATGTCCCCTTTTATAGGGACATGAGTCTTATGGGATTAGGAGCCCACCCTACTACAGTATGACTTTATCTCCAGCGTCTGTTGTTTCTTGACTTTTTAATGATCACCATTCTAACTGGTGTGAGATGATATCTCATTGTGGTTTTGATTTGCACTTCTCTGAGGACCAGTGATGATGAACATTTTTGCATGTTTGTTGGCTCTGTATAAATGTCTTCTTTTGAGAAGTGTCTGTTCATATCCTTTGGCCACTCTTTGGTGGGGTTGTTTGTTTTTTTCTTGTAAATTTGTTTAAGTTCATTGTAGATTCTGCATATTAGCTTGTCAGACAGGTAGATTAAAAAGATTTTCTCCCATTCTGTAGGATGCCTGTTCACTCTGATGATAGTTTCTTTTGCTGTGCAGAAGCTCTTTAGTTTAATTAGATCCCATTTGTCTATTTTGGCTATTGTTGCCATTGCTTTTGGTGTTTTAGTCATGAAGTCGTTGCCCATGCCTATATCCTGAAGGGTATTGCCTAGGTTTTCTTCTAGGGTTTTTATGATGTTAGGTCTTATGTTTAAGTCTTTCATCTGTCTTAATTTTTGTATACAGTGTAAGGAAGGGATCCAGTTTCAGCTTTCTACATATGGCTAGCCAGTTTTCCCAGCACCATTTATTAAATAGGGAATCCTTTCTCTATTGTTTGTTTTTGTCAGGTTTGTCAAAGATCCGATAGTTTTAGACGTGTGGCATTATTTCTGAGGCCTCTGTTCTGTTCCATTAGTTTATATATCTGTTTTAGTACCAGTACCATGCTGTTTTAGTTACTATAGCCTTGTAGTACAGTTTGAAGTCAGGTAGCGTGATGTCTCCAGCTTTGTTCTTTTTGCTTGGGATTGTCTTGGCTATGTGGGCTCTTTTTGGTTTCATATGAACTTTAAAGTAGTTTTTTCCAATTCTGTGAAGAAAGTCAGTGGTAGCTTGATGAAGACAGTATTGAATCTACAAATTACCTTGGGTATTATGGCCACTTTCACGATATTGATTCTTCCTACCCATGAGCATGGAATGTTCTTCCATTTATTTGTGTCCTCTTTTATTTCATTGAGCAGTGATTTGTAGTTCTCCTTTTGTAGTTCTCCTTAAAGAAGTCCTTCACATCACTTGTAAGTTGAATTTCTATATATTTTATACTCTTGGTAGTAATTGTGAGTGGGAGTTCACTCATGATTTGGCTCTCTGTTTGTCTATTATTGGTGTATAAGAATGCTTGTGATTTTTGCACGTTGATTTTGTATCCTGAGACTTTGCTGAAGTTGCTTATCAGCTTAAGGAGATTTTGGGCTGAGATGATGGGGTTTTCTAAATATACAAACATGTCATCTGCAAACAGGGACAATTTGACTTCTTCTTTTCCTAATTGAATACCCTTTATTGCTTTCTCTTGCTGGACTGCCCTAGCCAGAACTTCCAACACTATGTTGAATAAGAGTGGTGAAAGGGCATCCTTGTCTTCTGCTGTTTTTCAAAGGGAATGCTTCCAGTTTTTGCCCATTCAGTATGATATTGGCTGTGGGTTTGTCATAAATAGTTCTTATTACTTTGACATATGTTCCATCAATATCTAGCTTATTGAGAGCTTTTAGCATGAACAGCTGTTTAATTTTGTTGAAGGCCTTATCTGCATCTATTGAGACAATCATGTGGTTTTTGTCATTGGTTGTGTTTATGTGATGGATTACGCTTATTGATTTGTGTATGTTGAATCAGCCTTGCATCCCAGGATTGGGATGCCGACTTGATTGTGGTGGATAAGCTTTTTGATGTGCTTCTGGATTCAGTTTGCCAGTATTTACATGAGGATTTTCACATTGATATCCATCAGGGATATTGGCCTAAAATTTTCTTTTTTGTTCTGTCTCTACCAGGCTTTGGTATCAGGATGATGCTAGCCTCATAAAATGAGGTAGGGAGGATTCCTTCTTTTTCTATTGATTGGAATAGTTTCAGAAGGAATGGTACCAGCTCCTCTTTGTATCTCTGGTAGAATTCATCTGTGAATCCGTGTGGTCCTGGGCTTTTTTTGGTTGGTAGGCTCTTAATTATTGCCTCAATTTCAGAACCTGTTATTGGTCTATTCAGAGATTCAACTTCTTCCTGGTTTAGTCTTGGGAGGGTGTATGTGTCCAGGAATTTATCCATGTCTTCTATATTTTCTAGTTTATTTGCGTAGAGGTTTTTATAGTATTCTCTGGTGGTAGTTTGTATTTCTGTGGGATCAATGGTGATATGCTCTTTATCATTTTTATTGAGGCTATTTGATTCTTCTCTCTTTTCTTCTTTATTAGTCTTGCTTGCAGTCTATTTTGTTCATCTTTTCAAAAAACCAGCTCCTGGATTCACTGATTTTTTTGAAGGGTTTTTTGTGTGCCTATCTCCTTTAGTTTTGCTTTGATCTTAGTTATTTCTTGCCTTCTGCTAGCTTTTCTATTTGTTTGTTCTTGCTTCTCTACTTCTATTAATTGTGATGTTAGGGTGCCGATTTTATATCTTTCCTGCTTTCTCTTATGGGCATTTAGTGCAATAAATTTCCCTCTACACACTGCTTTATATGTGTCCCCAAGATTCTGGTACGTTGTGTATTTGTTCTCATTGGTTTCAAATAACATCTTTATTTCTGCCTTCATTTCGTTATTTACCCAGTAGTCATTTGGGAGCAGGTTGTTCAGTTTCCATGTAGTTGTGTGGTTTTGAGTTAGTTTATTAATCCTGTGTTCTAATTTGATTGTACTGTGGGCTGAGAGACAGTTTGCTGTGATTTCTGTTCTTTTGCATTACTGAAGAGTGTTTTACTACCAATTATGTGCTCAATTTTAGCATAAGTGCTATGTGGTGCTGAGAAGAATGTGCATTCTGTTGATTTGGGGTGGATAGTTCTGTAGATGTCTATTGGGTCTGCTTGGTCCAGAGCTGAGTACAAGTCCTAGATATCCTTGTTAACCTTCTGTCTCATTGATCTGTCTAATATTGACAGTGGGGTGTTAAAGTCTCCCGTTATTATTGTGTGGGAGTCTAAGTCTCTTTGTGGGTCTCTAAGAACTTGCTTTATGAATCTGGGTGCTTATGTATTGGGTGCATATATATTTAGGATAGTTAGATCTTCTTGGTGAATTGATCCCTTTATCATTATGTAGTGGCCTTCTTTGTCTCTTTTGATCTTTGTTGGTTTAAAGTCTGTTTTGTCAGAGACTAGGATTGCCACCCCTGCTTTTTTTTTGCTTTCCATTTGCTTGGTAGATCTTCCTCCATCCCTTTATTTTAAGCCTATGTGTGTCTTCACATGTGAGGAAGCTCTCCTGAATACAGACATGGGTCTTGACTCTTTATCCAATTTGCCGGTCTGTGTCTTTTAATTAGGGCATTTAGCCCATTTACATTTATGTTTAATATCGTTATGCTTGAATTTGATCCTGTCATAATGATGTTAACTGGTTATTTTGCCTATTAATTGATGCAGTTTCTTCATAGCGTTGACGGCCTTTACCATTTGGCATGTTTTTGCAGTGGCTGGTACCAGTTGTTCCTTTCCATGTTTCGTGCTTCCTTTAAAAGAGCTCTTGTAAGGCAGGCCTGGTGTTGACAAAATCTCTCAGCATTTGCTTGTCTGTAAAGGATTTTATTTCTCCTTCACTTATGAAGCTTAATTTGGCTGGATATGGAATTCTGGGTTGAAAATTCTTTTCATTAAGAATTTTGATTATTGGCCCCACTCTCTTCTAGCTTATAGGGTTTCTGCCAAGTGATCTGCTGTTAGTCTGATAGGCTTACCTTTGTGGGTAACCTGACCTTTCTCTCTGGCTGCCCTTAACATTTTTTCCTTTATTTCAACCTTGGTGAATCTGACAGTTATGTGTCTTGGGGTTGTTCTTCTCAAGGAGTATCTTGTGGTGTTCTCTGTATTTCCTGAATTTGAATGTTGGCCTGCCTTGCTAAGTTAGGGAAGTTCTACTGGATAATATCCTGAACAGTGTTTTCTAACTTGGTTCCATTCTCCCCGTCTCTTTCTGGTACACCAATCAAACGTATATTTCTGTTTTTCACATAGTCCCATATTTCTTGGAGGTTTTGTTCATTTCTTTTTGCTCTTTGTTTTCTAATCTTGTCTTCTAACTTTATTTCATTAAATTGATCTTCAATCACTGATATTCTTTCTTCCACTTGATTGAATCAGCTATTGAAGCTTGTGCATGTTCACGAAGCTCTCATGCCATGGTTTTCAGCTCCATCACGTCATTTAAGGTCTTCTCTACACTGTTTATTCTAGTTAGCCATTCGTCTAACCTTTTTTCAAGGTTTTTACCTTCCTTGCAGTGAGTTAGAACATGCTCTTTTAGCTCAGAGAAGTTTGTTATTACAGACCTTCTGAAGCCTACTTCCGTCAGCTCATCAAACTTATTCTCTGTCCAGTTTTGTTCCCTTGCTGGTGAGGAGCTGTGATCCTTTGGAAAAGAGGCACTCTGTTTTTTGGAATTTTCAGCTTTTCTGCTCTGGTTTGTCCCCATCTTTGTGGTTTTATCTACCTTCAGTCTTTGATGTTGGTGACCTACAGATAGAGTTTTGATGTGGATGTCCTTTTTGTTGATGTTGATGCTATTTCTTTCTGTTTGTTAGTTTTTCTTCTAACAGTCAGATCCCTCAGCTGCAGGTCTGTTGGAGTCTGCTGGAGGTCCACTCTAGACCCTGTTTGCCTGGGTATCACCAGCGGAGGCTGCAGAACAGTAAATATTGCCACCTGATCCTTCCTCTGGAAGCGTTGTCCCAGAGGGGCACCCACCTGTTTGAGGTGTCTGTTGGCCCCTACTGGGAGGTGTTTCCCAGTCAGGCTACACAGGGGTCAAGGACCCACTTGAGGAGGCAGTCTATCTGTTCTCAGAGCTCAGTCGCCTTGCTGAGAGAACCACTGCTCTCTTCAGGGCTGTCAGACAGGGACATTTAAGTCTGCAGAAGCTGTCTGCTGCCTTTTGTTCTACTATGCCCTGCCCTCAGCGGTGGAATCTATAGAAGCAATAGGCCTTGTTGAGCTGTGGTGGGCTCCGCCCAGTTTGTGCTTCTGGGCCTCTTTGTTTACACTGTGAGCTACTCAAACCTCAGCAATGGCGGACACCCCTGTCCCTGCCAATCTGCAACATCACAGGTCAATTTCAGACTGTTGCGCTAGCAGTGAGCAAGGCTCTGTGAGCTTGGGACCCACTGAGCCAGGCACAGGAGGGTATCTCCTTGTCTGCAGGTTGCACAGTATTTGGTCAAGAGTGTACAGTTTCTCCAGGTACAGTCTGTCATGGCTTCCCTTGGCTAGGAAAGGGAAATCCTTCAACCCCTTGAGCTTCCTGGGTGAGGCAACACCCTGCCCTGCTTCAGCTCACCCTCCGTAGTCTGCACCTACTATCCAACCAGTCCCAATGAGATGAACCAGGTATTTCAGTTGGAAATGCAGGAATCACTCGTCTTCTGCATCCGTCTTACTGGGAGCCGCAGACTGTAGCTGATCCTATTCGGCCATTTTGGAAGCGCTCTCTTCATTCTTCAGGATGTTATTTTTTAAATGTCTAGCACTAGAGTTTCTTTGACAGATTAGATGGTGAATCCTGTTTCAATGCAAAGATCCTTTTGGATACACCTGCACTTCAGCATGAAACCTTTAATTATAAGCTTCATTCACTTGGCATAATGTTTTCTTCATTTTTAATAAATATTTTATTTTAGAGCATTTTTAAATTTACAAAAAAGTTGCAAAGAGGTTATATAAAGATTTTATATACTACTCATTTAACTTTCTCTATTGCCTTCCCAATTAGAATATAGTGCTTATGCACAGTTCCTTAATGCCTTTAATTTTAAAATTTACTTGGGTCAGTATATTTACCCCACATCTTTCAGTGAGGTTATTTTACACACTTACAAGGTTAGATGCTTTTGTAGCATTCTATATTATATCCTGGAATTCCCTGCTCTCCTACATTATTTAAAAATGTTTTTATACATTATGTTTTTATTTTTGGTGCTATAATATTCTATGGCTTTTAACAAAAGCATAGTGCCACTATCCATGATTACAGTGTCATATAGAATAGTTTTACTGTTCTGAAACATTCACTGTACTTCCCTTACTCAAAACATACCCTTCCCCAAATTCCTGGCAACCACTTATCTATAATTTCTATAGTTTTGCATTTTCCAGGATACTAGCTGAATGGAATGGTGCAGTATGTTGTCTTTACACATTGAGTAAATTCACTAAGAAATATGCATTTAAGAATTATCTAGCCTGGGTGCAGTGGCTCACACCTGTAATCCCAGCAATTTGGTGGAGTGAGGCGGGTGGATCACTTGAACTCAGGAGTTAAAGACCAGTCTGGGCAATATGGCAAAACCGTGTCTCTACCAAAAATACAAAAATTAGGTGGGCTTGGTGGCACATGCCTGTAGTCCCAGCTACCTGGGACGCTGAGGTGGGAGACATCTTGAACCCAGAAGGTGGATGTTGCAGTGAGCCTAGAATATGCCACTGCACTTCAGCCTGGGTGACAGAACAATACCTTGTTAAAAATAATAATAATAAAAAAAAAACACATCAGCAAAAAAAAACTTATGTATTTGTATTTGCATGGATTCAAAACTCATTCCTTTTTTTCACTGAATTGGTTTCCATTCTATGGGATATACCACATTTGCTTAATAATTTACCTTCAAAAGGATATTTTGATTGCTTTCTGTTTTGAGTGTCCATGAAGAGATCTGCTCTCAATATTTTTGTGCGTATTTGTATATGAACATCAGTTTTCAGATAAGTTGAGTAAATACCCAGGAGCAAAATTTCTGAATTGTATTGAAAAAATAGATTTGGCCTTGTAAAACCTGCCAAACTATATCAAAATAGAGATACCATTTTATATTCCCACCAGGAAGGAATAAGGGATTTTTTGCTCTGTAACCCTGTTAGTAGATTCTTAAATTTTTGGATTTCAGCCATTCTAATAGATGGGTGTTCATATCTCTTTTTTTTTTTAATTTTTTCATTTGCAGTCCTCTAATAGCAAATTATGTTGACTATGTTTTGTATATGCTATTTTCTACCTGTCTGTCTACTTTGGTAAAATATCTGTTCACATCTTATGCTCATTTTAAAATTGAAATTTCATTTTCTTAATGAGTTTTAATAATTCTTTTTATATTTGGGTTGTAAGTCCTCTTTCAGAAATATGATTTTTCAACTATTTTTCAAAAAGTTGACCCAATTAGGCATTAGTGGTTTTAACAGAACAAAAGTTTACTTAATACATTCTAAAACCAACCTTTTCCTTTTCTGATTGTGCTTTTGTTATTGTACCTGAAAATTGAAAGGTTTTTCAGCCTTTGTTCACATGAATTTTTTTCCGATTTTTCTCTATAATTTTTATGGTATTGCATTTATTATTTAGAGCTATGATTTATTTTGTGCTAATATAATATTTGGTTAAATTATAAGGTCTGTATCTGTGTTCAATTTTGTTTTTTAATAGGGATGTTCAATTGTTCCAGCAACATTTATTAAATCGTCTATCTCTTTTTAGCTGAATTGCCCATGGTCCTTTGTTCAAAACCAATAAACAATATTTGTATGTGTCTATTTCTGAACACTCTATTCTGTCATATTCATCTATGTGTTATTCTCTTATTAACACTGTTTTGATTACTGCAGATTTATAGATGGCTACAGGAAGCTTTATAGGAGTCTTGAAATTGGGGTAGTGCCAGTACTCCTACTTTGTTCTACTTTAGCATGTTATTGACTGTCCTAGATTCTTGCCTTTCTATGTAAATTATAAATGTTTATCTACAAGTATGAAATATTGTTCTGTGGTTTTTATTGGAATCTTATTAATTTTTAGATCAAATTGTTAATAATTGATATTCTAACCATTGAATTTCCCATCAATGTACATGACGTATCTATTATTTTGATCTTCTATGATTTATTTCATCAGTGTTTCATATTTTTCTACATTTATAATCTGTATATATTTTGTTAGGTTGATATCTAAATGTTTATAGATATAGATGCTATTGTAATTAGTACTTTTTTACATTTCAAATTCCCATTTTTTGTTGCTTATATTGAAAATTAACCAACTTTTACATATTGACTTTGTATTTTGCATGCATATTCTACATGCTTATTAGTACCAGGAGTTTTTTGTTGTAGGTTCTTTTGACTTTTCTCCATAGACAATCATGTTATTGGCAAATAAAGACAGTTAGATTTCTTCATTTTTAGTCTGGATAGATTTTATTTATATTTGTTTTAATACACTAACTTGGACTTCCATTGAATTAGTACGTTTTCACATGGCTACATAAAACTACTTGAGACCGGGTAATTTATGAAGTAAAGAGGTTTGACTCACATTCTGCATGCTTAACAGGAAGCATGGCTGGGAGGCCTCAGGAAACTGATAATCATGGCGGAAGGTGAAGAGAAAGCTCTTCACATGGTGGGAAGAGAGAGAGAGAGTGAAGGGGGAAGTGTCACAGACTTTCAAACAACCAGATCATTAAATTTTAAAGCTCCAAAATAGTCTTTGAATCCATGTCACATATCCAGGGCATGGTGATTCAAGACATGAGCTCCCAAGGCCTTGGGTAGCTCCACCTCTGTGGCTCCAAAGGGTACAGTACCCACCACTGCTTATTCGGATGGCACTGAGAGCCTGTGGCTTTTCCAGGAACACTGCGCAAGCTGTCAGTGGATCTACATTTCTGGGTTCTGAAGGATGGTGGCCCTATCTCACAGCTCTACTAGGCCATGTGCCAGTGCAGATTCTGTGTGGGGGCTCCAAACCCACATTTCCCCTCTCCACTGCCCTAGTAAAAGTTCTCCATGAGAGCTCTGCCCCTGCAGTAGACTTCTGCCTGGAAATCCATGTGCTTCCATACATCCTCTGAAATCTAGGCAGAGGTTCCCAAATCTCAACTCTTGACTTCTGTGCACCCAGAGACCCAACACCACGTGGAAGCCATCAAAGGTTGGGGCCTGTGCCCTGGGCCTGGCCCACAAAACCATTTCTCCTTCCTAGGCCTCCAGGCCTGTTATGGGAGGGGCTGTCATGAAGGTTCTGACATGCTTTATAGACATTTTCCCCATTGTCCTGGCTACTAACATCCAGCTCCTCTTTACTTATGCAAATTTCTGCAGCTGGCTGGAATTTCTCCCCACATTTTTTTTTCTTTTCTACCACATGGTCAGGTTGCAAATTTTCCAAAATTTTATGCTCTGCTTTTCTTTTAAACATAAGTTTTAATTTCAGAGCATCTCTTTGTGAATGCATATGACTGTATGCTATTAGGAGCAGCCAGGTAACTTCTTGAATACTTTGGTGCTTAGAAATTTCTTCTGCCAGATACACTAAATTATATCTCTCAAGTTCAAAGTTCCATAGATCTCTAGGAGGGGAAAATTGTCACCAATCCTTTTGCTAAAGCATAGCAAGAGTAACCTATATTCCAGTTCCCAATAAGTTCCTCATCTTTATCTGAGACCACCTCAGCCTTGACTTCACTGTCCATATCACTATCAGCATTTTGGTCAAAACCAATCAACAAGTCTCTAGGAAGTTCCAAACGTTCTACATCATTCTTTCTTTAATTGCACACTCCAAACTATTCCATCCTCTGTCCATTACCGAGTTCAAAAATCACTTCTACATTTTCAGGTATCTTAACAGAAATGCCCCTTATTCCTGGTACCAATTTTCTGTATTTTTTCTCACACTGCTATAAAGAACTATCTGAGACTGGGTAATTTATGAAGAAAAGAGATTTAATTAACTTACAGTTCCACAGACTTAAAAGGAAACATGACTGGGAGGCCTCAGGAAAATTATAATCTTGGCAGAAGGTAAAGGGGAAGTTCTTCACATGGCGGGAGGAGAGAGAGAGAACAAAGGGGGAAGTGCCACACACTTCAAACAACCAGATCGTGTGAGAACTTACTATCATGAGACAAGAAAAAGGGAAGTTCACCCTCAAGATTCAATCACTTCCCACAATGCCCCTCCCCAAACATGTGGGGGTTACAAATTGAGATGGGATTTGGGTAAGGACACAGACCCAACCCATATCATCCAGTGTGATGATGAATAGTAGGAATGAGAGAACATTCTAATTCCTATTGTTTTCTTTGTCTTTGCCTTGCTTTAGGCTTAATTTGCTTCTCTTTGTCTAGTTTTCCAGAGGAGAAACTGAAGTTATTTTTTAAATCTTTCCTATTTTCTAATATGTGCATGTAATACTATAATTTTCTAAGTACTCTTTGCACTACATCCCACAAATTTTGATAAATTGTATTTTCATTTTCATATAATTGAAATTGTTTTTATCTGATACTTCCTTTTTGACCAAAGTGTTAGTTAGAAATGTGTTTTTAAAAATCTCTATTATGAGATTGTGCAGCTTTGTATAAAAATTCCTAGTTTAAATCCTTTGTCATCTGAGGACATACTTGTATAATTTATATTCTTTTCATTTGTTAAGGTGTGTTTTATGGCTAAGAATATGGGTTAATCATGGAGAATGTCACATGTGAGCTTACAAAGAATGTGTACTCTGCTATTGGATGGAAGATTCCATAAATTCCAATAAGATAAAGTTGTTCAGCAGTGTTATTTAGGTCATCTTAGGGTGTTGAATTCTTGAATTTAATAGTAGATTTTCCTAATTCTCCTTTGTGTTTTATGAGTTTTGGTTCATGTATTTTGAAACTTTTTTTTTAAGTCATGTTCAGACATATTTGGAATTATATGTCTTCTTGAAGAATTGAACAATTGACCATTTTATTATAATCTAACATTTATCTTTATCTCTGACAGTCTTCTTTGTTTTCATGTCTACTTTTCTTGAAATTAATACAGTTACTCCAGCTTTCTTTTGATTAGTGTTAGGATAATACATCTTCCTCTAATCCTTTACTTTCAACCTGAGCCTTTTAATGTAATACCATGGGTTTCTTATAGACAATATATAGCTGAGTCTTCTTTTAATTAACTGACAATTTCTTTTTACTACTTAACTGAGAAATTACCATTACATTTTTTGTTTTTCACAATTTCCTAGTCTCACCTCTGTACTCTTCTAATCTTTGGTCCAGTCAGAAGGTGAGAAAGATAATGATAATATTCTGTGTGTGTGTATGTGTGTATGTGTGTATGTGTATTTCCAAGCTGTAGAGTTAGAAAACACATCTTCTGTTTCTGGTGGTTGAAACTAGGATTGGGAGCCACACAGAGTCTCATCCATCCTCACAATAAACTTCCCTTGTTTCTTTGGCAGATGTCTTTTGAATAGTTTTAATTAAGATTTTATCAAATTTCTTGTTTGATTTCTATGGTTAAAGTTGTTACTCGTATTTATAGTGTTTCTTCATTTTATTAGATATTTAGAATATTTAATATGATATGGCTTGGCTTTGCCATTCTTACTTAGAAATCTAAAAAGTTAAAGTTGTATAGTTGTATAAACTATACAACTATACAGTTATAAAGTTGCATAGTTTGTATAAAGTTGTATAGTTGTATAGTTAAAGTTGTAAAGTTGTATGAATTTATTGCTTGGGTAAAATAAACAAACAAAAACTTGCAGTGCCAGTTTTTTTTTTCTGAAATGGTCAGTTGATAATCTTTGCAACTTGGATAAATCCACATAATTTTCTTACTTTCATCCTGAAAGTGGGGTTACAATGCAAAACACATATATATAGGCAGCCTGTACTTTCTGCATTCCATGTCTTAACTAATAGTGCAGCAACCAACAATGTTATTTGAATTTGGATGTTGGTAACCATTTATTACAACTAATCTCAAAGACCCCCACATTTTTAGCAGTAATTACACCTATAACTACAACCTTACGTGTCTCCTCCCTTTTGCTTGCATTCCTGCTGCCCCAAGCCAAACCCTGAGTTTTGCTTATTTGAACTTCTGTAAAGTGTCCTACTAAAGTAACTGTTCCCTAAAGGATCCTGCTGTTATAGCTGTTACATGTCAAGTACATCTTTTGTACAGTTGATATGTGATTTAATTTCTCAAAAAGAAAAAAAATCATTTTTTAGCTATTTTGAAATGTTAATTAGGTTGGCTTGATCATTCCACAAATGTGTACATGTATCGAAACATCACATTGTACCGTAAATATGGACAATTTTTATTTGTCAATTTTAAATAAAATGAAATTAAAAAGTTGAAATCATTGCATAAACTCAAATAATTATCATGAATTTTAAAATTATTAATTATTTAGGATCAACTGACCTAAAAAGTTTGCATGTACCTCTATATCCCTTAAGCTCCAGTCATTAACATAAACCCCTGTTTCCTAGATCACTATGAGCTTCCTTGGGTCCATATCTTTGCCTATACTTTCCTGTTTATCTTGCAACAGCAGTCTCATTTGAGCTATGAAGATATCTTCTAGCTTATCGCCATATTTTAGTCCATTATATCATTGATCTAATAAAGATATTAGTTAATATAACCTCACCAATGTGAATAGTTTCCTTGTAAATGGTATAATAATTAGGCAGTGTCTTAGCTGCTACTACACATTTGGAGTTCACTTTATAGTGTTTTAATGTAGAATAAAGAGAGAGCATTGAATGAACTTTGTGAAATAGGTTTATAAGGACAGGAACATTAAAGACTGACATCAAACGTATTTATGTCTTTGCACAATAGTAGATATTAAAATATAACATCATAAGAGTGTATGTTAACTATAATGTGATTTGGAAATAATGCAGCTTACTAAGAACGTAAAATGTTGATTTTGATAAAAAGATAAATATATGTGAATTCATAAAGAAGAATGTAAATAAGTTTTAGGAAAAATGTATTTGAAACGTAAGAAAAATATTTTGAGATCACCACTTCTTTTTTTTTCAACATTTTTATTTATTTATTTATTTTTATTTATTTATTTTTATTATACTTTAAGTTTTAGGGTACATGTGCACAACGTGCAGGTTAGTTACATATGTATACGTGTGCCATGTTGGTATGCTGCACCCATTCACTCATCATTTAACATTAGGTATATCTCCTAATGCTATCCCTCCCCACTCCCCCCACCCCACAACAGGCCCCTGCGCATGATGTTCCCCTTCCTGTGTCCATGTGTTCTCATTGTTCAATTCCCACCTATGAGTGAGAACATGCGGTGTTTGGTTTTTAGTCCTTGTGATAGTTTGCTGAGAATAATGGTTTCCAGCTTCATCCATGTCCCTACAAAGGACATGAACTCATCCTTTTTTATGGCTGCATAGCATTCCATGGTGTATATGTGGCACATTTTCTTAATCCAGTCTATCATTGTTGGACATTTGGGTTGGTTCCAAGTCTTTGCTATTGTGAATAGTGCCACAATAAACATACGTGTGCATGTGTCCTTATAGAAGCATGATTTATAATCCTTTGGGTATATACCCAGTAATGGGATGGCTGGGTCAAATGGTATTTCTAGTTCTAGATCCCTGAGGAATCGCCACACTGTCTTCCACAATGGTTGAACTAGTTTACAGTCCCACCAACAGTGTAAAAGTATTCCTATTTCTCCACATCCTCTCCAGCACCTGTTGTTTCCTGACTTTTTAATGATCGCCATTCTAACTGGTGTGAGATGGTATCTCATTGTGGTTTTGATGTGCATTTCTCTGATGGCCAGTGACGGTGAGCATTTTTCAATGTGTCTTTTGGCTGTACCACTTCTTATCCAAACGAAAGGTTTCCAAGAAAATAATTTCCTTTAAAGAACTATAAAATAAGATCTTAAAGTAAGCCAAAAAAAAATGGATAACTTAATTCTAATATTCTTAGTGAATAGAATAAAAAACAGGACTTCAGGATATTTTTCTACCTTTACAAATTTTAGCTAAACTTTATTTTATCATGATCTCTGTTGATCTTTGAAAACATTAGCAAGACAGACAACAGCTGAAAAGCTGTATGTGTGTGTACACTTGACCCTCTGTTATCTGTGCGTTCCGTATTTGTGGATTCAACAAATATTCTTCAAAAAAATGCATCTGTACTGAAAATGCACAGATTGTTTTTAGTATCACAAATGTTTACTATGTAAGTTATTTTTTGAACATTTACTAGAAAAGAAAAAAACGTTATTATTACAATGAAAATTTAAAACACTCAAAGTATTAATAGCTCCATCCAATAGTCTTGATCTTTGTTATTATGACAAGTATTTCAGACATAGAAAATTTTATTTTATTTTCCATTGAGGTTGGTTGAATTGGTAACAGCATGTCCAAACATCTTCAAGTTGGGTGCGAGGGTACATGTTTCTTCACATTACTTTCTTTTTTTTTTTTTTTTTTTTTTGAAGACAGGGTCTCACTCTGTCATCCCGGTTGGAGTGCAGTGGTGTGATCACTCACTGCAGCCTCCAAACCCTTGGGTTCAAGTGATACTCCTGAGTATTTGGGATTACAGGACTGCACCAATATGCTCAGCCTTTTTTTTTGGTACAGATAGGGTCTCATTATGTTGCCCAGGCTTAACTTTGTTTTTCTATTTTTTTTTTTTAATTTCTAATGTTTACTTTAGGTTCATGGGTACACGTGAAGGTTTGTTATATAGGCAAACTCGTGTCATGGGGGTTTGTTGTACAGATTATTATATCACCCAGATATTAAGTGTAGTACCCAATAGTATGTTTTCTGCTTCTCTTCCTCCCCTGACTCTTCACCCTCAAGTAAACTCCAGTGTCTGTTGTTTCCTTCTTTGTATTCATGAGCTCCTACAGGCACCTGCCACCACACCCAGCTATTTTTTTGTATTTTTAGTAGAGACAGGGTTTCACCATATTAGCCAGGATCCTCTCGATCTCCTGACCTCATGATCTGCCCACCTCGGCCTCCCAAGGTGCTGGGATTACAGGCGTGAGCCACCGTGCCCGGCCAGAGTTTTCTGATTAACCAGGAAAATACTCAATCACCTATATCTGTAATCCCCATCATAGTTTTTGTCCCACATTCCCATTTCAGTTACCCACTTTGGGACTCTATAGAAAAAGAGAATGCAAGACCCCAAAACATATTAAAAATCAGCCAGGATACTTGGCTTCTTTAACACTCTACTTTACTGAAGCACTTCTATTTTATAGAAGAAAATATATTTTCATTTCTTTAGAGAAAATATGTCAGGTCCTGCATTAAGGTAAATTAAGACAAAGAAGATTTGACTGGCAGGCTTCTTCATAAGTTTAATTGGACATACATTAATAACCTGTGATCTCAGACTTGAGATATACTGATACAAACATGGGTTCAGCGAGGGAGGAGTTCACAAATATTTTTTTAGCCCTACTATTATGCAACCTTTGCTAAAATTTTCCTCACATTTATTTTCATTGCAATTGTACAGTAACAAGGCATGGCAAATAGAGTTATCAGCAGATAAATTAAGGCAGAAATGTTACATCTTTAAGATAAGTGAGAGCAGACACTGATTAATTTGTATAATGGCCTTTCTTTATTTTCCCTTACTTCACTCCATAGACGTTAGAGTAACCTACTAAAGAAAAATGTCTCCAGCCCATACATTAGCCTCAGCTCTAGAATTGCATTAAATGTAGCTATGGAGGTGAGAATAAAGTACGCATTTTTACTGTATTTGAAATAAAAATGTAGATTATTTAAGGCCTTTTAGGGGATTCAACATGTCTAATAAAACGTGGATTCTTTAAAAGTTGTGGATTGTTTCCAAACGTCACATAAATGCCAGAGACAATGAGAAAAGTGTGGACAGAGAATGCTTGAGACAAAAGGCAGTATTGCAAGATTTAAAAAGTCTAGCAGTCTGCTCTATGTTATGATTTGAAAGTTTTTAAAAAATCTTGAATATATAAAATTAAAGAAAGTGGTAGGGAAACTCATATTATAAAAAGGTGAATTGATTTGCTTAATGTAGTTTACATTCAGAAAATAAAAATGAAGCCTCCAAATAACCAATCTCATGCTCAATTCAATCCATCATGCTCGGAATATGTGAGCTGCTATATAACTTGGGGTCACCGAAACTTTCAGAGTAGATGTTTTATAAAACAATTTTTATAAAATGAGCTTTCCCAGCATACTCACAGGTGTGTAATAGCATTTTCTTTTGATCTTTAATTCATTTATTTCACTTTCTCCTCAGTTGATTTAAAGTAGAACTTTAATAGTTAGTTGAAAGCTCTTTGAGATGACTGTTCATTAACTAATTTTATATTCTCTTGAGTATATGGCCTTGTCTAAGAAGGAGCATAAGTAAGTAGGGATGTAGATGAAATTTGATCAGCCATGAGGTAACTGCAGAATTGATTGTGACTATAAATGTTTTATGATTCACTTCTAATAATACTAAAAGAATATCCTGAAAATAAGCACACTGATCAAATTACAGTTTTGTCCCAAAGGAGCTTCATATGTAAAAAGAAACCTATCATCCATTATCTAATTATAGATTGTTATTATTACTGAAGTAACCACATTTCTATAATTTTATTTTTTAATATAGAAATTCTCTTTGTGATAGATTTACAATGATATATGTAATATTAATGTATTATTATATTTTGTATAATTACATGTTACATATTAAAATATGCATTGTGTAATTATGTATATTTTATATAAACTATGATATAGGGGAATTATTATATAATAGTATATGTGTTTAGTCATTGTATTTAATTTAAGAATTCAAGTTAATATTAATTTTGAAAACAGTTTTCTCAATTATGAGAGCTCTGCTCATGAAAATGTCAATTCCATCTAGCCCTTCAGTCTAAAAGTTATAAGATTTATAGATTAGAATAAGAAACTAAGGTCACATAGAGTTCATAAATGTGTAACTATTGAGATATACAGAAATAAATACAAACGAATAAAACCTAAAATTGTTGAACAAATACATATTACTATAACAACTTTAGAGAAAATATTGCCAAATGAAAAAGTGGAATTAAATCCTGAAAAGTTTAATGACAAAAATCTGATAGGATATATCAAGAATGCTTTTTGGTAAGTTCTCTGTTTAGCATATTAAGCCTGTCATGTTTATTTATATTAATAATTCTTCTCTCATTCCAATATATTTTTTCAAATTACACCCTAATTGTTAAAAATATATATAATGCTGTTTTTTTAATTCAGCTCTGTCCACCAAGTTAGTTCTAATAGGAAAAGTAAAAATAATACATATAATTAATATAATACTGTAATGTGAGCAATTCAGTTTAAGAAACTGTAGTTAGATTTCTCTTTGGCAAAATGACGTATTGTGTTAATATGTATATTTTTAAAAATCAAAACTACTTTATTATAATGCTTTCTTCTGCAAAGTTAATGTGAATAAAGATGGTGAGCTTATGAAGTTGAAAAGTTTACTTGAGTTTCCCCACTAAATTCTACCAAGAAGTCTATATCATGTTTCCCTTCCCTTATGCAAAACATTTTTAACAACTAAAATAAAAGAAAACAGCTGATCATATACTTGAAAGAGTATTATTTTGAAAATTAGAAAATAGAGATTTTTGTTAGGGTTATTTTGCTCATAGTCATTTTATTTATATTTTGGCCCAGATGCTCATATATT
The DNA here is from genome assembly GCF_000001405.40 of Homo sapiens. Classification (NCBI taxonomy): domain Eukaryota; kingdom Metazoa; phylum Chordata; class Mammalia; order Primates; family Hominidae; genus Homo; species Homo sapiens. The sequence continues at coordinate 41,981,053 of NC_000014.9, forward strand.
TTCTTGAGGTTTAGATACGCTCTTGGTTCTCATTAATGCTTTGTGTAGAGGCCTGTACTTGGCCAAAAATCTGATGGTTCTCCTGTGATCTGATTACCTCTGTAGTTCAAAGTGAGGCGCTTCTACCACACTAGAACATCCTTTGCATAGCCATCTTCCGCTGCTGGCCACACCTGTGGTTGCAACAATGTTTTTTGTTGAATGCCATTTTTGTCAATATTCAAGATGCTCTTACTCTTCCTTGCTGTCTGTTATCTATTGTCCAGCTACATTATTTTCACAATGAATACAAAACCACATGGGGATTCATTTATTGTTTCTACCTTCATGGCTCTCAAAGTTGACTAACAGTTTTCATCAATAATATTCTGTAGTCCTCATTATCATTATTCCAAAATTCTCCAAATATCCATGTGTCCTTGACTGGGATTCTAACCAATATAAATACTGAAATCTGCCTCTAGAAGTTCATCGATATACACCTTCAGTCTTTGAAGCTGCCATTGATGCTGGCTTGATGTCATCACCGTACCTTACTAAAGTCACAACTATGTTACAGTCTTCAGTACTGAGTGAAAAGTCACTGGTCCTTAGTTTCCTTGCCTGCTATTCTTGTTGATTTGCATCCACCATGACCTATCTGTGTCTTCAGTCATGCCTCTCTGTCACTTATACTGTTGCAGTCACTTTCTGATGGAGACATAGTCAATGAAGCTCAGTGCTTTGTCTACCTTTGGGTAAATAGAGGAGATATCTTCTAATTGTCTTATTTTGTAGAATAATCCTAAACCATTTGACCCTTAAAGTTTCAATATGCCTGTGATTTTTTTGAGGGTAAACTACATTATTGATAGAAATGCCAACCAGAAGTCTAACAGGGCTATCTTAAATCACTGTTGGCTTTAATTATAACACTTCCTCTCTTCAGGGCTCTGAAGTGGACATATCCCATTTCTAGAAGTAGTCCAAGTATAATGAGTTCTACATGTGCTACTTTTAGGGTCGATTCACATGACCTATGACCTATCCCTATGTATATCTAGGTGAATGTGATACACTTCGTGTATTAGTGAGCATTCTTGTAAAAAAGCAAACCAACAGGAGATACAAACACACACTGTATGCATACAAGAGGAGATACACATATACAGTATATACACTAGATTGATGGATAGATGGATATATTCAGCATTACTCAGTGAAGTCTAATACTTTACAAAGTGTCCCCACAGGATCAAGCTGAGGCATAAAGTTTATCTTAATGTCCACTTTTGTTTAGCTTCTTCCCCTGTCCTATATCACTTACCTCATATTACATCACTTGCACAACAATCATTGATTGTCTTGTGATCTTCTGAGAATTTCAGTGTAAGAAAGTGTGGTATTTTTGGTAAGCCTCTCAACCTCTATGTCTCTTGGCCTTGGTTTTCTCATCTTTAATTGGAAGGGACCAGATGATCAATAAGCTACTGTGAAATACTGAGTAACAGTTAAAGGTGTTTATGGCATGTTGAGAGAATAACACTTGCCAAGTAGCAAGAAGTTTTATCTAACTAAATTGGCTCATATTTTCACCTATTTTTTTTCTAGTGGTGGCTAGTGTAATTTCCTGTATTAATCTGGGTTTTTCCAGAACTTATAGGGTATAAAAGAATATATAAATAGAGAGTGTGACAGAGATAGAGTGAAATTTATTTTAAGAAATTAGCTCATATTATTGTGGGGGCTGGCAAATCTGAAGTCTGTAAGTTCAGACAGGCCTACTGAAAATTCAGGTAAGATTTGATTTTTCAGTCTGGAGTTAAAAAAAAAACCTTCAGTACAAATAAGCAGGCAGAAAACTTTTTTTATGTTGCAGTCCTGAGGCATTACTGTTTCTCCTTCTGGAAACCTCAGCCTTTGCTCTTAAGACCTTCCACTGATTGGATGAGGCCCACTTGTATTATAAAGGTCGTCTTCTCAGAGTCTACTGATTGTAAATGTTAATACAGTAGCATCTAAAAAAATGTTTTCACTGCAACATACAGACCAGTGTTTAACAGGATAGGCACCACAGTCTAGACATGTTGAAAGAGTATTATCCATCATATCTCTGATTATTTTTTTCTGAAAGCTAAATTTAAAACACCCTTTAAAGACCAGTAGACAAATTCTGGAAGTAGTCAAGATTAGTTGAGGCAGTAAAGAAGATCACTCAGACATTCTAACGTCATCTCATATTTTACATCAACTGTCAAAGCTTACATATTCTCAAGCAGAAAAAAAAGATTAAATAGAATGTAGCATGTCCAAATTTAGCTTCAGGACTTTGAAAATGATATTCTTTGATTTTAATAATTTAAGGGTAAAATTTTCTGGATAAAATCTGTTACTTGAGTAGCCTTTTATAATATCATAGAAATACTGCAAATATAAATAGGAAGGTTTGCCCCTGGGTAACCAGTTGAAATAATTTCATCAGCAAGGTTTTGGTTGGTATTTTTCTGGTTTACATTAGTAAGTGAAGTACTTTAGACCTAGTCTAATTATTACTATATCTCTTTAAAATTTCATTTTACAGCTTTTTTATGGTTGTTAAAAACCAGCATATAATAATTTTGATTTATTAAGTAATTTAAAAGAAAGCCAGACAAATTTGTTTCAGCTAATAAATAATATAGGTAACTGAAAACTAGCTAGAGGATTTATAAATAATTCCCTCAAAATGCATTTCTGAGAGTATAATTTAAGGAGTTTATAGTTTGACATTACTATAGTTTTATTTTAGGCTGTATATACTGTCTGGTAATGGATTTTCCACTGACTTAACAAGAAGATAAACACTTTCTTAGTATGGTATATTTAGAAGAACAAAAAGAAAAAATACAGAGTTATAAGTAATTATAAGTAATTCTGTATGACCCCAAACTAGACTGTATAACTAAAACCTTATAAAACCCTTATAAATATATATGTTATATATGTATATTATATATGTATATATGTATACATATATACGTATATATGCATATTATATACGTATATATGTATACATATATATTATATATGTATATATGTATATTATTTAAGATGTATATGATATTGGAGAAGACAATTTACATCTCTAAATTCTTTTTTTCTTCACTTGTAAAATGAGGTTGCTGAAATATCTTTCGCTAATTACATAGTTGTAAATTTCTTTCACCTTTTATATACTTGTGAATCATTGTAAATTGTTCATTGGTAGAAGTTTACATAAATTAATTTTCCAACTGATTTCTTTATATAAATGTGTCATATCTTGCTTTAAGTGCTAAATATGTGAAACTAGTGCTTCATTTTGATACTATGAGACCAGAGTGTTATTACTAAGTATTTGGTTGAATGTCATCCAGGAATATTAGTAAGGACAATGTTGGCTGTTGTAACTAATGAATCCCAAAAATTCAATGGCTTGATACAATGTAAATGTATTTGTTACTCACATAACAAGTTCAGTGATGGTTTGTTCCAGTTTAGCAGGCAGTTTTATATCATGTGAGGATTCTCTGGACCCAGCTTTGCTATCCACAATGTTTTGTTGACTTCAGTTTCCTGCCAGTGGAACTAAAAGTAGGAGATCATAGAGAAGGAACACATGCCTCTAAAACCAGGGACTAACACATATCAATTCGATTTATATTTCACTAGCTAGAACCCCCTAGACCTGGATGTCAAAGGGTCTTATAAATATAGTGGTTTTCTGAGAAACCAATTCCTAGCATGAACTGTGATGTCTTCTTATTATCTGAAATGCTATAGATTTATCTGAATCATTTATCATCATAATCCATTCCACAGGGCATTTGTTTTTAATCCATTATGGATTAAAAATATAAGTGGAATAAGTGGATTATAAAATAAATGTTGTTCTCAATAAATATGGCTCTGTGTGTGTGTGTGTGTGTGTACAGTAAGTCCACACGTAACATCAATAGGTTCTTGGAAACTGTGACTTTAAGAAACGAGATTATAGGCTAATTGATGGTAAAAGGAAACCAGAGTACCTGGAGATAACACAAGCAGACATGGGGAGAACATGCAAATGACACACAGTGACCACATCCTGGAATCATTTTTTTTCTTATCAACATTATAACAAAACAAAACAACGTTTAATTTAACAAAATGGCACTATAAAATACCTGCTGTATATATTTCTAATATGCAATATATATATCTCTTAGGTAATTGTCTTGGAAAAACAAGACAATTGTTTTAAGCAGTGCAGGCTATAGATAATAATTTTTTTAAATGAGTTAGGCTTTAGAAGAGGAAATTAATACACAATCCCCTAGCTAAATTATGGAGCTCAATTATCACGTGCTGTATTAGATATATACACCCTGTACACACATACACAAAAATATATAAATAAATATATATGGACATATATTCCACAGCGAAGGAAGTAAATAATTCCAACTTACAGGTAAGGAAAGTTTTACAATATAGGTGACATGAGAACTGAATCTACTGAAAATATGATACTATAGATCGAAAATTTCACAAAATAAATCGATAAAATGTAAATATCTTAAGCAGAGACATTCAAGGGCCTGCTGTGTTTAAGAAAGTTATGAGTAAATTATTTATTAACTATTCCAGAGTATAATTAGATAAGGGTTTATAGGTAAATAAGATTTAGGTTTTAGAAGAATTTTCATGTCATGGAGATTAATTTGCACTGTACTTTTTAGGGGGCATCAAATAAAATTTATAGTACAAGTAATATAATGTAACTAGAATATTCAGAAAATTAAACTGAGAAATGTGATTATCTTACTACATAAATCATACAATTTTTAGTCTGGATTGCCAAACTCACTGTAATCGAAACCAAACTTTTATCAATTTGATCCCTGGGATTTTTAAAAATTTTCCTATACTTTTACATTATTCAAACCTCTATCTCCATACAACGCTTTTTTTCTGGCTATTCTAGTTGTCTTTAGCGTTTTCTCCTTTAAACTCTCTGGGAATTGATTTTACCTACCTCTCATTCTCACATACAGGTTTATTTTTCCAATTAAAATTTAGACATTTCCTATCTATGTATTTTGTCCTGTGTTTGTTCTATATTTGCTGCAAGATGAAAATCAGTATTAAACACAAGATAACAGAGTACAGTTCTGTGTTGATTGATTGGTAAAGAACTTTCTGCTATACAAATGAAGTTGTTTAACTCAAGTAGTGGGAGCTCTTGTCAACACAATTGCAAGAAGGAACTGAAAGCACTTTCTGTAAAGATCACAATGTTTTTCTTATGTCAATAAGGGAAGCTGATGGAAATATGGTTTCATAAGTTCATCAGAGGATTTTCCAAACACCTCAGAGGTTATTTTTTATAAAGAATGAACAGTTTTATTCCATGACATATTAATGGCTAGGCTCCTACTGCGTGGTCTGCTTGTATAGTCTCAGATTAATTCTGTAGTAGTTGGACATTTTCTAATTAATCATTGTAGATTGAAAATAAATCTTTCTGAAGCATTAAGTGGATAGAGGAAACCTTCAGGAAATATTGTTTCTAATAGAAAAATATCTGTTCTTCTTGTGCCTCATTTGTAAAACGAAAAAAAAAAAATTCTGCAAGTTGTCCACAAAATTTCAGTGAATTTCTGCCCTAAAACAGAGCTCAGGGTTTCTTTGACCTAAATCTGATAGTAATTTGGTGCCAGTTTTTTCCATGCTACCCCTAGGGTAAGCCTGAGTCTGAGCAAAACAAATTACCTGCCTTGTCATAGTGTTTCAATTTGGGACTTAAATAAAAACTGTACTTTATTACCCTTATTATAGTAGCATTGTCTCTGTCAAATGAGTCAAGGATTAGTCACCTCCTTGTTATCAACCATGCTGTGCAAGTGTCTCATAATGATATTGCCTACTTTGCATTGGGGTATGAATTTATACTGGTTGGAAGGCTTTCAGCATTCTTCTTACTCACTTGCTTTACTTGGGTGATTATAAGATGTACAGTTTTAAATTATCAATCACAAGCTCAAAAATACTATTAATAGTTTTACCTGTGTCCTGAGTGCCAGACTCATAGTTTCAAATCTCAAATGAATGACACAAAGCAGCTCAAACCCCAGTCCTGAGTTTGTCTCTTGTTTTTTTCTTCTCCCATCAAAGCAATTATTTTGCCTGTGTTTAGGATTTTGTTCAGTTGATCAACAATCCCTCCAGATACCTATACCAGAAGCCAGATCTTGCTGACCTCTTTAATCTTCTCAACTCCCATTCTCTCAATCTTTCTTATGATTATTTAAGTTCAAGCCATCCAAATCTCTCCTGCAAACTATAGTAACATAGACTCACAACTGTTCTTATGCCTCGAACCTTTTCCCTTGTCCCCACCTCCAGCTCATGCTCCCCTCTGCCACCAGAGAGATCCACATATCGTTCTCCTGTTTGGAACCTTGTGCAGAGCCTCAGTGGCTACAGAACAGAATGCAAGAAGCTCCTTATGTTCTGCCTAGTCTCTTTAAGTCTCTGCAGGTTCTAGCGCCACACCATACTCAGTGATTCTTTACTCCCATATCAAACTCTATAAAGTTTCCTCTGTTTACAGCTGTTTCATTTCTTCCTATTTTGTAAGTATATTTTCTTCTTCCTATTGTGCACGAAGTCTTGGCTAGTTGCTAAGCCTATATTCATATTGCAAAACTTTACTCAGCTGACACATTGCTGAAGTTTCACTGGACTGTATGTCAGTGTAGTGCCTGACATGCTCTCCCCCACCACTCTCTTCTATTTCTGTACCTTTATCTAATTATAGCACAGGTAAAATTGATTTGCAATATTTTTACATTTTTTTCTACTAAATATGGTCTTTGCATGCAGACACCTTGTATTGATAATTCTCTCATCAATAGTGCAGTGTCAAACATATTTTACAGGCTTTTGTATTTTTTCAAGTGTAAGTTATCCAATTAGATTTTTAGCAGATAGGTTAGCAAAAATTATATCCACTGAGGATTTGTTGCATATCATATGGGTAAAAAAATAAATGCCTTGGAAAATAAGCTTAAGGTTGAAAATAATAAAACAATATTCTGGGCAATTATACCAAATATATTATTTTTAAAGATTATATTTTAGGCTTTTCACATGCTGACACTAAACTAAATTTCAAAAAATAACACCTTTATTAAGTTATTTGTTATTTTGATTACTGTGACAGATAATTGTAAGATGCAGTATCCTTAAATGTTAAGAACATGGACTCAACAGTAGAACTTACTTAAATCCTGTTTCAGCACTTTCTATCTGTGTGCCCTTGGGCAAGTAATTCAGTGTCTCTATACCTCAGTTAATTAACCTGCAAAGTCTGCCTCATGGAATTGTGAGGATCAAATGTGTTGATATAAATAAAATTTCAATACCTGGGGCATATTAGACAATCTATAAATATAGTGATTATTGTACTCTAAAACTAGGAAGCATCATGAATCCTAGTGAATACACATGCATATACGTATATTTATATGAAATATGTGCATATATATTACAAGGAATAGAGAACTTCTCTTACCAAGGTTTTGAAGTCTGTGAGTTTAATCTGTTTGAATTTTCTTAGTCTATATTCTCATTTACTTGTTGTATTAGTTCATGTTGATCCTGCTAATAAAGACATACCGGAGACTGGATAATTTATAAAGGAAAGAGATTTAATGGACTCACAGTTCCACATGGCTGGGGAGGCCTCACAATCATGTTGGAAGGCAAAGGAGAGGCAAAGGCACATCTTAAACGGCAGCAGAAATGAGAGCTTGCATAGGGGAACTCCCCTTTATAAAACCATCAGCTCTCATGAGACTTATTCACTATCAAGAGAACAGTACAGGATAGACCCGCCCCCATGATTCAATTACTTCTCATTGGGACGACAGGTGAGAATTATGGAAGCTACAATTCAAGATGAGATTTTGAGGGGGACACAGAAGGTCTTGACTCAGATTACTTGTTTTGGTTACATGGAGCTCTTTGCTCAGCTGTGACAGTTCCATAAAATCCCCAAGGAACCATGGTTTTATGGAGTTGCTTTGAGAACACTTTTTTAAGGAAATACTGCATGTGTAAAGGTGATAAGTTAGGGGAAAGACATTTTTAGTAGAATTGAATAAATAGAAAATGCCTTTTTTTTACATGATTTAACATTTCCAGGGTTTGGAAATATGTCGCCTTTTGAGCTGGCTCATTTCACCAGTAGGTGCATGTGACAGAAACGTTTTCTATAATAAAAAGGTTAATTGGAATTATCAAAGACTTTAAATCTGGTCAAGCCTGGGTTTGAAAACTAAATTGAGTACTTACAGTCTCTGCCATATAAGCAAAGTAACATAACTTTTTGAGATTTAATTACATAGCATCTGACACCTAACAGGCATTATATAAACATTTATTCATCATGTTTTTACAAGAAGTTAAAATCAGTTGTCTTTTTAACTTTTACCCATTAGTCCTTTTTAGAGTTGTTCAATATTAGTACCATTCCCACATAAAGCCTTTCCTCTAAAATAAATATCCAGAATTTGTCAAATATTTGTAACATTTTTCAAGCTTCATAAACTTATTAATTTTTCATCTTTGTCTGGATGGGTTTCCTTTGTCTTAAGTATTCTTAAAAATGGCAGGTTCTGTAGCTAAAACAATGACCTACATATGGCTTGATCATAACAGACTATAAGAAATTATCAGGTTATAGATGTTTATTTTTAATCAATAAAGAAAAATATTAAAGTAAGAAATTTGCCTTTATGTTCAACTAACAACATTGCTAACTAACATTGAATGAATATTAACTGAAACTCTTAAGCTGCTTTATACTTTTCTACCATACTTTTTACTGCTGAGCCACATTTTTTTCCAGTCATTTTTGTGCCATTAGGTTTTTGGACATAAGATATCCCTTGAGTAACCTTATAATTATTTTGATTAAATCCGTCTTGTTAAATTTGGCCCATCATTTGAGTCTGTCAGTTTCTTGGAATGTTATTTTGTCATCATGACTACCAAACTCATATTAAACACATTTTCTGATTGTGCCTTGAATATTTTAATGCAAGTTACTAATGAAGTAGAAGAAAATAAAGCTCTGGGACTTTCTACCATCATTGACATGGGCAGTGATTTCACATCAACATATAGGTATGGTCAGTTAAGCAGTCATCAATTTACCTAATTGCACAAATAGAATTAGAAATGTAGAAACTTAAAAAAAATTATTGGTGCTTATTTAATATTTGGATTTGGGAAAATAATGAAGTACTTTCTATTGAGTATTTCTTCCATTTATATAAATTGAGAATGAGGCCATACAAATATTGAGATAAGGTAGTCAGTATGTTTTAGTTTTTATGCAATAATATTTTATTCTGCCTTGCATAATGCAGGCACTGAAAAATCTTGCTTTAGGACACTAAATGCTATGAAAGATCTAATATCGAGACTTCTGTCTTATAATCTTGTGCTTAGAAGGAAATAAGGCAATTCAAAAAAGCCCTTGTCTCCTGAACCACCTTCACACCTCCAGATCCCCCTACTGTCCCTCTGTGTCTCTCTAACACACCCCAAACTACACCTACCTACACGCACTCCACACTGTTAAAGTAACTCTTTGCTAAAGAGGGCTTAGTAGAAAATGGGTTACGACGTGACGGGAAGATGTTGAGAGAGTCACTATACATTTCTGAGTCCTGAAAATCTTTAAACTGCTATTTACCTACTTCCATCCTCTATGGTAGGATATTTGAGTTCCAGTTGTGATCCTTTGGCTCTCCCTGGGGTAGAAAAAAGGCAGTAAGTAGTGGTGCCATAACAAAGCAGCAGTAAGACATATTCATCCAATAACAAAGCAAGCCCAGACCAATGAATTTTCTACTCTAATGTCAAGGATATGGGAATGAGAGAATGAGCAATTGGACATTAGAATGAAAAAATGAGCAATCAGTAATCTGAATTATAACCAGACAGCTATTTAGTGTGCTTTAAATGTTAACAAATGTGTGAGTTGTTAGAATTGGTTGAGCATTATGCTGATATCTATATATTCTGAGTATACCAATTTTCCTGATATTTGAGTTTAGTAGCAATGCAAGAGAATAAAAGTAGCTTTTATGCATTTGGCAATGTCATTTTTGCTTTTGCTATATTCACTAATTTTCTTGTTACATTCACGTCTTAGTCCATTTGTGCTGCCATAACAAAAAACTTAATAATGAGTTATTTATGAAGAGCATATATTTATTTCTCATGGTTCTGGAAGCTGGGAAGCCCAAGATCACAATGCCAGCAGTATTGGTATCTGGTGAGGGCTGCTCTCTGCTTCCATGATGATGCCTTGTCGCTGCATACTCTAGGGGGGCAGGGTCATTGTGTTTTTACAAGACAGAAAGGACAAAAAAGCCTGAGAGAGTGAACTGTTAATGAAGACTCTTTTATTAGGGTATTACTCTATTAATGAAGGTGTAGCCCTCATGGCTTAATTACTTCCCCCAAATCCCCACCTCTCAATACCACCACAGTGGGAATTAAGTTTTAACATTAGTTTTGGAGGAGACACCACATTCAAACCATACCAATTCACAGGCACACACACTTAAAACATCTATTTCCTCAACTTATTTTCATTCTTACCATAGTGTATTTCTTATCATCCCTACTTCCTATTATTTTAATTGAAGTTTAATCTACACTTCTCCTTTCTTTTCATGTTTTGCATGTTTTCTCAAAAATTATTAGTACCACTCCAAAGATATTGAGAGTTTTCTCAGTACTTTGAGATATATAATTCATTAAGCCCCTAAAAGTTGAACTCACTTATGAAAACTTAAACGTTCTCTTCCATTTGTTCTTTTCAGTATGTTTTCACACATTTTAATCTGAGAAATACTTTCCTCAGAGAGGAAGATAATAGAAAGTAAGTGCTGCATTTCTCCCTCTCTCTGGTGCCCTTTCACTCTCCTCATATTCTCTCCCCTCACCTTATCCCTTTGAAAAATCTAGATTAATTTTAGCCGTTTGTATATTTGCATTCCTGACAATTTCTCCTGAGATAAGTACTAGTTATTTATACTGATTCCTAGATATTTACTCCATTGAAATTTTAAGGGAAGAATGTGTTAAACCATCAGGATGTCATTAAAAAGGCCTGACTACTGAGATATTTCTTGGGTTAATATCTCTTGCTGAATTTTTTAAGGTTTAGGGTCTAAGACTCACTTCTGTAACTCCACAAAGTTATTTAAGCCACTCTTATGTGAGTAGTCATTCAAAGAAACATCACTATTAGTATAATTTATGTGAGACCAGTACTTAAAACAGAATACCAAATTGTTAACCGTACAAGAAGATAATCCTTTTCAGCAAGGAGATGCTTTAGTGTGCATGACATCTGCTTTCCCAGTGTTATGGTCCCAGGAAACTGAGTAAGTAAGCAGGATGTGGGCGTTGATTTTGATTTAAAAAAGTTAAATTGAGAGTATTGAGGGATAAATTTCTCTAAGTCAGGGTCAAATCTAACTAATCCTTTCTGTCTTTCAAGAGACCTGACCACACACTTTGGGTTTCTTAGATTCAGTGTCGCTTGTGCCTGCCCGGTTCTTGACATACTCGACCTGTTCATCCTACTTCATGGACCACCAGATTTTCTATTTCTTATTAGGCTCAGTCTCCTTTCTCATAGTACCTTTTATTTTTCTTTACATGTGCTAATATCAGTAATTATATCTAAATTGATGTTTTAGTGGGCTGGGGAGTTACTCTTTGTTTATCCTTTCTGTGTTGCCTGTGGTATTTTTCAATTGCTTAATTTGAAGACCATCATCATCCTAAACATCCCTAATTTCACATTTTGTTCTGGTTATTTTGAAAAATATAAGCTCATTGGAGAGATCACCATAGGGTTACATAAATATGATGAACGAAAACTTTCTTTTTAACCTTTGTGAATTATTTGTGTGACCCTGGTTTTGAGGCTTATCTGCTAGGTAACTTTGTGTTCCAGTATTCTGGGATTACTAGAGTTATCTTGTAATTTTAGAATTTTCAGAACTGGATTCTACCTTAAATGTGGGAAAATAGTATAAGATTAGAACATAGAAAAAAAAGGTGGAATCTTTTAGATAACCAGGGCATCACAAAATTACTAAAAGAAGCCATATGCTAATTTTACCACCATCATAAAACCAAAAATGTTCTCCAATCTTTCATCACTAAATTGTGTATTCTTACTGACGTTTTGCTTACTTTTTCAATCAGTGTTCGCTTTTCTACCTGTCATATCCTTGTAGCTTTCTCTATTTTTTCCTTTAGACTTTATATACTGACTCCATATATTTGAAAGCTCTTTAATTAGATGTACACATTTTAGGAATTGTTCTGCCTTCTTGATGAATTACTCTTTTATCATTTTAAAGTGTTCATCATATACCCTGAAAACATCCCGTGTACAGTGGCCAAAAAGCACAGGAGTCAACTCTGACAATTCAACCACGTTTATTGCATATCCAAACCATGAAAATATCAACTTGACCTTCTAAATTATTTTGATTCTGTCCACTTCCCTTGATATTCATTTCCATCATCTAGTTTCTCATCTAACTGGTCTATTTTCATACATCTTGATTCTTTTAGAGGGATTTTTTTATCAAATCAAAAATATATTTGGTAGTTCATAAAGTTTTTTCCATTATTTTCTGTTGCTTTTAATAACCTAAATCATTAATGTGGTCCACTTGGTCTTAAATATGCAGCTATTTCTCTATTCTTCTGGCTCATCTAGTCATTTTCCATTTTGTTTGCCTGCTTAAGACCTGGTAGCCTTCTTTCAGTTCCTTCTAATTAAATTCTCTTGTGTCATAGAACATTTCATTTCCTTTGCACACTTCATATCCTCCTTGGAGAAAAATCGTAACCTTTTTTGCCTAGAAAATACAATCTGAAAATCTCAATTCAAAAATCACTTCTCTAGGGAAAATATTCCTAACTATCCAGACCAAACCACATTCTTCTATCTTACACCCTCCATAGAGCCACATACCTCTCACTCATCACACTTATCATAGTTGTAACTTAACATTTATTTTGGTATTATTTGAATAACAAATACCTATTTATCTTCACTAGCCAATGGCTCTTTATATGAACAGGTCTGTTTTTCTCACCAAAGTATTTACAGCTGTTACTATGGATTGGGCAGACATTGGATATCTAATTAATATTTGTTGAATAAACTGAATGAATGAAGAATTATTTCTGAACATTTCTATATTGATTAATAGAATGCAAAATAAGCTTGGAGTTTATTTCACATTTTTTTTGGAGAAAAACAGCACATTTTCCCACAAACACTTGCTTTCTTTTCTCTTCTAAATGAAGATGGTGCTTTTTTTATTTAGTACTGAAATAATTGCTCTTTTAAAGAAAATGTAAAAAATGTAACTAAACAAATTATAGCACTTTCCATAAACTATACCTTGGTATACTTTTGTAATAGGTCTGCAAGAACAAAGTTATTGTTGTATTGTTATTATTTCCAGGTTGTGCTACTACTAGTACTGAAAATATCAACTTAGTGCCTTTTTGAAAACAATTATCTTTATTTTTCAGCTATTATCACACATGTACCCTAAAACTTAAAGTATAATAATAATAAAACAAACAAACAAAAATTCTAAAAGTTCAATATTTTCCATAAGATATATGGTATGATTGAATTTGTCACTTTATTCCTCTATGCATCCTGTGTGATTAATGTCTAAGTGTAAGCCAGAGATAATTTACTTAGAAATTGTGATATTTAAGTTACTTAAAAATGTTGTTTCTTCTTTTACAAGTATATACAAGGAAAGAAAGAGTTATGATATGGTGAACAGGAAGACAAAAATAAATATGTTTTTATTCTATATCCACATATGTGTGTGCCTGTGTAAAAATAAATAAATAATAAAATAGTCTTTAAATATGAAATGGGAAGCTAGGTTATTATGTGAATTAAATGAGATAATTTGTGTATTTTTTTAGGTCATTCTTTGCATTAAAGAAGCACTTGGTCAATATTGATATTGATATTATCCTTATTATTGCTATAATTATTATATCTGTTCTTATTTAACCTTTAAATTGCACCTCATCCTTCTTTTTATAAATGTTCAATATTATGATAAAAGACTTTTAATGACCCAGAATTTACAATAGACCATTGCAGAGAGAAATTCTTTCTTAATGATGTAATCCATCATAGTGAATGTTTTGATGCCAAAGTTTCTTCAATCCACATGATGAAAAATTGAGGAGGGGTTGGTTGAATAACAAGCTTTTCACCACAGTACCAATAAGTAAAACATGTGCTACATATAGAGTGGCTAATTTATTTTGAATTAATTATTGTTTGCTCTGGTTCTCCTTTATTTTACTATAAAAATATACTTATTCAACTTCTCACATGGTATATAGCATAGAACAAATACTAGGTGATAATAAATATCTGTTGAATAAATATGCTTGACAGTTGCTCAATAGTCCTGAACAATTGCATATGGAGCAAATTATGTTTCCTTTGATTTATATGTCATAGAAATCTGAAATTTTATTGAAAGTAATTTCTAAATGCATGTGTTTTATATATCTTAAATTATTATTTTACATATTTAAAAATTTTATTTAAAAGACACATTTAAGTTACTTGGAGATAGAACATACATTTTAAAGGAAGGCTGATGTAATAACTTTTGTAGGATAAAGTTAATGCTACTTATATCCTTAACTAAATCAAACTAAATTTTGACGGTAGAGAGCATATCTCATTTAATTTTCTATCAAATTATGAAGCACACATTTCTCTCTGCATGGTTAAGTTTATTATTTATTTATTTAGATAATAATATTATTAATTCCTTATGTTACCTTCAGCTAGTAGCAGATTTTCTGGAGATGGTGGTGTCACATTGAATCTTAAAGAATAGGATGTAGCTTTACAATTGAGGGTTAGAAAGGAAAGAACTAGTGAGATGAGAGGGAGAGTGTGGAATACAAGAAGCAGTAACCAAATCCAAAAATATAAAGAAATGACATAGCAATTTTAGTTGGTCTCATATACCACATGCTGTTCGAATGAATATGCCTTAACATCCTTATCCATGCATGGAATGTATGCAATTCTTTGATTGTTTCTTCTTTTTTAGAACAATGATTCTTAAATATGAAAAAATCACTTTTTCAGCATAGACTTTTAAGTAGTATAAAGTTTATAGTATTCATAAGGAGTAAAAATCACACTATAACAAGGTTTCTATTGTTTGTCTGAAATCATTTTTTAAAATAAATGTATTGTTTGCATCCTTCTTATGGCCAGCTTACATTCCATTCTTGAAAGTGTTGAACCCAGGATGATGTTTTGGATCTTTTAGTGAACTTCCTTGCTGAACTTGCAGCTTCTCAACCTCTGCAATCCCAATGCTAGCACATTGCAATGATAAAAATAATTCTGGACCATTTTTACTTTTTGAGATGCCTGGCATATTAAAAAATATTAAAATGACACAAAAGTGTCAAGGTTCCCATATTACAAGTAATGCTGAGCAAATCGAAATCCAAAGACTGTATTATAATCCCATTTATATATAATATTGATAATTTAAAATATACACCTTCAAAAAATTAAGACCTTGGACATATTGCCCTCATGTTTACCCTCACCTTAATGAGCTCTGCCCATCACTAAATATACTCTGACATTTCTTCCTTATAATTAAAAAATAACTTATCTAATACACTATAGTTATTCAAATTAGTCTAATGTTGATATATTTATAATGCAATTTTAATTGCTTTTGGCTTTTTAAAAAAATAGTGATAGAAAAGTACATATTCTTTTTGAACTTGCTCTTTATATATATTATATATATAAAGCATTTATGCTTCTTATTGACATACAAATGATTATGGTCATAAATTATATATGATAAGATAAAAATTGTATAGACAGAAAACTTAAACCTTTGCCAATTATTTTAAAATGTAAAGATATACAAGGATGCTTGTCATGTTGTTAATTTAATTTTTTGAGGATTGTAATAGATGCTATTATAGGAAAAACTGATGGCTTAGAATTAATTTAAGTATTTTCCAGTGTGGGAAAGGAGAGAAAGTAAAAAGTTAAGTCCATTTACGTGAAAAAGAATTTCACAAGTACATGATTTGTCTCAAAATAGTTATAATGCAAGAAAGAATGTAATCATGTGGCTGCTATGAAAGAGTGATGCAAAAAATAAGCCTCAGAAAATAATAAAAAGGCGTAAAATACAGAATGTAATTCAACTATGAAAATTTAAACTACAAGTTTCTTAGTAAGTCAAGTAACTATTAATGGGCAGAACTGTGTCTCCCCAAAATTCATTTGTTGAAGTCTTAACCTCCAGTATCTGTGAATGTGACTACATTGGGAGAGATAGTCTTTCAAGCGGTAATTAAGTTAAAAAATGATGTACTTAGAGTTGGTCCTAGTCCGACATGATGAGTGTCCTTATAAGAGAAAATTAAGACACAAACAGTGCTGGAGGAAAGTTATGTGAGGACACAGGTAGAAGACAGCCATCTACAAGCTTAGAATAGAGGCCTCGAAAGAAACCAACACTGCTGATATCTTTTCAAAATTTTTATTTTAGGTTTAGGAGTACATATGAAGGTTTGTTACACAGATAAACACGTGCCACGGGGGTTTGTTGTACAGAATATTACATCAATCAGGTACACAATAGTTCTCAGTACCCAATAGTTCTTGATCTCAGACTTCTAGTCTTCCGAACTGTGAAAAAAATAAATTTCTGTTGTTTAAGCCACTTCTGGAGGTACTTTGTTACGGAAACCCTAGTAACGAATACACTAAGAACAAATTTAAAAGTTTAACATTTCTGTTGTGTTGTGTTGTGTTAGGAGGAATTCCCCAAATTAACTGAGTTATTTTGGTAACAAGATTTTTCAATAAAACTGTATCATCGGTATGTTAAACACACTTCTAAACTAGCCGCATGGTAAATCACCAAAGGTCAAATACAGAGCTCAGAATGAACAAAATCCATGGGAATTGAAGCAGATTAAAACATTGATTTTTACTCAGCACCTAACTAGAAATATCTTCATTTTAATATTACTGATAATGCTCGTTGAGAAAATTATGGGGATTTAACGATACACAATGTCTGCCTTCAAAGATACTACAGTGAAGATGATGATGAGGATGCTAGTGATGGTGGTGGTGATATAACAATTTTGAACACATATTATGTGGTAAGCAGTGCACCAAGCACTTTATTGTCTCACTTAAAGAGAAAGGTATTATTGTTTTCTCCTTACTTTACTGAGACAAATCAAAGAGCTTAAGTGATTTATTTAAAGCCATGCTATTAGCAGCTTAAAAGTTGTCCACACATTTTACTCTTCATTACTAGGATTTGCTCAAATAATAAAAGCTGAACTATGAGAAATTATCCAAAAGGAATATAGGCATGTGTCACATAAGCAGACAAAACAAGCTGCATACTGAAGTACATATGTTGCACTAATTTCATTCTTTAATTGTTTTGTAATATGCATTAGTAAAATTAGACTTGAATATTTTAATATGTGTCTATATATTTATATGCATAATAATCTATAATTTTTAGTAGCAAAATATGATATAATCACATAAGTTAGTCATCTTCAATTTATATAAAACATTTTATATTTCAATGACATGATTTTTTGACCTTTGTTATTGTAAAAAGAATTAATATTTGGTCAAAGTATTATGTGGCAAATACATGTAGCTATATACATCTGATAAGGTCTTCCATGTTTTTTTATCAGGAATAGCCACATTTTAGCTTTTAATAAAAAGTCTCCATTTAGAACATAAAACCATCCTTCAATTATGAAGACTGGCTTCCTTTTATTTTCAAGTTACTAATTTGTAAGAGTAGTTTAATGAAGCTGAATGTTATTTTTCTAAAACTACAAAGTATGCTGAATGAGACTTTGGCTAAGGATGTTCCATTGCAAAAAAAGAGGCATAAAAAAATCTGGAAATTTTAAGATATCAAGTTAAAACAAACAAAAAACACATATTGATATTTTGGTTAATTTTCCTGATGTTTAAACTTAGGGTGCAACTATCTACGTTTTAAAAATCAAAACCATTTTAATGTTCTTTTATTAACACGACATTAGTCTGTTATTACTGAGAACAGTTGAATATTCTTCTACCCCCTCAGTTTCTTCCTTTACTCATTTCCAACAATTTTAAAAATTAGACTTTCTTGTTTTCTTTTTTTATCTAGTTTACTATATTCACGTTTATTCCCACACCATCTTTTATGCCAGGATCCAATTTGCATATCATGATTGCCATGGTAAAATATAATAAGAAATCTATCTCCCTGAACTTATAGTAGAAAAATAACTTCATTTATAGAGTCCATTACATTTTCTGTAATAAGAATTAGTGAGGGAAGGATTGTAAACAAATTTCTTATTTCTTAATCTGAGACAGAAAGATAATAATATTTCTTATGTCAATGACCATGTATGTTAAACTGACAATATTTTGAAAGGAGTTTTTATAGTGTAGAACTATGAAGTTCATATTTTAATACAATATTAATAACAATTATTACAATAGGTAACATTGAGTACTTATCATGTGTTGTGTCCTATACTAAGCATTTTATATGCAGTTGTTCACTCTTCATAATAACCCTATGAAATACATTTTATTGTTTTACTTATTAAATGAGTTAAAACACTGAGACATAGTACTTTGTGATTATGTATCACAATCAAAAGAAGAAAAAATGGAAATTTTAACATAACCAGTTTGTTATTTCAGAACCAGAGCTTATAAGGACTATTAAGTGCTATCCTGAAGTACTAAGCATTGCTCTGTGTGAATGGGGAAGGGTGGGGCAGAGAGAGAAAGAGAAAGAGACAGAGAGAGAGATTTGAGATATATCTCACCATAAAATAAACTCTTGCTTTTAGGTAAATTTATAGCATTGTAAAACTATTACGAAAATCTAACTTTAGAATATTTTCATCACCCTAAAAGAAACCAACATCCATTTGCAGTTCTAGTGGATCCTTCCCACTTTAACATTAGGTAACCACTCATCTATTTATTTTCTTTTAAATTTGCCAGTTCTACATATTTCATATAAATGGAATTATGCCATGTGATCTTTTATGGCTGACTTTACTCATTTGGTATAATATTTTCAAGGTTTGTCTATGTTGTATCACATATCAGCACTTCGTTCCTTTTTATTAACAAATAATATCATGTTTTATGAAGTACTGTATTTTATTTATTCATTCATCAGTTGATGTCATTCAAATTGTTTTCACTTTTTAACAATTATAAATAAAACTGCTATTAACCTCCACATATAAAATTTTATGCAGACATTTAAAAAAAATTGTCCTGAGTATATACCTAGCAGTGGAATTCCTGGTCATAGGTAACTGCATGTTGCATAATAATAATATGAGGAAGTATGGAACTTTTTCCAAAGAGTTTACGTAATTCTACATTCCCACCAGCAATGTCTGAGGGATATCATTTTTCTAAATCCTTGCCAATGCTTGTTATTCACTGTCTTATTCATCAAATCCATTTGACTGTGTGAAAGGGTATCTCACTGTGATTTTGATTTGCACTACCATAATGAATAATGATGTTGAGTAAAGTTTCATGTAGTTATTGGCCATTTGCATATCTTCTTTGGAATTTTTCTATGAAAATCTATTGCCCACTTTGTAATTGGGTTATTTGTGCTTTTATTATTAAGTTGTAAATAAAGTTGGAACATATAAAAATATATATGTGTGTGTGTGTATATATATATATATACACACATGTATATATTCTGGACACAAGTCCCTTGTCAGATAAATTTGCAAATAAATATATATATATATATATTTTATTCTATGAATTTCAATTAACTTTCTGGATGATACCGTTTATAGCACAAAAAGCTATAATTTTGATGAAGTCCAACGTATCTTATGTTTCTTTTCTTACTTGTGCTTTTGGTGTCATATCTAAGACACCATTGCCTAGTTCAAACTCATGATGATTTACTTGTATGCTTTTTTTCTAAGAGGTATTTTTTTATGTTTAGATTTCATATTGAGGTCTTTGCATCTTTTTTGTTAAATTTTGAATGTAGTATGCAGTAGAGGTCCAACTTTATCATTTAAAATGTAAATATCCTGTTGTCCCAGAAACATTTGTTAAAAAGACTATTCTTTCCCCATTTAGTTGTGTTAGCACCTTCATGAGAAGTAAATTGACAATAAATATAAAGGATTGCTGAATCATATGTGAGTTCTATTTTCTTTTTTTTTTTTTTTGAGGAATCTCCATACTGTTCTCCATAGTGGTTGTACTAATTTACATTCCCACCAAAAGTGTTTAAGGACTCCCCTTTCTCCACATCCTTGCCAGTATTTGTTACTGCCTTTTGGATAAAAGCCATTTTAACTGGAATGAGATGATAGATCATTGTAGGTTTGCTTTGCATTTTTCTGACGATTAGTGATGAACATTTTTTTCACATATCTGTGAGTCATTTGCATGTCTTCTTTTGAGAAATGACCGCTCATATGTTTTGCCCATTTTTAAATTGGATTTTGCGTTTTTTTCTTATTGAGTTATTTGAGCTCTTATATTTTCTTCTCATTAATCTGTTGTCAGATAGGTAGTTTGCAAATACTTTCTCCCACTTCGTGGATTGTCTCTTTACTTTGTTGACTGCTTCCTTTGCTATGCAAAAGATTTTTAGTTTGATGATCCCATTTATCCATTTTTGCTTTGGACACCTATGCTTTCAACATCTTATTCAAAATGTCTTTGCCATATATTTCCTGCTAAGGACTGCTTTGGATGCATTTTGTAAATTTCTCTATTCAGTGTTTTCATTTTTATATATCTCAAAGTATTTTCTACTTTATCTAGTGCTTTTTTTCTTTGGTTCATTGACTAAGAATGTGTACTTTGCACATACTTGTGAATTTCACATAATTACTGCTTTTGATTTCTAGTTTAATTGAATTGTGAATGTAAAACATATTTTATATGTCAATTATTTTTAAATTTTTTACTTGTTTTATGGTCTGGCAAAGTCTATCCCAGAGAATATTCCATATGTGCTTGAGAAAAATGCATACTTTGCTGTTGTTAGGTGAAATATTACTTAGATGATTCATACTTGGGTTAGTGAGTGTTTCAAATATTTTCTGTCTTGTTGATAATCCGCCTAGTGCTGTAATTCATCAGTGAAAATGGGATATATAAGCCTCCAACTATTGTTAAATTGTCTACTGCTTCCTTTAAATTATGTTAGATTTTGGTGCATTCAAATTCGGTCCATTCTAATTTGAATATATGTTTACTCAAGTTATTTTTTCTGATGCATTGACCCCCTTTATCATCATAAAAGGATCTCTCTTGTCTCTAGTAATGTTTACTTCTAGTAAATTTAATGGTAGCCTTCATATAGGTCTTACTCATTTCTAACAAGCCTTTCTATTTTTCTTGAGGAATTCTGTTGAGTGCTTTAAATATGTCTGTTGCACTACATTCTGGGAGTAGTTATTGCTTAAATGGAGAAGAGAAAATGATTTTAATATTTTTATATCCTATACATTTTGACACTGCATAGTAAGAATAGCTTTTCTCTTTAGTAACGATAAGAATAACATGAATAGAAACATTTGCACATTTTTGTAAGGAGGTGGTATTTTTTATTTTCAATGTTTTGCATGAATGTTTTTACCAATATTAATGAAAAGACTGGCCTGAATTTTGTATATTATACTGGTCATTGTAAAAAGCAAACACTTAACATTATTGATCAATTCACTTTCATTTGTTTTTCTGCCTTCTGGTTTCCAAGTGTCAGCTCTTATTTAACTACTAACAATTGAAATATAGGCCTTCTTTTATTAAAATAAAAATAATTTAGGCCTGTGACTTGTTCTCTGAATATTGCTTTTATTGTTTCTATTAGGTTTTTAAGTGAAACATTTAGAAGGGCTATACACATTACCATTAAAAAACATCCTTTATATTCAGACAGAACTAGGTTCAAAACTATGTAAGTTTGGACTCATTATTTACCTTTACTAACTCTAGCTATCTTCTACTCTAAAATGGATATTCCAGTTTCTAACACAGGGTTGGTTGCGATAACTAATAAATCAATTATATGTGTATATAACACACATACAATAGTGTCTGACTCGTAGTGATAATTACTCAAGCGATAATTGCTAATAGTTTTGTATGATAAGAAATTTAGGGCTATAATCATTTGTGTATTTAATCTTTCTTTTTCTTTTTTGTTTTGTTTTTGTTCCTTCACCATTTCTAATCCTGCTGGTACTTAGTAAGCTGTTTCCACCCTATGATTAGAGTATTTTTTGTCCTTTCTACTATGAGGAATTTCATACTCTTAGATTTTTATTCTTGAATTTCTTCTAGACAGTTTTATGACTTCTACTGAAAATGCAGCTATTAATATACATATTCTGCCTCTTTCCTCCAAGTCTCTTATTTTTTCCTAATAGACTGCTTCATTATTTTATTATATGCTTTAAATAGTTTGTAAATTGTTTACACAATTGCTAGTTTACCTTTCAGCTCTGTCTGTTCTAGTATTCATTTCTTTTACTTTCAACAACTTTAGTCTATATATATGTGTGTGCATTATATATTATACATGTATAAACTAATGATGTAATTACTTTTATGCATCTTCCATATTCCAAAATTATTCAGTTGTCAACTGTACAGACATAGCAGCCTGTGTGTACAGTCAGATATTTCTGAAAAAATACAAGCATGTTTGTCGGTGTTTTTTGCTTTTTCCTATATTATTTGTCTTTATCCATTTGCTTTCATTGCTTGCTTGGTACATCTCTTCTAATAGGCTGATTTTTCCTGTCTGTTTGCTTGTTCCTTGTTTTTCTTAATTACAAACTGAAATTTCAAGTAATCAGTTTATACACATATATGTATATATATATACACATATAGTTCAAGTAATCTTATTAAACATATATGACTTCTACTGAAGTATATATATGTGTGTATATATAAGTATATATGTATATATACACGTATGTATATATACTTATATTTATATATATACACATATATGTATATATACTTATATATATGTGTGTATATATACTTATATTTATATATATAAAAGATTACCTCAGAATTGTGTGCCATTTTATTTCATATTTATTTAAATATACAGGAGAGTGAGATAGGATAGATAAGAATGTAGCAGCAATGGATAGAATGAGAAAGAAGTGTCTTTCTTACATTCTCCTGCTTTTCCAGAGAGAACAATGGTGGTGGAGGCGTGGGGTGGTTAGATTTATTAGCCTTGTTGACATCCCCTGCTGGGACAGAAATCAGATTATCTTCAAGTTTGATTGCTCTCCTATGCTGAGTCTCTAAAGTCAACTATCTCTAAATAGGACCATAACAGATAACTGTGGAGTTAGTTTAGTGGGTTTTTGTTTGTTTTGTTTTGTTTTGTTTTAGCATAGCATGCTCCAAGGCAAGCTTTTCCTCCAGTTGATGGCTACAGAATATTAAGGACAAGTAGGGACATAACTTGGCATAGAAGCAGGATTTTTCTAGATTTTAACTTCTTCTATAACCTCTATTGAAGAGCCCATCTCTAGAGATGGAGATTGCACAGTTTCACAAGCAAGGAGTCTCTCTAGATACCAGGGCATGCTTGTGTTCAATACCGGGTGATGGTGAACCATGGAGGTGCTTCTCACTTCTTCCTTATTTCTCCTAAAACCACAGAAATGGGTATAGAGTGTGATTTCTAAGAGTTCACAAATTTTTCTTTTTATATTGATGGATTCATTTAAGCTGGAAGTTGATAGAAGGTGTTATTTTGATTATGTTCCTCAATTAAGATTTATAGTACACCAACCCCTAAAAATGTTTATGCAAAATATAACAATAGCATTTTTACCTAATTTATTTTTATATTGATCCTGAGAGTTCAAAAGATTAAAATTTTATATAAACTCGGGAATTTATTTGTTCTTTTAGAGTTTTTCAAATTTTTCACACATTTCAGTTTGGTAAAGATCAATAGTAATAAGTGTTAAAAAGAGAAAGTATTAATAGCATTTGATATTCTTTAATACGATGTCACTCCCAACATTTAATCATATCTGACATGGAAAAGAATAATAACAAATATTTGAAGGTAGACAAATGGCAAATTAAACATAAATCTCAGCAAAAGGATCACACTTTAGAGTTAGTATGGTCAAAAGATGATCTCGCAATTGGAAGAAAATGAGGCAGTTTTCACATTTTCTGACAGAACTTGATTAATTCAAGAAACCTTTTCTCTGGTGATTAGCTTCTCTACACTCACACCATCTGCCCGTACTCAGCTTTGGTTTCTATGTCACTTAGGAAGTAATATAAAATGAGATAATTCATTAAAAATGTTGAGAAACATCGTATGTATAGGCACATAGAAAGCGTTCAATAGCTGCCAATTTTAAATATACTCAGATATAAATGATATGTATTGAAAAGTACTTTAAAGTTTGATATTTTAGTCTAGGTCTCTATGATTAATAATGGAACTTACCTTCAGAACATACAGAATGCTCTGAAGTTGATAGATACATTTGAGGAGCACATCCTTGTGAAGCCTGCTTTAATTATTCCAACCAAAACTGATGGTTTTTCACAAAATTTCTAAATTATTTATAGTTTTTAAAATACTACAGATTGGCTATCCATTTTGCTTAATTTTTCAAGCAATTAATTGAAGGCAATGATCATGCCTTTCAAGAATATGACAAACATTATAGTGAAGGCTACTACTTGTTGATGGCATCTTTATTGCCCATCCATTGCTGCACCTCTAAATGTTACCTTCTCATTTTACCTTTCAATTTCATAGCAAGGTGCAATAGTCATAAACTCAATGAATTTTTTATCACCTCATTTATGTGAGGCTTTATGAGAAATGTTTTCATCATTTACATTTAATTTAATTCTCAAGGAGACTATGTATAACTTACAGCATTTCCATTTATCAGAAATTAAGTGAGATTAAATCTTTCCTTCCAGTAATATAGATAGTAAGTAATAGAATTTAGAATTCATTCTCAGCATAGCACAGCTGCAGTAGCAGTATTTTAGAATGGAGTAGCATCATATTAGAATGTAGTAAAGTACTAAACAGAAGAGATTTAAAACCATGAGATCTCTTAAGAACTCACTTGCTATCATGAGAACAGCATGGTGGAAACTTTCCCCATGATTCAATTATCTTCACCTGGTCCCGTCCTTGACACATGAGCGTTATTTCAATTCAAGGTGAGATTTCAGTGAGGACACAGAGCCAAACCATATCAACGTGTGTGTGTGTGTGTGTGTGTGTGTGTGTATTTTTCTATTTAAATATATTTTAATTTGTATTTTCCTTGGTAGTAATTATTGTGGTCTAAACTTAAATCACTATATGTGCTATTCACATGTGTTATATGTTTATTTTGTGTGTGTCTGGTGGGAGAGTTTTTTTTTGCATGTTATATTTTCAATTATAATTTAAGAATATGTTTAAATTCATACATGAAACAATAATTTCTCTTTCTTTTTTTTTTTTTTTTTTTTGAGACGGAGTCTTGCTCTGTCGCCCAGGTTGGAGTGCAATGGCACCATCTCAGCTCACTGCAAGCTCCGCCTCCCGGGTTCACGCCATTCTCCTGCCTCAGTCTCCCGAGTAGGTGGGACTACAGGCGCCCGCCACGACGCCCGGCTAATTTTTTGTATTTTTTAGTAGAGACGGGGTTTCACTGTGTTAGCTAGGATGGTCTCGATCTCCTGACCTTGTGATCCGCCCGCTTGGGCCTCCCAAAGTGCTGGGATTACATGCGTGAGCCACTGTGCCAGGCCATGTATCAATAATTTCATAGCAATTTTTGGACATCACTAATCTTTTACCATGATATGTAGAATCATCAAGTTTACATCTCTGTATTTGTTTTTAGCACAAGCAAAATAGTAAAAATAATATTTTCTTATTAAGCTTGATGTATGAGTGTGTATTTGCCTTATACATTTATGTTAACGTAACCATACTCATTTCTATCAACATTAAGCAATGCTTCTAGATGTTAATAAATATGAACAACTCATTTCAAGACACTGTGCTGTTGGTGTCTGCAGATGTGTGATCTATGCTACTTTTCCTATGGTGGGTTCTTGTCATATTTGTGAGGTCTTTTCATGATCATAACCTCTCTGACTTGCCTCTACTGTTTTTGGAGATGCACAAGGAAGATCTGTCTAGACACAATTTGCCAATTCTCATGATACCGTTGTCCGGGACATCTGTGGGTCTTAAATGGCCTTTAGAAGAAAATGAGACATTTTTTACATTTCACCTGCTTTAGGGCATCGAAGAATGGTGCTTTCTGTTCTTGCCCATCCCTTGCTTTGAGTTGTCAGAAGGATCGTGGGGCATGGGTGGGATGTGTTCTGTCTTCCAGGCTTTTCCTTGACCAAAGCTTTTGAAGTAAAATACCCACCCCTTGTCTAAAGCTTTTGGAATAATAAAAACACATAAATCAAAGATTGTTTTAAGTGCTGAGAAAGTGGAAAGTGAGTTCTATCACTAGAACTTGAAACATATTAAATTATTTTGTTGATTCTGGATGGCTAATAAGGAGAGCTTTCAATAACTAAGAATAATTTAATAGGTAAATTTTAAAACAAAAAAAGTTGAATTCCTTTTCAATTTTTAAGTAGAGTCAGGCTATTTCTCCTCCTTCAAATTTGTAGATAGAATTTTAGATAATGTTCTTATAAATTAAATGTATTCTGGTTTCAAAACACATCCAGAGTGTTGTGAAGAAAAACATATGAATTTCTCTGACATTGCAGTGACAAGGCTTTACATTAAATCTTCATTTTCATCTTTCTTGAACTGAGTGCAGGAATACACAATCCTGAGGGGAATTTCATTTGCATGTTGTTGAACAGCTTGATGTCCTCGACTGGAGCACAGCAAAGTGCACTACAGGCCACCTGATTTTTTATGGCAGAAACTAAAATGGGAAGTTGAAAAGAATGAAGAATTGTATTCCACTCCAGTTATTTGGTTAAAGTTCACTTTGAGAAACATGAAATGTCTCATTCAATGTAATGTATGCAAATGGAGCCTATAGAAGATGACAGAAATCAAATGGCTAAGACTTTCCCAGATGTTGCAAATGAGAGTGAAGTGGTTCTGTATCAGGTTTGGGGGTAATGCCTCAAAATATTGTTTAAGTGGCTGGAGATTGTATCATATATGTTGGCAGGTGTGGAGGAGGTTATCATTTTGTGATTAAAATTAAGAGGAAGGAGAATAAGAAAATATTAGAGGACTTTCATTTCTTGCAAATTAATTCTATTTAATTTTTCTTTCAAGTAGGAAAAGAGTTAATGACTATCTGTATCCTTGATAAATGAGTGGGTTTATATAAACAGATTATCCAAATAATTTAGCCTATAAAAGCCCTCTGACCTGCAACATCCGGGTAGTTCAAGTAGAAGAGGAATGCTATCTTTAGTGTTATTTATTTAATTATTGCTATATTATCAGCTCATCTTTCTCTTTACAGATTTTATTGCATTTAAATAGTAAAATGACAAATCTGGCTATTGTTTTGAAAACTGTAAAATGTATATAATTTTAGTTGCTATTCTTGTTGTTATTCTAACTCTATGTAAATTCTGTATCTCTAGCGTGTATGTGTTGCATACTCTATTTCAGTCATGAATATCATTGACTATTCAATTTAGTTACTACTTTGTCTTTACTTAGAGTTTTCCTTTCATATGTTTGTGGGTTTATTAAACTCTCTGAAGGACTTTTAATGATGCAGTTTCGAAAGACCTCACTATTTAATGCAAAGATGTCTATAAATTGATTCCCTAAAATTTGGCTTACCTTGATACTCAGGAAGCAATTTGCTTCCTAAATTTTTTTAAAGTGGTTTATATTTTAAATCATTTAAAATAATTTTAATTTATTAGAGAAATCTAGCCAAATAATTTGAAGGTTAATTAATTGAAAATGGTTTAACAAAAAGTATGTAAATGCTATATCATAGAATAACACAGCGGTTTTTTTATTAGAAGTTCAATTATTTTAGCTGCCTCAATTATTTTCCTGTTTCAAAATATGCATATACTGATATACCTCAATTTATTAGTTTTAGGTATTATCTGGTAACTTTATGTTAGATTAAAAATTTAGCTTTTTTTATTAGTATACCACTTCCTTATTTTTTACTTTCCCATTCTTACAAGCTTGGATTCAATCAATAGTCAATGTTGAAATTAGTAAGATTTGATAGATATCACTCACTACTTAACCAAATGGCATATACATATATAGATGTATAAAGATGAATATATATATATACACATATATTTTCACTGATTCTGTTTTAAAATATTTTATTTTACATAGCATTTTATTTTCTTAGAGTTAATGACTGACCAGTCCTGCATTTGCCTAATTTTTATGGACATTCTGCTTTATTCATTCAAATAGTCCAACATGGGGGGAGGGATAGCATTAGGAGATATACCTAATGTAAATGACGAGTTAATGGGTGCAGCACACTAACATGGCACATGTATACATATGTAACAAACCTGCACATTGTGCACATGTACCCTAGAACTTAAAGTATAATAGTAAAAAAAGCCCAACATATTTTTAAAATATTAGAAGTATAATATTTAAACGCTCCAATGTTCCAAATACTGTATCAGTTCACTTTTTTTCCCCCTGTTAGTATGTCCCATACCCCTTGATTTTCTTATTCTCCCAAAGAAAATCTCACTCTCTAGGCCAGAACTCTCATCTTGTGTATTCGTTTTGTCCCTCTCCTGTGGTCGAGGTCAAATAAATATCTACTAAGGACAGGACCAACTTCACGGGCATGCAACTTATGCAAAATCCCATGTATTTTTCCTTTATCAAAAATGACTTCGTTTTGTTAAATCACATTCTCCCAATGCTTCCTATTAAATGGCATATGGAAAATTTAAAAATATTGTCTAAAAACATTGTTATTCCATACAGCAGTTTGTTTATAAAATTTAAAGTTGAAAATCTCTTATTCTCAGAATCGTGAAGGCATTAATGAATGTCTTCCAGTTTTCATTATTGTTATTGCTAAGTGTGGCGTCAATTTCATTCTCAGTCTTAATATTTGTGAACGTTTTTCTCTCTGAGAGCTTTTGGAATTTTCTCTTTATATTTGATGTTGCACTTTTTTTTTCTATCCTAGGCTCATAAGTCTTTGCATTTTTTTTTTGATATATTATTTTCTTTTTTTTATTATACTTTAAGTTTTAGGGTACATGTGCACATTGTGCAGGTTAGTTACATATGTATACATGTGCCATGTTGGTGTGCTGCACCCAGTAACTCGTCATTTAACATTAGGTATATCTCCAAATGCTATCCCTCCCCCCTCCCCCCACCCCACAACAGGCCCCGGTGTGTGATGTCCCCCTTCCTGTTTCAGTTGTAAAAAATTTGTCTTGGGGCCAGGCGCGGTGGCTCACGCTTGTAATTCCAGCACTTGGGAGATCCAGGCGGGCGTTTCACGAGGTCAGGAGATCGAGACCATCCTGGCTGACATGGTGAAACCTCGCCTCTACTAAAAATACAAAAAAAAAAAAAACTAGCTGGGCATGGTGGTGGGCACCTGTAGTCCCAGCTACACGGGAGGCTGAGGCAGGAGAATGGCTTGAACCCAGGAGGTGGAGCTTGCAGTGAGCAGAGATCGTGCCACTGCACTCCAGCCTGGACAACAGAGCAAGACTCCATCTCAAAAAAAAAAAAAAAGTCTTGTATTATACCCTTGAAATTATCTTGTCTGCATTTTTCCCTTCTCTACTTGTTATCCTATGTGTTGGCTGTCAACATTTCTGAATAATTCCCTAATTTGTTCATCTTTCTTCCTATTTTCCATTGTTCTATCAATCTATTTTAACGAACTGATTTTCTCGAGTTTATTTTCAATGCCTTTCCAGAACTTATAATTTCAGTTATAATACTTTATTTGCAAGAGTTATTTTTATTTGCTGAACATTCGTTTTACAGTGTAATGTTTTTGTTTTATTTATGTGACATAATAACCATCAGTCATTACAGTTTCTTAGTATAAATGAGTCTTCCTTTTTTCAGTATTATTTTTACTTTGAGTTCCCTTTTGTGTTTGACTTTGGTTTTCCCCTTCCTTCCATTTAATAAGCTTTCTCAAATGGCTGCTCATTTTTAGATGTCTATTTATACTTAGAACTAAGGCATGAAATAGCTGATTAGATACCCAGTCTTCACAGTCAAGCCTGAGAGCCTTTTGACTCCAAGTTGAGAATCTTTTCTTTTTGGCCATTCTTTTCCTCTAGAAAATAAAATCTGGTCATGGCTACATAATTTGTGAGGTATAATACAATTTGGAAGTACAGGGCTTCTTGTTATAAAAGACATTAAGAATATCAAGATCCCAACAGCAGAAAAATACACTTACTCGAGTGTGGCCCTTCAAAGCTTGTGGCCCTGTGTGAGACTGCATAAATTGCATGCGTGTGAAGCTGGACTTCCCTCTAGTAGATACTTGCTTGATTTCCATTGTTCTGGAAACTGCAACCCTCTGTAGTAAAAAGCTCTTGGCTGCTTAGACTTATTGGAGACTATTATTCAAAGTGAAGTAACTCAGGAATGGAAAACCAAACATCGTATGTTCTCACTGATATGTGGGAGCTAAGTTATGAGGATGCAAAGACAGAAGAATGATACAATAGACTTTGGGGACTTTGGGGAAAGAATGGGAGAGGGACAAAGGATAAAAGACAACAAATACGGTGCAGTGTATACTGCTTGGGTGATGAGTGCACTAGTGTCTCATAAATCACCACTAAATAACTTATTCATGTAACCATATACCACCTGTACCCCAATAACTTGTGGAAAAATAACATTTAAAAATATATATGTGTACAGTTACAATAAAAAATACATTAATTAATTAATTCTCAATGTTTCAGCCCGATGCCTTACTCCTACCCTTTGTTTTGTCTTTTCTTCTCTATTTAAAGCCCTTTTTCAATTCTTCCTGATAATAAAAACTATGTATCCTGAGGGTAAAGTAATGTGTTTCCTAAGAAAATGGCAAGAGGCTGGCACCATGTGTTCATCCTCTCTGCATAAGACTTTTAACGCATCACTGCCATTTCAGCCCTGTACTTTACATCTTCATTCCTGGAAACTTTGAATATTTTGTATGTTTTATTCTCCTTTTATAAGTCCTCCAGCTAACTAACTTGACCCCCTAATGTTCGTTAGTTACTAAAGGTTTGTCGATGCTGTGGATAATGAGAAAATGAGGTACAACCAAAATTTTAACCAAATCTAAGCATGAAACAGAATAAGAATCAAGAGAAATGACGTTGTTTAAAATGTATACTACATTTTTTGGGTGTTTTGCTTCCCTAAAGTCTCATTAATCTCAACTTTAATTTGTCATTTTACATAGCAGAAATAGCATTATGCCTGATATTTAAAATTATACACTTGTGAAGACACTAAAATTATGCTTTTTAAGTATCCATCCTGGAATCTTTATGATGTTCTCATTAGACTGCTGTAATATATTCCAATCATGGAGCTTTTGAATACCGCTGGGGAAATTATCATCAGGAAGTTTTTCCTTAATATCCAGGAATAAAAGAGGACCTCAAATATATACAATTACACTATCCCATTTGATGGGGATACATGGTAGTGAACATAGATTAGAATGTCATTTATGTGCCCCTTTTGTCAAAAGTTTCCTTGGCATAACAGAGGCAGGTTACCATGTAATAATGTTAGCTTTAGCTTGTTTTCTACCTCCTTATAGAAACCACAAAAATATCTCATCTTTATGCTAAATATTTTCTTTATGTCTAGCATGTCCATCTTTCAATACTATTCCCCCAATATCTATTCTTTTTTTTTTACAAATTGTCATGAAACTTTAGACCAACAAAAGGCATGTGTTCAATGAACAATCCTCACTGTTCCATTCTTGATGTCTTTTGATGTTAGCATAAGGACATAGCAAGGGAATTAAGAGTGCCAGCTTTGGTATTGGAAACATTTGGGTCTTGAGTCCAGGCTTAGCATTTACTTGCATAGAAACTTTGAATACATTATAAATTTAGTCTAAGCCAAATGTTTTCAAAATTGTCTGCATATTAGAATTACCTAAGAGTTTTTAAATATTCAAATATATTTGTTCCAGAAAAAAATAAATCATAACTTCTTGGCCTGAAGTCCTGGCTTTGTGCAGATCTCTCTGGGTGATACTAACAGGCAGCAAAGGTTGAGAACTACTGCCTATAAGCCTCATTTTTCTAATCTTTAAAATGGTACCAGCTTTAAATAGCCAGTATTTTACAGTTATTTTAAGAATTAAATGTAGAAAATGCATGTAAAAAACATAGCACGATGCCTGGAACATTATAAATAATTCATGTCTCATTCCCTGGCTGAACTATAAATACGATTAAAGGAGAGATTATATCTTTCTTGTTCACTGTTTCCTGTATGACACACAGAAGCTACTTAAAAGATATTTGTTGGTTCAGTGAATCACTTGCTCTATCTTTTAGAGGGGGAAACATTCTGCTGTTGACTTTTGTTCAGCCTCAAAGCCCCTTATTAAAAAAAATAAATAATAATTTGCTGCAGAATCACTTTTTTCCTGATGTACTAGTCCTAGTTATTATTTCTTTAAGGTTGACCCAGTACCCCATCCTAACATATACCTGCATTATCACCCACTGTGCCTACAAAATTTTCTCTTTGATTTCTTCTGTCATCTCTTTCATCCCTCCCTCTCTGCATTCTTCCTTCCTTTCATCTTTCCATCCTTTTTCTCTTTCTCCTTCTGATCCTTTTTAATCTAATTTTCTCTCCCCTTGTCCATCTCTTTTATCTTTCTGTTGCTCTCTCATCATAGAAAACCTCTCTTAAAACTTGGTTGCAGGAGAAGTCGCTCTACTCTGAACCTTGCGTGGAAGCAATCTGTCTGTTCTGCTCAGTTACCACTTACCACAGGGCAATAGTTTTGAATTTGTGTTCTGAGGTCCCTGACCCACATTCGCATCTTCATCCATAGGGGAGAGTTAGCCACTGGGAGTTGATTTGACATGACTGTAGTCCCCACGAAGACATTGGTAATCAGAACACTGAGCTTCAAATTAGGGAAGAGTTAGGTGTAGCTCTGCAGAATCAGGAAGTACCACTGGTGTCGGCTATTCTCCACTATTATAGACAGAAGCAATCTGTCTGTTCTGCTCAGTCACCACTTACCACAGGGCAATAGTTTTGAATTTGTGTTCTGAGGTGCAACAGCCTCCTGTCTTGTATTTCAGTGTTTCATATCAATAATTGACTGCCTGTCTTTGCAACTGAGAAAAATTATGAGTTGTAAATCCAACATTGACATTGTTTTCCTTGCATGCAGCCCAATTTTATGTTTTCTATTACAAAATTTTAGTCAATTTATTCCACAAGGGGTCATTATCATGTATGAGGCTTTTTATTGGTACAAAATAAGAAAGACATATTTCATTTGGCCTGAGAGAAGAACAAAAGACTGTCGAATTCTCAAGCAAATTAGCAGACTATTAGAATATAGTGTGATACATGCTGCAGGACAAATATAAAGAGCCCTCTTCATACATTGCAGAGTGTTCATGGCAAAGTTCTTTCACTGAGTACTGGTGACACTGGAGGCAGGTCTGAAGGTGAGACCGTCTGAGCTGTGTTTAAAGGAGGAAAGTAGGAGTCAACTCTTACATAATAGTAGGGAACAAAAAAGATGAGAAATGGCTCCATATTGCTGCATTGAGAGGGAGTTACTGAGAAGCGTGCCTGGAGTTGTAAAAGGAAGCCAAATGTTAAGGAGCTTGGGCATTATTCTTGGGGCTACAGGGCAACTGTTCAAAGTTAATTAAATAACTTGAATGGTGGCATGATGGAATTTCCTTGAGAAAACAGATTTTCTTGTCAATAATGAATCTACAGTAGAAAAGGCAGCTGAAAATCAAGCAAAGGAAATGCAGAAAAATAGGTTTAATAATGATATTATTTAAAAAACCAACCAAAGAAAAAATATCATCTTTGATAATAGTAGCTAAAATTTATTTTGTACATACTATATGCCAGTCATTTTTATAAAAATCATGTACATGATAACCTCTATATAAGATAAATTCTATTATAATAGAATTATTATTATCATTATTATGATAGTGTGAGAATGAGTGGTAGTTTGCACAGATGTGAAAACCATGCCACTTGAGGTGAAAGCTTCACTCCACCATTTATTTTCAGTGTGACCTTGTACAAATTAATTGATACACCTAAATACAGTCACACATATTTGATATATTTTTGTGGCAGTTCAGGGTTTCTCCAACCCACATCTGTCCCTTTTTCATGCCTTGGATTTTAGTGAGACAGTGAAAATAAGTTATACATAAGAGCAAGAGAAATGAATGTGAAGCAAACGAGAGAAATGACAAGTGAAGCAAAACACTATAGCTCCATCAAAATACCAAGCAAATGTCAAACAGAAAGAAAATTCAAAGAAATGAATTATCTGCAAACAGAGATTCTGAAATTAGGAATAGGCTAAGTGGTGAATGACATGGGAGAAAGGAGACAGGAATAAACAGATTTCCTGATGTCCTTTGATGGAAAAGGGGACTTTATATGAATTATAATGCAACTCCATGAAAATGGATGTGACTTTTTGGAACCCTGTCCTTATCTCTTCCCAAATGTATGACACTGGGCAGAAGTCTCAACCTCTCTTTGCCTCAATTTCCTACGCCAAACCTAGATAAATAATAGTATTGAACTCATAATATACTGTGAAGATTGAGTTAATATATATAAAATAATGAAGCAGTCCTGGCATATAGTAGCACCATATTTGTTATCTATTATTATTATTATCATTAAAATATCCTTTGGATTTCATGTTTTGGCATGTGTGTCCATTTTTCAGATTCATATAATCCTAAACTCTTAAAGAATTAGGGCCATAGGAAAGAGTTTGCTGTCTTTGGTTGCTGAAACGTTCATATTGTGTACCTTGCCATTTAAAGAAATGCCATTTAAAGAAAACTTAATACCATTTAAAGAAAACTTCTAAACTGTTAGTTAATGGTATTTGGGGGTGGACATCCCTTTTCTGTGGAATATGGTGGTCATCTTCAGTGGATGCCCTTGGGGAATGTAATGTCAAAACTGGATATTCCAAGGACAGTGCAGGATCTTAGAGTTCATAATATGAGAAATGAGCTTCATGCGAGAATATTGAAGGAATAGTGTTCATGGATGGTGATTTGTACCTTGTTATGGAACATAAAATGTAAAATGAATGTTTCTTTTTTTTTCCCAGAGAAGAAAAGATCTCTAAGTGATGATTATGATATGACAAAAAGCTCAGACATTTTTCAGGTGGTTGAAATGTGTTCTCTGGACGGAAAAATTTAGGCTCCACACTGAACATCCTCAGGGAAAGATGAAAGAATAAAATGCCGTAGAGATTGAGATGCACAGCTGGATAATGTAGAGATAGATCATTTAAGTCAAACATGAGGTGAAAGCTGGGAAGGCTTTTGCACCTGTGCTTGACTGGATGCTGAATTTCGAACAAGTTTTCTGAAGGGCAGAGATTTTTGTGGAAGCATGAGTTTTCCACTACCCAACATAGAAAGGATAAAAGAACTTGCAGTTTTAGGAGACTAGATTTACTTTTTTCCCCAATATTATGGCCTGTTCTGGAAGTAAGTGACAGAAAGACAAAGATCGAACTTATGCTTACATGAACAGCTCAGGGCCAAGGAAAATGTAGCCAAATTTAGCACACAAAAAGACCTGATCGGCTGGGCGCGGTGGCTCACGCCTGTAATCCCAGCACTTTGGGAGGCCGAGGTGGGCGGATCACAAGGTCAGGAGATCGAGACCATACTGGCTAACACGGTGAAACCCCATCTCTACTAAAAATACAAAAAATTAGCCGGGCGAGGTGGCGGGCACCTGTAGTCCCAGCTACTCGGGAGGCTGAGGCAGGAGAATGGCGTGAACCCGGGAGGCGGAGCCTGCAGTGAGCCGAGATCGCGCCACTGCACTCCAACCTGGGCGACAGCGAGACTCCGTCTCAAAAAAAAAAAAAAAAAAAAAAAAAAAGACCTGATCTTACGCAAATTTAAGCAGAAGAGAAGCAACCTGAGGAAAAACAACATTAGTTAAGCAAAACAAAATAAACAGTAATATTGGGTGGTTAGAGTGAGGTCCCTGACCCACATTCGCGTCTTCATCCATAGGGGAGAGTTAGCCATTGGGAGTTGATTTGACATGATTGTACTCCCCGCGAAGACATTGGTAATCAGAACACTGAGCTTCAAATTAGGGAAGAGTTAGGTGTAGCTCTGCAGAATCAGGAAGTACCACTGGTGTCGGCTATTCTCCACTGTTATACACAGAAATAGCAAGAACCAAGACATCCCCTCTTATTGTTGTAAAAAATGTGAACGTCCTCTGAGTGACAGTGCCGGGAAACTGGCAAAGTCTCCAGACCGGTGCCGGTAAAACCCCTGAGAATGAGACTTAACACTGAGTTTGAGCTGTGTTCCAGACGTTTCTGGCACTTTAATAAGGGTAGTGAAGGCTGAGTAAAAATCTGAGTAGGATTTATGAGAAATGAATGCCAAGTGATACTGGACAGTAATCAAGTTACCACAACTTCTAACCACTGGAGTGGCTTTTGATCTATGTTTTTGTACAAAGTTATAGCTATTTATATTGACTACAAACAAATTTCAAAATTCCGGAGAAAAGTTTGTTGAAATTGGATTTTTGCAAAGAGATTATGCAGACTACATAGTAATGGCCTTTCTGCAAGAGTGTATCTACAATCAAAAAGTGATTGCATAGATGGTCCATATTGGATCAACTAAAATTTATTGTTTATGCTGCCCCTTATTTTGCCTATTGAGAATAATCTTTTGTCACATTCACAGAGCCTTGGGAGAAATGCCAGGAAGCACTGTATACAGTTTTCTGAGACATTTAAGGAATATTTGATTTCGATGTTTTCTGATCCCCTGAGTTTTTAAAAGGGTAGTTAGAAAATAAGAGTACGTTTCTATCTTTATAAGTGAGACATGATCTTCTTAAAAAGGAAATAGTGCTTGATAGGGTAAAAATAATCCAAAATTTTGAGGAGTGCTGTAGAATGATTGTTTTCTCTAAGATCACTTTTTCTAAGGTGAGCAGAAGCTTTTAATTAATGTCGTTAGCTTGTAGTGTGGTAGGTATCATGGGTCACTGAATATAGGAATGCATAATAAATCTCTCAAAATTTGAATATATGTGGATAAAAGAATACTGAAAAAAAAAAAAACAGAATGAGAGTGATCATCACATCATCAGAAGTCCAGGATGTACTTACTCTTGTGCAGCATGAATAGTTTCAGTCTTAACATTTAAAGAGTAGGTGTAAGCAGATAGACATTATAAGAAAAAAAAAAAAAACTTCTCTTCAGAAACCCAAAGGAGAATTTAATGCAGCATATGCATCTTAAAATTAACATGCATACAACTGAATTTTGCTATTATCTCAAAAATGGCTCCCCTTGCATGTTCATAGCTGTAAATGGTAACTCTGTTATATTTGTTCAGGTCAGAACTTTAGATTGATTCTTCACTCACTTTTCTTTATAATTTCCCATTTCATTAGCAAAATCTATTTGACCTTTTTTTCAAAATTTATCCAGACTTGTAAAACCTCATACCACCTCCAGAACTTACCTGAATCCCTTCCACATCCATCTCACTCCTGGGTTATTCCAGTACACTCTTATATGGTCTCCCTTGCTTCACCCTCTTTCATCATGGTATTCGTTAGGACTTTTTGCTAACATCACTTCTTTTAGCACTGGCCATAGAGGAGGAATCTGCTTCTCTACTCACTTAACCTCAGACATGGCCATGTGACTTGTTTGGCCAGTGAAACGTGTAAGAATTGATCTGCATCCTTTCTGGGCTATAGCTTTAAGAACCAGAGTGACAGATGGAGCTTCCATAAGCCCTTCACTAAGATTTCTGTTAGGAGCCTAACTCCCTTGAGAACACTGGGTAGATTTGAAGAATAAGAGAAAAAATAAATGTAGCTTTAAACCACTGAGACTTTCAGGTTGAAAAACAGCTTAGTTTAGCCTATGTTACCTGAGACAGGAATTGTTTCAGGAGTTACCAAAGAACAAGACAGCAGCAACAAAATACCTGGCATTGGTTATGGTGATGGATGGTAGGTGTCAAAGAGATATTATTGACAGCTGGAAGGATGGTGGTTCATGTTCACATGTAGCAATGTGGAAATTAAAGGTTGTAACTACTGGATTTATAGCTTCAGAAGAAAGAATAAGAAAGCATTAGAAGATTGAGTTTCTTACTTTTGACTGTATTTTGACATGATATTTAAGGGAAGAAATTAATTAATTAATTTGCAACAAAGAATGAAAAGGACTAAAAGAAAGTAAAACAATGTGGGAGCTTGGAAGTTCCCATGTATAACTAATTTCCATCTCTATCTAGTAAAAATAAAACTGTGAAGGCCTTGAAAAAGCAGAAACTAATTGAAATGTAGTTTAGCAGCAGCAAGGGTCAAAACAAAGGCGTGGCCATCACATCCATTTAATAATCTCTGAATGGATTAGTTTCTCACCTAGCAAATCGTTTCAGTTGAACAGGTAGACATAGAGAAAAATACTGGGGGTGTGCTTTTCCCAGGATATCTGTTGTTTATACCTGCAAAGAAGTCGGGAGAGAGGAGTATAGTGCCAAAAAAAATTTGAGTGAGATTATTGGCACATGAAACTGACTGAAAACAAATAGGAAATAGGTGACTGTAGCTTTAAGAGCATTGTGTGTTAAAAGAACCATCAACCTTTGAAACTGATTATTAGAAACTTAAAATAGTTCTTGGGCCCTGAACTTTCTAGAGGTAAGGAAAGCTTAGAAAGCTACTCCTGTCTGAATGAGGACACCTTTTCTGATATCCTCTTCAGAAATATCCAGTGAGGACAATTTAAAAAGAGAGATCAGAGCCTGGGACCCCTGAGAATTACAGGTTGGAGATCTACTCTTAGGAAGAAACCCTCATAATATCTGCTTAGTGGGAGTGCAAAATTTCTATGATTCAGTGGCTTCTAGGTAGCCCTGCATTCTTCCCCTTCCAAAATAAGAATTTTTATTCCAATCTTTCCATTTCACTTTCTTCAGACAAATGGGAGTGGCGGAGTGGGGAGGGGAATGATAATATAAATTGTGTTTTTTTTCCCCTTAAGTCTCTAAAACAAGAGGTGCCACATCTAGACTTCTATAGACATAATCATTAAATTTTGTTCTTTTAAATCTTAATATTAATTTTATTGTATAGGACTTTTGGCTTTTCTTCTTGGAGAGGGAATTTTGCAATCAAAAAAGAAAGTAAACCCAACATTTGTGACCATAAGGGAAGAACATTGATCAGTTGGGGTGTTCAAAAATAGCTAGTTGTTGTTAGGCATTTTTTACTATTAAAATTCTCTAACAAGTTGAATTCAAGCAGCGTCATGTGATTTTGCATGGACCAGTGCAATATGAGCAGAATTGATGGTGTCACACAGAGAGGCAGAAGCTTTAAGAGCCAATGTGTGGTGTGTCACAGTATTTTCTTTGTACTCTGCTTATGGAAGCAAATTCACTTGTTTAGACCCCTGAGTAACTATTATGTATACAATCTCCTTTCCGACTAACAATGTAGATGTAGAACAAATGAGAGATAGCTTCATGGTTGTAATCAACTGAAATTTTTAGGATGTTTTCACTGCAGCATAACTTAGCCTATCCTAATTACTATTAACTCAAATTTTACCCACAACATAGAATACACAATGATCACTTAAAAATCTGTCATGTTATCTGTCCTTCTTCATAAACCCCTTCAATGGCTCAGGGTAAAAGACAAAACCATAATATAAATTGTCTTTATGACAACATTCTGTCCGAATTTCTTTTGACTCTCCATTTCATTCTTTCCTGTGTAAACAATATTTCTGCCCTTACTTTTCTTTGCACGTGGTTAGAATAGTTGCTCTTCCCCTTTGCTGCGATTTCGACCTAGAACGCTCTTACTCCAATTATACACACAAATTTTTCTCTCACTTCCTTCATGTGTACTCAAGTATCTCTTTAACTGTAAAACTTTCCTGACCATTTTTATAAAATAGCAGTAACACCTGCTCTTATGTATTCATCTTAATTTACTTCCCTTTTCTCCATAACAGAACATAGTCTTGATCCACATTTTACCTCCTTTTCTTCCCACACCAAGTTGCATCTTGTAGAGTGAAGGCCTTTTGTACATATATATGCCTGCTTCATCTTGAATACTTAAGCTTTACATGCAGTCCCTGTAAACCCCTGATCCCTTAGCCATCCTTAGGGACCAGGGGTACACATACGTCTTTCGGAGAAAAGATTCAGGCAGGGAAGAGGCTAGAACAGGTACTAGAAACAAAGTTGGATCATTTATGCAAAGAATTCATCGACCTTAGGTATGCATCGTCTAGAAATGGGTGGTATGTTCTTTGTGTAGATCCAACCCCTGATCCTGCTACTTTTTTTTTTTTTTCCTATGTGGGCAAAAGGTAGGAAATTGGCCAGAGAAAGTCTGAAGTAGGACTTTCTATACCACAGGACTCAGGAAAATGGCCTTTCTTCTAAGTCTAAGGGCATTGTGGTGCCAGTAAAGTTGTTTTCCAGAGACTCTTCCACAAAATGTTATCAGTAAGATCTGTGTGTTTTATAATCATAAACTCTTGTTGAGTTAGAGCTCAATAGGGGTACTTAAGGCTTTAGGTGGTAGTGGAAAGCAAAAATTGAGTCTTTTAGGAGGTAGCAGATGGTTAAACACAAATAATTCTTCTTTAGGAAAAGTAGGACATTTAATTTATTAAAGAGGTTTTTAATGAATAATTTGGAGCTTCATAAATGTGCAGCAAAGGCAATTGGTGCTGATTCAGAGACAACATTCTGCAAAATAACATTTCATGCAAAATAACTTTGGAACCTTGGGGAGGAAATGGAGGCCATTAATAAATAGAGTATGGTTTTTCTAGCCAATGATGGTAGCAGAGGGTCAGAAAATCATGTTAATTGTACAGGAACTATTCAGTGCACAATATTGTATACCAAGATGTTCTATCTCCTGATGAGGCACATCTTCCTGTGAACCTCTGAAGTAGACATACATTAACTTTGTTTATTAAAACAAGATATCCTGATGCTGAGTAACTTGCTGGTGCTAAAAAAATTATTACATTTCCTGTGTGCCTGAAATCCTCCAGAGTAGCATGGCTATTAAAGGACAAGTGCTCTTTTAACAAATGGAATATGACCTAGGATAACATGCCAATTATTATTTAATTGCTATAGAAACATTTTTACATGTTTTGGATCATTCCCTTCATACTCATGGAATACTCATGGGATCATACTCATGGAATCATGGAATACTCATGGAATCATACTCATGGAATACTCATGGAATCATACTCATGGAATCATTCAACTCAAAAAAAAAATAGCAAACCTTTGTTAACCATGCAAGGAATTCTTTTATAATAAAATTAGCAGTAGAATTATTGGGCCTTCCAGTCTAGTGATTTTCAAAAGTTGGGCTTCATGGTGCCATTACAATCTTGAAAGTTACTGAGGATGCCAGAGAGCTTTTGTTGATGTGAGTTACATCTAGTGATATTTGCAATATTAGAAATTAAAATGGGCCGGGGGTGGTGGCTCACGCCTGTAATCCCAGCACTTTGGGAGGCTGAGGCGGGTGGATCACCTGAGATCAGGAGTTCAAGACCAGCCTGGCCAACATGCTGAAACCCCGTCCCTACTAAAAATACAAAAATTAGCCGGGCATGGTGGCACGCACCTGTAATCCCAGCTACTCCGGAGGCTGAGGCAGGAGAATCACTTGAACCCGAGAGGCGGAAGTTGCAGTGAGCCAAGATCACACCATTGCACTCCAGCCTGGGTGACAGAGCGAGACTCTGTCTCAAAAAAATAAATAAATAAAATAAATAAATAAATAAATAAAAGATATTAAAGTGGATATTTAAAAAATTTAAGTGACATCAATGAATGTTAACATAGTTTTAAAAATATACCTATATTATAAAAAGAAATAGAAACTGATATTATTTTGCATTTAAAAAAGTCTTTCTAATGTTTGGCTTGAGAAAACATATGGGAATATCAGATCTATTGGTGCATTCATCCTGTTGCATACTATATATCATGTAACCTCTGAAAAAATATCACTGTGCAAACATGCAAGTAAAAAAGCAAATAATCTCTTAGTACTAGTATAAACATTGTTTTAACCTTTGGCACCTTTAAATTTTCTCAGAGAACCTCAAGGGTTTCCAGACCACATTTAGAAAACCACTGTCCTAATTTTATGCATTTAATGACTGTAGAACGGCACTACTGTGTAAGATCTCTAAGACTCGTGTTATCTATTTAAATATAAGTTGATTATAATTAAATAAAACTGTAAAATTTAGTTTCTTATTCTCACTAACCTCTTTTTAGGTGTACAGCAGCTACATGTAATTACTGGCTACTGTGTTGGGTAGCATACAGATTAAACATTTTCCTCACCATAGAAAGTTAAGTTGAACAGCATACTGCTCTATTCTTTATGATGTTTCTTTTCTTCTTCTTTTTTCTTTTTCTTTTTTTTTTTTTTTTTGAGATGGAGTCTCGCCTGTTGCCCAGGCTGGAGTGCAATGGCACAATCTCAGCTCACTTCAACCTCTGACTCCCGGGTTCAAACGATTCTCCTGCCTCAGCCTCCTGAGTAGCTGGGATTACAGGCACGCTAATTTTTTGTATCTTCAATAGAGATGGGGTTTCACCATGTTGGCCAGGCTGGTCTCAAACTCCTGACCTCATGATCCACCCACGTTGGCCTCCCAAAGTGCTGGGATTATAGGCCTGAGCCACGGTACCTGGCCTATTTTTCTACTTTTTAGGAGAGAGTCCTTCCCTTTGGTCAGTGTCCGTTCATTTTGGCTGCTGTTAGAGAATACCATAAACTAGATGGCTTATAAACAACAGAAGTTTATTTATCACATTTGTGGAGGTTAGGGGGTCCAAGACCAAGGTGCCAGAAGATAAACTATCTGATGGAGTCCTGTTTCCCAGTTCATAGACAGCAGTTTTCTTGATGAAACCTCACTTGGTGGAATGCAAGGAAATTCCCTTGAGTCATTTTTTAATAGGAGCACTAAATCCATTTGTGAGGCTTCCACTCTCATGACTTAATCAACTCCCAAAGGCCTCATCTTTAAATATTATTATATTGGGGATTGGGTTTCAACATATAAATCTGGGGGACAAAAATCTTCAGTTTATAGCATTTTAAGAATAATCCTCTTTGACTCAGTGGTCTGCCTTCCAGGATGACTGGGGCAAAAGTTTCAACTTCTGAACTTGCTGAAGCAGCAACCCTGCTCCCTCAGCTTTGCTGGCTAGGGCTTGGACTCTGACATAGTTCTGATGTGTGTCCTGGCCCAAATTGCGTGTTGAACTGTCATCTCCATTGTTGGAGGTGGGGCCAGGTAAGAGGTGATTGGATCATGAGTGTAGATTTCTCATGAAAGGTTTACCACCATTCCACATACTGTCCTCACGATAGTGCGTGAGTTCTCACAAGATCTGATCATTTAAAAGTGTGTAGCACCTCATTTCTTATTCCTGCTCTGGCCACGTGATTTGCCTGCTCCTGCTTCACCTTCCACCATGATTGTAATTTTCCTGAGGCCTCCACAGAAGCCCAGTAGATGCCAGCAGCATGCTTCCTGTATAGCCTGCAGAACCATGAGCCAATTAAACCTCTTTTCTTTATAAATTGCCCAGTCTCAGTTATTTCTTTATAACAATGTGAGAATAGACTAATACAGGCCTCCAAGGCCCTGGGCCTAGATCCTGCACCT
Organism: Homo sapiens; assembly: GCF_000001405.40. NCBI lineage: Eukaryota > Metazoa > Chordata > Mammalia > Primates > Hominidae > Homo > Homo sapiens. The sequence continues at coordinate 42,025,304 of NC_000014.9, forward strand.
ATGATGAATCCCTTTTTGGGCCCAGCTGCTCTCCAGGGATGGGATGCTAAGCCTGTGGCTCTTCCAGGAGGCCCTATCCTTTGAAATGGAGATGAAGATAGCCACAGCCTCCTGCTGTTCTGGGTGCAGTCCATGGCACATTGGGCTCCATCTGAACCACTCCCAAGGCAGCTGGGGAATATAATGCTGGAGTGAGGGGAACAGAGCTCATAATTTGAGATACTGTCAAAGCAGAGTGTACCAAAGTTCTACATGTGCTGGTGACATGCCTCTCTCCCCCTGCATCCCTCCAACCCCTGTTTAAAACTGCTCTGACCCCAGTGTTTGCACTCTGGGCCCATAATAGGAGTAGCAGCTCTGAAGATCTCTGAATTGCCATTATCCATTGTCTTGAACAATAGCTCCTACCTTCTGTTGAAATGCTTGATGATCTTCTTTTTGGAGGTGCCTTGCCCACATCCTTAGTGTTCTCCCATGAAGCAGGCTTTCTCATTTCCTTCAACACAGGCAGGCTGAGAATTTTCCAAATCTTCAAGCTGTGATTCCCTCTTGATGAACAATTCCATGTTTAATTTGTTTCTCTCCTCTCATATTTTACTATAGCTGTCAGGAGAAACCAGGCCACTCCTTCCATATTTCACTTAGAAATGTCCTCAGCCAAATATCTGATTTAATCACTCGCAAATTCTACCTTCCACAAAACACTAGGACACAAGCACAATTCAGCTAAGTTCTTTGTCACTTTATAATAAGTCTCACCTTTCCTCCAGTTTTCAATAACAGTTTTTTTTTTTTCATTTTCATGAGACCTCATAAGAATATTGTTTACACTCTGTGTTCAGCTCATGATTACTTAGGTATTCTCTAAGAAGATTAAGGCTTTCTCTACACGTTCCTCTTTTCTTTCCAGGCTTCCACCACAATCATCCTTAATGATTTATTCTTAGTAATATAGACTTTTTCTAGCATCAATTTCAAAACTTTTCACCTCTCTACCCATTACCCAGGTTCAAAGCCACTTCCACATTTGTAGGTATTTGTTACAGAAGTACCCCACATCTCAGTATCAATTTCTGTCTTAGTACTTTGGGGTTGCTAAAATAGAATACCATAGACTGGGTAACTTACAAACAGCAGAAACTTATTTATTACAACTTTGGAAGCTGGTAAATCCAGAATCAAAGTGCTGGAAGTTTTGGTGTCTGAAGAGGGCTCAGTTCTTGGTTCATACACAGACATCTTCTTACAGTCACATCACAGAGCAGAAGGGGCAAGAGAGTTCTCATGGATCTCTTTTATGAGAATATTCTTCCCATTACTGAGAGCTCTGCCCTCTTGATGTAATCACCTCCCAAAGACCTCATCTCGATTATCTTCACATCTGAGATTTTATTACAGCATATGAATTTTAGGGGGACACAAACATTCAATTCAGTTTATAGCACTTGCCTTAATTCCTGAGTAAAGAAACAGCATGCAGATGTGAAATTCTTATTCTGCCCTACCCTGGGGAACTGCCCGAGGGCAGAAAAACCTCCAAACAGATTATTAGTAGGTATCATGCCCTGATAATATTAATTGGAAATATAACTCTGGAATGGTGCTAAGGGCTATCCAGTGTTTCTTCAGCACACTCTGATAGAGCTAAATTAGCAGGCACCAATGTTTAGTGGTGGTGAAGTTAGATTTCTTACCAGTTATAACAAAATGCTACTATAGGTGATATATTTTAAGATGTAAAATGTCTGTAAAATTGAATGTAAGTTTGCCACTTATATTGAGAAAATAGACAATGATTATTTTATTGGGTAGGGCTGAAACATGACAGAATTATTCTGAAGGCATTTGATGGTGTTTTCGCTTCTTTGAATGCCTTGATTTCCATGCTCTGATGATTTAGTTTTATAGCACTATAAATCACTTTGGTCTTTAGAAGAGATTTTAAAATAATTTATGTTAGAACTATTTTCTTTCATTTTTATTTTAACATTATTTATGGTATTATATTGTAAGTCAGTATTGTGACTGATTTCGTTGCTGGCTTCTCTGTATTTCTGTTAGACTGCAAACTCTGAAAAGACAGGAACTTAGCCCAGAGTTTGACGCAAAACATAACACTTTTTGTGTTGCTTGACTGATACATTTAAGCCTCTTAATGTAGTAGCTTAAGGCTAGCCTCTCTGTTTCTGACTCACCAGCTCATCATCCACTTTAATTTTCCCTTTCCTGGCCCTTCTCTCTACCTACCTAAATACTCCATTCAGGATCTCTTGCTCAGCCCTCTCAACATGAAATATTAGATACCTTTGATGAGCGGTGATTTGTCCTGTTTCAAACCCTAGTGTTGCCAACATTCAGCTATGAACATTTGGGCAAGTCACTTATATTATCTGGGTCTAATTCCTGCACCTTAGATTATTTCTATCTAAACCCAACTATAAAATTGTACAATCTTCTAATGTCTTTGTATTATGTTATTATGAAACATACTAATTTTTAATTCTATCATGTCTGCTATTTTTATAACCAAAAAAATCACCAAGCCTAAATAACTGTTTCTGATTAATTAGTAGAGATTATATAGTTACTATTTAACTTCATAATTTATATGATACAGTTGCATCTATTAATAAAGAAGATATATCACATAATGACAATGTATTTTATTGTCACAGCCCCATTACCAGAAGTAGAATAAAGAAAGCAAGAAGATACGTATAAGCACAACAGAAAAGAGGTAGAATAATATTAAATCGCATTATCATTAAAAAATATTTTTTGACCAAAATGAAGAGGTCATGGTGCCACTGGAACAGGAAAAACACAAGGGCATAAAAGTCATGAAAGGAGGCTGGGCACGGTGGCTCACGCCTGTAATCCCAGCACTTTGGGAGGCCGAGGTGGGCGGATCACGAGGTCAGGAGATCCAGACCATCCTGGTTAACACAATGAAACCCCGTCTCTACTAAAAATACAAAAAATTAGCCAGGCGTGGTGGCAGGCGCCTGTAGTCCCAGCTACTCCGGAGGCTGAGGCAGGAGAATGGCGTGAACCTCGGAGGCAGAGCTTGTGGTGAGCAGAGATCACACCACTGCACTCCAGCCTGGGCGACAGAGCGAGACTCTGTCTTGATAAAAAGAAAAAAAAAAAAGTCGTGAAAAGATATCCTCCATGAAGGATATTTTCCAGACATAACTGTGTAAGGTAGACCAGGGTAGGGAATATCCTAGAATTTAAAGATGTTGGAACTTGGGCCATTCAGTTGCTGTAACTATATGGCCAATCTTTCTGAAACCCTAGCTTAGCTACTTCCTGGTGCTTGCCTTTTGGCTTGAAAACACCTTGAAATAACCCCTTTTAGTACTTTCCTTGGCTGCAGGAATGCTTAAAAGGATTCTGTCAGACTTACCACTCAGAGAGGAAACATTTGAAGTGCACTGTCTGGTTTAGATAATACATTGGCAGCAAGTATTTTATTTCAAAGAGAAATCCATCAATTAACAAGTGAACATGACAGATACGGTTACAGTGTTTCTCTGCGCTCAAAAGAGGTAGCTAAAGAAAAGGGAACTCTAGATATCTGAAGAAAAAAATCACCCCTGGGGAAGAAAAAAGAGTCCCCTGAGAATGCAAAAGGCCCACAAAATAGATCTGTCAGATCCTTTCAGACTTTGATGAAAGACACAGAGCTTGATATTAGGAAAACTCTGAGCCAAAACAATTCTTCACTGTAGATGAATTCTAAACCCATCCAAAGGGCGAGATTAACACAAAAGGAAAAATGAACCAAAATTTGGAGATAAGTGCAATGAAGAATATTTTGCCAACTCCGTAATTCGCTCAGGATATAATTTACCTACCTCCAAATCAGAGTTGAAACAACAAAACTTAGATATTGAGATATTTCTGGGTTGTTCATCTGTATATGCACACTATTGAATACCAATGTATCTTAGCAAGAGCAGCATGAAAATTAACGTATGTTTTCTCAGAAGATTTTTCTCTGAATGTTAATAATATAATTTAGCAAACATTTACTGTTGCTTTTTGTGCAGAGTAATACATAGGTACTGTCAGCATTGTAGTGGTAAATGACAAAGAACTTGTCGTCATAGAAGTTCCAGTTGAGTAGGACAGCTATTATACAGAGGCAATATGCCTGGACTTAAGTGGACATTTTTATTCCTGGAGTTGTAAAAGGTTATATAATTAGCAGACTCCTAAACATATAATTAATTATAGGGACATTAGAAATTATTTTTTAGTCTCTTTTGCCATCTTAATGTTTCAAAACACATACAGGTTGAATATTCCTTATCTAAAATGCTTTGAGCCGGAAGTGTTTCATATTTCAGATTATTAGAATTTTTGAATATTTGCATATACACAATGAGATATATTGGGAATGAGACTCAGATCTAAACCCAAAATTCATTTATGTTTCATGTATACCTTATATGCATAGCCTCAAGGTGATTTTATGAAATATTTCAAATATTTATTGCAGGAAACAAAGTTTGTATACACTGAACTATCCAAAAGCAAAATTGTCATGTCTCAGCCACCTATATGGACAATCTGTGGCTGTGTGGCATTGCCATTTTTTCTGACTCTTGATTCATATGCTACTAATAAGGCATCATTTATACTTATTCACACTTAACTACTTAATAGTAAAAAATATAACATACCATTAATACAGTGAAAAAATAACAGCAACAACAAACAATGGCAGGCTTTCAGTCTCCACCTCAGACACTATGTTTTGAATAAGAGGTTACTTGATTCTATTGTTTTAGATCAGGAGAAACATCAGAATCACTTGAGGGACCAGGAAGTGTTCCTCTAGGGTTGAGGAGGCATTCTTCTGGATGACTTTTTCAAATGTTTCCACCAGAGTCATCCGTCTCATTCACAGTGGTTTTAGTCTTAAAAGTCTCTCTTTGATTTTATAAACTGACATCATTTCTTGTTGTGTTATAAATGCACGGTGCTCTTATCCTTCCATAAGCCCATCACACAGTATCACCGTGTCATTTATGAGCACTTTTTCTACACTGTTAACATAATCTTCATCATCACTCTTACTACTATCACATATATATATATATATCTCAACTTAGGAAAGGAGGTCACTCATCACTTTTTTCTCACTTGACATATGGAATCCTTCAAAGTCACCATCTTGTTTATCATTATCACCAAACATAGTCACAGAGGTTGTACCAGGTATACACAACTATGTCTTTAGCCATCGTGTACCAAGCATTGACAGCAACATATAATGGCATCCTTCATGGTAAATTCCTTTTGAAAACCCTCCATATTTTTACCTCTGTTTACTGCTGTCAGCATACTGTTCAAGAAAGCACTTTTATATTTATTCTTCATTGATCTAAGGATACTCTGGCTACATGGCTGAATTAATGAAGTCACATTTGGGGAAAAGTGCATGCCATAAGTGTTATTTTTGATGACAGTTTCAGCTGGAGGATTATCAGAACAGTTGCCAACGAATAATAAAATCCTGCAGTTGTCATCCAGTCCCACTTTCCTGCAGGGAGCACAAGCTGCTGGTATAAAATGTTTGTGTAACCAATCAGAAGGCATGTCCCTGATGATCCATGCCTTTGTTAGGATACTTATGGACTGGTAAGAAATTTACTCCTTGAAAACAGCAAGTACTGGGGTGTACGGTTTTCCTTGTTGTGTGCCTTTGGCAAAAGCACACCCCAGCACAGTTATTCTGTCTTTGGCAGCCTTAGTTCCTGTAGTCACTGTCTTTCTGGTGCAATAATGCATTATAGACTTGTTCCGGCATCAGATTTTTATCAGCAGTGACCTTTGCAAACTGGTCAATGAATTTCTCTGTTGCTTTATTATCACCACAGATGCAGCAGATGCTTTATCACCTCAAATCTTTAAAACTTTAATGTTGTGTCTTTTCTTAAATTTCTGTGATCAGCCTGTTGAATATTCATAGTTCCCTTCAATTTTCAATTCGTCATGATAGATATTTGCTTCTTTCATGGTCAGCATACCATTAAGTGGCATGTGTTCACAGCGATGCTGATGGATCCATTCTTTCAATACAAGATTGAGATCTTCATTTTTAGCTTTATGCAGTATTTTTTTTAATGTTTTATTAATGTCTTTCACGTTCAACAGAAAACTTCAGCAATTCGTCCTTCTGTTTTTCGGGTCATATATGGTGGTCATTCCAACACCATACTCTTCTGTAATATGTTTCATACTTACACTGCTGTCCAGTTTCTCCAAGAGCTTGACTTTCCATGCTATAAACATAAATGCTTCCTTTTTTTATTCTTACCACTCTTACTCATAGGTGTATCTGCAGGCCTTTTTGAAATTTTCAACAATGTCTTTATATCACAAAGTGGAAATTGTGAAAAAAAAACCACAAAAATTCACAGTGGGTAACGCACATAGGACTCAATCCCATATATGGGGAGCCTACTATTGGTGCACCTGGCTTGCATATATGCTATTTTATTAAACTTTATGGGTGTGCTAGTGTGGGAAAATCTAGCATGTATGGAACAGATATATTGCAGTTGAAGGGGACTGGCAGGGTCTTTTTTCTTTTGGCAATGCCTAATAATCTGTATTTTTTATTTGTCTTTGACTGCCTCCTGTCACATGAGGTCAGGTGTGGGATTTTCGACTTGCATTGTCATGGTGAAGCTCAAGAAGTTTCAGATTTGGGCGTATTTAAAATTTCAAATTTTCAGATGGAGGATGCTCAACCTTACCATATTAATAAGCATTTGTTGGCTATTATCTACTTTTAATGAAAGGAATGATAAAAAGAATAATTATTGCTTTGTTTTTTCATTTTTTACTTTTTTATGAGCAATATTGACATTTTATAATAATACTGATTTCCTAAAAACCCAACCTATGGTAAGCCACTTCCCAAATTCTCCACTGATTCTTTTCTCTTAGTATTGACACTACTGTGTAGTCCTCACTCACAATGAGTATTGGTGGTCTATGTAACTATTGGAATATTGAAGAAATAAAGTATGTTTTCTGAGGTAACATTAAAATAGCTACTGTGGCTTCTGTCCTGCTCTCTCATGGATCCCCATCTCTAGAGAAAGCCAGTTGTAGTATTGTGAAAACATCCAACTGGCTGAAAGATAGATCCATATGGCAGTAACTAATGTCCATTGACAACAGCCAGCATCAACTCACGAGCCATTGTGTAGTGAGCCATCTTGGAAGTGATTCCTCTAGTCCATTCAAACCTTCATATGACTGTAGTCTGCACTGATATCTTCACTACAACCTCACAAAAAAACCTGTGGGAGAACCACCCAGATAAGTTGTCTGGAATTCTTGTCCCAGGGAAACTACATAATGAGAAAAGAGTATTATTTGAAGCACCTAATTTTGGGAGTGATTATTTATGTAGCCCTAGATAACTAATACAAAATATTAACCCATTTATTTACATCTCTTACTAATGCAGAATTTGTCTTTAATCAGGCAGAAGTGTGGTGCTGCAAATATTCAATTTTTCCTTTTGGTTCAGCAGTGTCAAGTGTGACATTCTTGACAACTATTTCAGTTTCTCTAATAGCTGGCAAAAGTGCCAATTTCAGCTATGATTTTTTTTCTAGCTATTACCTTTAGAGGACTGCCAGTTAAGCTAACATTAGTTCATTATAAACAAATGTTGCTTTATTACACAGTTAAGCTTCTCAGACTCAGTAAAATATATTTTCCTTGTATCTGTTCTTCTAAACATAATGCATGATAATGTAATACATATCTTCGATTACAATAAAATGAAAGTGATGGAATAGTGTACCTAACTATAATGAAAACATCAAGAAAAATTTAGTCACACACAAATGCAATTTGAGCAAGGTAAAATATATTGTATTTAAAGAAAACATATGAGCATATTGTATTTCCAAAAGGTCAGTGATGCCTTTTAAAGGAATTGTTATTATATTCCAAATGTAATAAATGAGATAAACATTGTCTTTATGTTCTTATAAATCTATTTCAATTTTGAGCTTCTAAAGCCTGACTACTTCCAACCTATACTAATCTCTGAATTTATATAACATGACTATAAGCTAAAACATAAATTATATTTAGCTTATAAATTCATAAATTTCTTCAAAATAACTTATTGGTCACTTACTATGTCTTCAATATAAAATATTTAGTTACTACTTTATAAGAATTAATTTTCATATGTGTGTTTGTAGCTTTTCTCTCACCAATCTGGGTTGTATGTTCCGAAAGGTGTAATTTTGAAATTTCAATTCGCTACCCTGAGCTGATATAAGTGCTTAAAAAAGACAGAATATTTTTAATGTATGTTGTAAATTAGTCATTTTGAATATTTTTCCTAAATATATTTTTGTAAATTCAGTTTATTTCAATCAGTATGAACACAAGCAACCATTTCAACAAAAAATGAAATCTATAAAGCAGTATTAAAGATTTAACATATAAAATTTACCACTGCACAAACATACTCTACAAATTTATGTTTGCAAGTGCTAACTTTAATAGAAAATTAAGGCAAAATTCCCTTTCTCTTCGAATTATTCAGATGTTTGCTTAATTCCTTCACTCTAGTGTACATGTATAGATGTGGCCTTAATCCCTAATGTTGGATGGCAAAAACGTAAATTAGTCCAGCTGAAGCTAACGAAGTGAGTGTTTTATGCTCTATTATTCTCCAAAAGGTCTATTTATGTGTATTGCACTTCAATCCAAAGGATAAATCTTGCAGCTCAAATTGCCATAGGTTCAGAATTTTAGTACAGGTGAGCACAGTAAGACCAGCTGTTATTGCTCTAAATAATGATATCACGTAAATAAGAGAAAGTACTGACTGAAAATGAATGAACAAATGCCACCTTTTCAGATTAGAAAAAACGGCATTTGAAAAACAATGGCTATTGTAAGAAGTCCATTCTTTACATATTCTTAATGTTGTTTTATCTAAGTTTAAGATCGTGATTGCCCTCTGGCTTTTGTTGATTGGTTAGTTGCTTTGGCTTTCAAAAACCGCTTTTAAATGGAATACATGTTACATACATGTATGTATGTATATGTGTATATGCATATATTTATGAAATTTAAAAATAACAGTAATGCTACTGGCTCTGAAGGGATAAGTAAATATATCAGTATAATGAAACAGAAAAATATAAATTTCAATACAAATAAAAATTTTGCAGATGATAAGGTTAACAACTCAAAAACTCAAAACTCAACTTAAAAACAGAGACAAATATATATTATTAAATACTTTGAGGTAAATAGTTTTGGGGTAACTGGATAGCCATTTGGAAAAAGATTAAATTAGATCTGTGTCTTTCACCATACATAAGAATAAATTCCAAATTCATTAGATATGTAAGTGTTTAAACATTTATTTGTACAGGTATCAGAAGAAAACATGGGTGAATGTCTATTTAACGGTGACCCAAATTCAAAGATTGTGAGAAAAATTGATAAATCTTAAGACGTAATTTTTTTAAATGTGTGACAAAACAAACAAATCACCACACAAACAAAGGCAGAACACATCTGATAAGCTGAGAAGAAATATCATGCAAATAAAAAGATAAGAAGAACTTGAAATTCAGAGACTCAAAGGCTAATATCATTACTGAAAAATCAATAAAAAAGCTAATATCATTAGTATATAAATATATATATAAATTCTCTTAAAACTGAGGAGCAAATGATCAAAAGCATAGAAGAAAATAAGTAAAGTACATGAAAATACAACTCAATAAAAGTACATACATGACCAATAACATGAAAATATTTTCAAACTCAGTCATTATTAGAGAAATACATATTAAAAGAAAACCATTGAAATATTTTTTCTTACCTACAAAATAGTGAATATTTTAAAATATGACAATACTTTTATTGAGAAAATAAGCTATTTCACACATTGCTTCGGGGAATTCAAAATGGTACAACTTTTCTGAAGGGGAATTTGGCAATAGCTGAGAAATCCTTAGATGAACTTACTTCTGATATAAGCAATTCCACTTCTAGGAATCTACTATGCTGATACATCTTCAACAATATGAAAATAAATGTGATCAAAGTTATTCATTGTAGCATTTTTTTGAATTTCAAAAAACTGTAAATAAGTCCCCATATATTGGATACTGTTTTAATAAATTATGATACATCCACACAATGGGTTACTATGCAGCTATGAAAAAGAATGAAGAAGATCTCTGAACTGAGAAAGCTGGGACCCATAAGTTAATGCCTTGTCAAGGACTTTTTAAACATTTTTAATAATAATTTATTAATTTATTTATTTGTTTTGAGACAGGGTCTCACTCTGTCACCCAGGCTGGAGTGTGGTGGTGTGATCACAGCTCATAATAGCCTCAGTCTCCTGGGCTCAGGTGATGCTCCCACCTCATCCAAACAGGTGAGACTACAGATAACTTACCCAGCTAATTTTGGTATTTTTTGTAGAGACAGGGTCCCACTATGTTGCCCAGGCTGGTCTCGAACGCCTGGGCTCAAGTGATCTGCATACCTCAGCCTCCCAAAGTGCTGGGATTACAGGTGTGAGCCATCACTGTGCCTGGCCTGTCAAGGATCTTTTCAAGTAACACTCTCATTTTATAATTTTTGCAGTATATGAAGATGAAGAATGCAGTGCCTACTGGAATATTTTAGTGCCAATGTCTTGATTTATGCCACAGTACCTGCAGTTTTCCCAACTGTTGCTGTTGCATTATCAGTACAAATGACAACACAGTAGGAAAGGCATTAAAATTTGAGAAAATAGTGAGATAGCTGACAAAAAACAGTCTCAGGGATGCCCAATGTCTTCAGCTCCTACATTAAGAAAACTTGTTCTATAGGATATAATATATTTCCAGACAAATAAAAATATTTGAAAAACTTCTAGAGGATATACTCAAAGAAGAATGTATAGTAAGGACAAAACAAGCTATGACATATAAGAATGAATGCTGAGCAAACATTAATGGTAACAATCTTAGTAAATAAAAATAAATTTTGGAGGTATAAAACAAGCCAGAACACAATTCTGGTTTGCTTTACAAAGGACTTCATAGTCAATATTTTTTCCTAACTTTGTAGCCCTAGTCATGACCTAGCATGTAATCCCATCCATTTGAAATATTGTTTTGATAGCCTCTTTGTTTTTCTTCCTTCCTTTCCTTAGTAATTCACCTCTAAACTATGTGTAGCAATAATTTAGGCCCTGTTTCATGTTCATCTTATCTTTTTTTTCATGAATCCATTTGCTTTAAGGTCGCAAAGTATTCTTTGGTTTGACTTTTCTACTCAAAAATTTGAATAAAATATTATTGAAAACACAAAACTTCAAAATCCATGGGAAGATGCAAAAGCAATACTCTGAAAAAATGTATGTATCATTAAACACTTACATCAGCCAAGAGAAACACATTTAAGTTATTTAAACTTTTACCTGAACAAATAAGAAAATATAGACTGAAATTGAACTCAAAATAAATTAAAGTGAAGTAAAATGATAAAAGCAGAAGTTAAAGCAGAAATGTACAGTACAGACAATTAATGAAAGTCAAAGCTGTTTCTTTTAAAAGTGAAATAAAATTCATCATAGTCTAGCTAGATTAATCAAGAAAACAAGAAAAGTTTAAAATTAACATTAGAAATGAAAGAAGGAACTTCAATATAAACTTTTCACAGTCAAAAAATTCTTTTTGAACATGACTATATCAATAAATTATAATAGTAACAGAATAATGGAGAAAAATTACATAACAATCTCCATATATATAAAAAAGCTTGTCAACATTTTTTATGATTAAAATATTTCTGCTAATTGAAAATAGAATCTGATAAAGGACATATACAACAGCCTATCATTAACTAAATAATGGTAAAAAATTGAATGATGGCCAGGTGTGGTGGTTCACCCCTGTAATCCCAGCACTTTGGGAGGCCAAGGCAGGTGGAGCATGAGGTCAGGAGTTCAAGACCAGCTTGGCCAAAATGGTGAAACCCGGTTTCTACTAAAGATACAAAAAACTAGCCGGGTGTGGTGTCACACACCTGTAATCCCTGATACTCGGGAGGCTGAGGAAGGAGAATCACTTGAATCTGGGAGGCAGAGGTTGCTGCAAGCCAAGATTTTACCATTGCACACCAGCCTGGGCAACAGGGCGAGACTCCGTGTTAAAAAAAAAAAAAGGCAAATATTAGTTTTCTTTCCATTTTTATTCAACCCTGTAATTGAAATACTAGCCATTTCAATAAGGCAATAAAATAAAATAAAATGAACCTATATTTTTTTAAAAAGTAAAATTATTTGTGAACATGATCATAAGCATAGAAAATCCTAATGAATCTATTAAAAGTAGCTACAAATAATAAGCAGTTTTTTCAAGGTTGCAGGATACAGTGTCATACAAAATTCAATTCTATTCCTGCATACTAATGCATTATATCCCATATACTTATATTTATATACACTATTGTCACACTGGAAATGAGCAATTTAATGATAAAACTTAAAAACATTATTTATGATAGCGTCAAAACACAAGAAATACTGAGGAATAAATTTAGTACAATATGAACCAGACTTGTTTAAAGAAGAATATAAAACATAGTTTAGAGAAAATAAAGAATATACTGATATATTGAGATATATAATGTTCATGACTTGTAACACTACATGCTGCTAAGATGTTAATTTTCTTAAAATTGGTCCATAGATAAAATTTTTTATGGAAATTGACAAGTTGATTCTAAAACTTAACTGGAAAAATTTAGAAATGAACAAAGAGGCTTACACAACGTGACTTCAAGACTCTCTGTAAGGCTATAGTAATCAATACAGTTTGGATATACTATAAACATAAATATACATCACAAATGGAACAGAAAAAAGAAGTTCAGAAGTAGGTCTACACATATATTCTCAAATGACTTTTGACAAAGGTACCAAGGGAATTCAGTAATTCAATGTGGAAAGTTTTTAGGAGCAATATTGACATTTTGTAATAATACTGATTTCCTAAAAACCCAACTTATGGTAAGCCTCTTCCCAAATTCTCCACTGATTCTTTTCTCTTAGTATTGACACTACTGTGTAGTCCTCACTCACAATGAGTATTGGTGGTCTATGTAACTATTGGAATATTGAAGATATATAATAAATACATACATTTAATATAATTTATATTATAATTACATATATTATAATTACATATAAATATATGTAATTATTATAATATATGTAATTATAATAATTACATATATTATAATTATATGTAATTATTATAATTACATATATTATATAAATATAATATATGTATATTATATTATAATATATTATACATATTATATATACATATATGTATATATACATATACATATTATATAAATAATATATGTATATTATAGTAATATAAATATAATATAAATATAAACATATATTATATTATATACATATATAATAAATACATACATTTTTTCTGAGTATTGCTTTTGCATCTTCCCATGTATTTTGAAGTTTTGTGTTTTCAATAATATTTTATTCAAATTTTTGAGTAGAAAAGTCAAACCAAAGAATACTTTGCGACCTTAAAGCAAATGGATTCATGAAAAAAAAGATAAGATGAACATGAAACAGGGCCTAAATTATTGCTACACATAGTTTAGAGGTGAATTACTAAGGAAAGGAAGGAAGAAAAACAAAGAGGCTATCAAAATAATATTTCAAATGGATGGGATTACATGCTAGGTCATGACTAGGGCTACAAAGGTAGGATAGCCCTACAAAGGTAGCCCTACAAAGGTAGGGCTACAAGTCCGGTGTTGGAGGGCAGGAAGCATCCAGCTCCAGAGAAAGATGTAAGCTGGGAGGCTAGGCCTGTCTAGGCTTTTCCCATTTTTCTGCATGCTTTATATTCGCTGGCAGCTGATTAGATGATGCCCACCCAGATTAAGAGTGGGTCTGCCTTTCCCAGCCCACTGACTCAAATGTTAATCTCCTTTGGTAACACCCTCACAGACACACCCAGGATCAATACTTTGCATCCTACAATCCAATCAAGTTAACACTCAGTATTAACTATCACACCTACTCTGTTCCTGTAACTTATAACAAAATATGTTGAAAAAAGCAAATCCGTATTTATTAATTAGCCTGTCTGCTATCTGGGAGGAGAAAAGAAAAACATAGCACAATTGGAATAAGATGTGTTAATTCTATTTATGCCTTTCATTACTTTGGAATCTTGGGCAACTGACATAGGCAGTAAGACAGTTCTGTAATTACACAAAACAAAATAGAATAGCACTAACAACACGCACTTTATGAATTACTGTGAAGATTAATTTGTGGTGTAGATTTTTAAAATCTAGAACATGATAGAATGACTAACCAAACAGGCATATGGTAATAGTTTCACAGATTTAAATGTAGACTAAAATTCTACTAGCAAACAAAATAAAATGCTTATCTCATTTTATAAGAATTGAAAGATTACATATGAAATAAATTTCTACAAATATTATCATATCTGTTTTACTGTATATTAATATATAGAGAAAAATAGTAAAGGGTAGATGGGTTATTATTAGTTTGTTGCTATTGAGTTGTAGTTTTTCATACGTTTATGCTATAACCCATTCTCAGTTATATGGTTTGCAAATATTTTCTCTCATTGCATAGGTGCATAGGTTGCGTTTTCACTTTATTTCCTTTGCTGTTTAGATTTTTTGCTTGATGAAACCTCATGTGTCTATTTTCTCTTTTGTTACCTGTGCTTTTGGTATTATATCCAAAACATCTTTGTCCAGAACAATGTCAGGAAGATTTTCCCCTACGTTTTTTTCTTGTAATTTTACTGTTTGAAGTTTTATGTTTAATTCTTTCATTCCTTTATTTCTTTCAAGTTTTGTTTTTTTGGTATATGGTGTAAAATAAGAGTTCCATTTTATTCTTTTGCTTGTTGACATCCAGTTTTCCCAACATCCTGTACTGAAGACTCTCTCTTCTTCACTGTATAATCTTGATACCTTTTCAAAGATTAGTTGATCATATATGTGTGGGTTTATATCTGGGCTCTGTATTCTGTTATATCAGTCCACATGTCTGCTTTTATGCCAATATCATACTGTTTTGATTACTGTAACATTGTAATATATTTTGAAATCAGAAAGTGTGATGCCTCCAGGATTTTTCTCCTTTCTCAAGACTGAATTGGCTATCCAGTTCTTTCCTGGCTCTATACGAATTTTAGGGCTTTTCTTTCTATTACTACAAAAATACTTTTGGGATTTTGATAGAAATTGCATTGAATGTATAGATGACTTTGGTAATATAGACTTTGAAACAATATTAATTCTTGCAATTCATAAATTTCTTTCCATTTATCTTTGTCTCCTTTAATTTCCTCCATTAATGATTTATAATATCCAATGTACGAGTCTTTCACTCTTTTGATTAAGTTTATTCTTAAGTATTTTGGTTTTTGCTGTTATTACTCTTGTGAATGGGATTGTTTCTTAATTTTCTTTTTGGATAGTTCTTTGTGTATAGGAACAGCAATGATTTTTTGTTGATTTTGTATTCTGTAACTTTACTGAATTCACTTATTAGTTATACATATTTTCTGGTGGCCCTTAGGGTTTCGTACATATATGATTATGTTATCTACAAAGACAGATAATTTTGCTTCTTTTTTTCTGATTTGGATGCTTTTTTTTTTTCTAGTCTAATTGCTCTGGCTAGGACTTCCAGTACTGTGCTGAATAAAATTGGTATGAATGGGCATCCTTGCCTTGTAATAAATCTTAAAAGGAAAGCTTTCAGTTTCCTCCCATTGATTATGAAGTTAGCTTCCTACCTTTTTCTATATGGTCTTTATTGTGTTGAAATAATTTCCTATTCTACCTATATCATTGAGCATTTTACATGAATGTATATTTAGTTTTGTAAAATATATTTTCTATATCTTTATAGTTGATCATAGTTACATTTCATTCTGCTGATGTAATATTTCACATTAATTGATTTGCATAAGTTGAACCATCTTTGCATCCCAGCGATAAATTCTGTTTGGTCATGATATGAAATCTATTTAATGTGCTGTTGAATTCAGTTTGTTAGTATTTTACTGATAATTTTTGCATCTATGTTCATGAGTAACATTAATGAACAGTTTTCTTTTCTTGTGATATATTTATCTGGTTTGGTATCAGGTGATGGTAGCCTCTTGACACGAATTTAGAAGTGTTACCTCTTCTATTTTTTGGAATATTTTAAGAAAAATTAGTATTAATTATTCATTGAATGTTTGGGAGAATTCACTTATGAAACCATTTGGTCCTAAGCTT
Source organism: Homo sapiens (assembly GCF_000001405.40). NCBI lineage: Eukaryota > Metazoa > Chordata > Mammalia > Primates > Hominidae > Homo > Homo sapiens. The sequence goes on from NC_000014.9 coordinate 42,041,699, forward strand.
CCCAAGCTTTTTTCTTTGTTGAGAGGTTTTTAAAATTATGAATTCAATCTTCTCATTTGTTATTCCTATGTTAGGACTTTCTATTCCTTTTTGAATCAGTTTGTATGTTTCTAAGATGTCATCCACTTCTTCTAGGTTATCCAATTATTCACCTATGTTTGATCATAAGATAGTCTCGTATGATCCTTTTTATTTCTGAGGCATCTGTTGTAATGTCCCCTTTTTCATTTATGATTTTGTGTGCTTGTAGCTTCTCTTTTTTCTTACTTAGTCTAGCAAGGGTTTCTTTATCTTCTAAATAAAACCAACTCTCAGTTTAGTTGATTTTTAATTTTTAATATTATTTTTATGATGTATTTGTAGTATTAAGTTAGGTGGTTTATTTTATATATTTTTCTTTTTTTAATGTAGGCAATTACTACTACAACTTCTCTTTTAGTACTGTTTTTGCAACATTTTGTTTGTTTTGGTATTGTGTTTTCATTTTCTTTTGTCTTTAGGTATTTAAAAATTTTCCTTTAATTTCCCCTTTAATCCAATGGTGTGTTTAATCCAAAAGTGTGTTGCAAATTTTCATGTATTTGTGAATTTTCTTATTTTTTTGTTATTGATTTCTAATTTAATTCCATTGGGTTGGAAAAGATTCTTAGAATGATATCCATCTTTTAAAATTTGCTAAGACTTGTTTTGTAATCTAACTTGTGGTCTGTCTTGGAGAATGCTGTACATTTGAAAATGTATGCTCTTCTGCTATTGGGTGAAAGTTCTGTATATGTTGGCTAGGTCAATTTAGTTGATAGTATTGTTAAAGTCAGCTATTTTTTAAAATTAATTATCTTGTGAGTTTTGTATCTATTATTATAAGAGGAGTATTAAAGTCTCCTACTATTATTGTATAATAGCAATTTCTCCCTTTGGATCTGCCAGTGTTTGCTTTACATATTTCGGTGTTCTCATGTTAGATATGTATATATTGATACTTGTTATATGTTTCTATTTAATTGACCCTTTTATCATTTATACAATAAACTTCTTTGGCCATAAAAACAATTTTACTTAAATTCTATTTTTTCTGATTTAAGCATAACCATCTCTGATTTCTTTTTGTTAAAATTTGCATGAAATATCTTTTTATAGTCCTTCACTTTTATACTCCTTCACTTTTAGCCTATTAGTGTCCTTAATTCTAAAGTGAATATCCTGTAGATAGATACCAGATCTTGGTTTATCCACTCAGCTACTCTATTGCTTTATATGGGGAATTTAATTCATTTACACTTAAAGTAATTGCTAATGTGTGAGAAGTTACTATTGCCATTGTGTTTACTATTTCTGTTTTGTGGGTGATTTGATCCTCTCTTGTTGTTTTCCTTTGTTACTTGATGATTTTTGTAGGGATTTGTTTTGACTGTTTTCTCTTTATATTTTGTTTCTCTATTCTATATTTTTCTTTGCAGTTACCTCAGCATTTGCATAAAATATCTTGTATTTGTAAACATTTATGCTGATTTCATAACAACTTAACTTCAATTGTACACAACAATACTATACTTTCTCACCCCCTAACTTTGTTGAGTTTTTAGTCAGTTTTTTTTTTTTTTTTTTTTTTTTTTTTTTTGATAGAGTCTGGCTGTTGCCCAGGCTGGAGTTCAGTGGCTGATCTCAGCTCACTGCAACTTCTGCCTTCCGAGTTCAAGTGATTCTCCTGCCTCAGCCTCCCAAGTAGCTGGGATTACAGGCATGCACCACCATGCCCAGCTAATTTTTGTACTTTTAGTAGAGACAGGGCTTTACCATATTGGCCAAGCTGGTTTTGAACTCCTGACCTTGGGTGACCCACCCACCTCGGCCTCCCAAACTGCTGGGATTACAGGCATGAGCCACCATGCCTGGCCCAGTTTGCTTTTTTTAACTTTATCTTTAACATGCAAGGACATTGCAATACCAGAAAAAAATCTAGGATGGGGATTGACTTCCAAGATGGCTTCTTCACACACGCGTATGGAGACTTGATGATCTCTTTTTTTCATGGCTTTCTCTGCCTGGGCCTCTTCATGTGTACTGGACTTCTCAAAGCATGGCTTTTTACTCTTTTTATATAACAATTGGCTTTCGAATATCTAAAAGTGTAAAAATACAGGCCAGTTAAGGGCTTCACCAAGAAGTCATGCAGCATCAAGTCCACTTTATTTTATGAAGCAAGACTATTATAACTGTCATTATATATATTATAATGGCCATTAATCTGGAAGAAATCACAGTTTTCAAAGGTATATAAATATCATAATAATTACATTTAAACAAACATCTCTGATTAGTTGTGATAAACTAGAGGTAAAAGAAAGATAAAAAGGAAGAAAAAAGAAGGAAGGAAGGAAGGGGAAGGGAAGGAAGGAAGGGGAAGGGAAGGAAGGAAGGGGAAGGGAAGGAAGGGAGGAAGGGAGGGAGGGAGGGAAAGAGAGAGTGAGGGAAGAAAGAAAGAAGGTCAACTAAGAAGATATTGCAATATCTTCCAGTTGTGATATGATACAGGTCTAGATCAGGGCAACAGCCACAGAAATGAAAAAGTGTGGGTATGGGAACTCTTGTGCAAGGAAACAGATGCTTTTGATAGTTGAATTTGATGAAATTGGAAAAGCTACATATAACTTAAATTGCACTTTATAATCCAGATGAGATGATTAAAATAATGCACAGTTGATATAGGGAGCACTTGGAAACAGACAAGTTTGTTGGATATGAAGTACAATTTGAACAGAGTATGTTGCTGTCAAATTGTGCAATGGAAAACATAGGCCCAAAGCTTCTAGCTAGGGACTTTGAGATGAAAGTCATCAGTAAAGAGGTGACGGTTGAAAAGTCATGAGACTAGATAAAATCACACTTTGATTGAGTAATGAGAAAAAAAGACAAGGCCTGAGGGTAAAACAAGGACCAATGTAACTTTTTCAGCCTTCCCTTTGGATGGAGGCTTTGAAGTTCTTTAGGTGGCACTAATGTTGATTAATTTGAACATCAATCAGTTCTTAGGTCCACAAAGTGTTTTAGTTCTTAATATACATGCCAGAGATATTTTCGTGTAAAATTATTTCTATTTTTTTCAAATAATATTGCAAACACTTAAATTTCAAGTTATTATTTCTGAATCAAAGATCTTGTTTAGCTTTAAAGGATTGATATTGGAACATAATTATTTTGAATTTTTAAATAACTATAGTATTACATTTAAATTACAAGACTAACTGTAAATAACAGAAATTTTAAAAAGAAGGAAACTGGCAAGAAAAAATGTCAGGTCCCAGACTTTGTTTATTTTATTTTATTTTTATTATTATTATTTGAGATGGAGTCTCGCTCTGTCACCAGGCTGGAGTACAGTGGCGTGATCTTGGCTCATTGCAACCTCCGCCTCCTGGGTTCAAGTGATTCTCCTGTCTCAGCCTCCCAAGTAGTTGGGTCTACAGGCACGCACCACTATGCCTGGCTATTTTTTGTATTTTTAGTAGAAATTGGGTTTCACCATGTTGGCCAGGATGGTCTCGATCTCTTGACCTCATGATCCGCCTGCCGCGGCCTCCCAAAGTGCTGGGATTAGAGGTGTAAGCCGCCCACACCCAGCCAGTCCCAGACTTTGTATATTGTGATACATAAAAACCTAGAAAAAATTATCAAACTTCCTCATGAAAGTCATAAGTAATAAACTTAAAAAAATTAATTTTTTAGAACAGTTTTAGGTTGACTGCAAAATTAGAGAAAAGTACAGTGATTTCCTATGTACTCCGTGCCCCTCCTCCCCACATGTTTAGCCTCCCCCATTATCAACATCCCCCACCAGTGATACATTCATCAAGCAGAGTCTACAATTTACATCAGGTTTCACTCTAGGTTTGTACATTCCTATGGCTTTAGACAAATGTGTAATCACGTATATCCACCAAGATAGTATCATACAGCATATTTTTACTGCCCTAAAACTCCTCCATGCTCCTGCTGCTTATTCTTTTCTCCTCCCTAACTCCTGGAAATCAATTTTTTTTCCTGTCTCTATAGTTTTGCTTTCGCCAATAAGTAGTCTTTTCAGATTGGCTTCTTTCATTTAGTAATACGCATTAAGATTTCCCCATTTGTGTGTGTGTGTGTGTGTGTGTGTGTGTGTGTGTGTGGCATAATAGCTTATTTCTTCTTAGCACTGAATAATACACTGTCTGGATGTCTGACCATTTATTTATCCATTCACCTACTGAAAAACATTTCGGTTGCTCCCATGTTTTGGTAATTATGAATAAACATGCTGTAAACATCTTTGGGAAGGTTTTTGTGTAGACATTATTTCAACTGCTATGGGTAAATAGCAAGGAATGAGATTGCTGAACAGTTTAGTTAACGGCATGTTTAGTTTTGTAAGAAACTGCTAACTGTCTTCCAAAGTGATTGTACCATTTCACATTCCTACAAGCAATGAATGAGAGCTCCTATTGTTCCACGTCCTAATCAGCATTTGGTATTGTCAGTGTTCTGGATTTTGTTTATTTTAACAGTATTTTGTAGGTATCTCATTGTTTTAATTTACTTAGTCCTAATAACATGATGTGGAGCTTTTTCATATGCATATTTGCATCTGTATGTCTTCTTTGGTGAAGTGCCTGTTAAGATCTTTGACTAATTTTTTAATTGGGTTGTTTTTCATTATTGAATTTTAAGAGTTCTTTGTATATTTTGAATCACACTTCTTTCCCAGATATGTCTTTTGAAAATATTTGCTCCCAGTCTGCAATTTATTTTTTTCATTCCTTGAACAGTATCTTTTGCAGAGCCAAAATGTTTAATGTTCATGAATTCTACCTTATTAATTCTTTCTTTAAAGAATCATGCCTTTGATGTCATATCTAAAAAGTCATTGCCAAACAGAAGGTCATCTAATTTTCTCCCATATTATCTAACAAACGCTTATAGTTTCATATTTTACATTTAGATCTGTAATCCATTTTGAGTTATTTTTTTGAAGGGTATAAATCTGTCTAGATTTACTTATTTTTGCATGTGAAAGTCCAGTTGTTCTAACACCATTTGTTTAAAATACTATTTTTCCCCATTCATTTCCTTCACTGTTTTATCAAAGATCAGCTGACTATAAATATGTGGGGTAATAAGCTTTTGAGGACTTTTGTATGAAAGTATGTCAATGTTTAACTCTGTTTCATTAATCAATACAACTTCTTTTATTTCTCATTTCCATTATAGTCCTTGTTCATCTCAGTTTTAAAATAGACTTTTTTAGAGTGTCTCCTTTAAATATGTTTTCCCAAGCAAGCATTATTCTAATGTCCCCAGAAGTCTATTGTTATTATTATCAGTTTTGAGCAAAACAATTGTGGTGAAAATTATCCAGCATCATGTGAAGTGAAACTAAAGCAGGTGCATTAAGGAATTGGCGTTCAATTTTTTTCTTTTATCGTCCATATGTGTTTTAAGAATTTTGATTATTTTTAGATTAATGCCTGTTTCATGTCAAGTATTTTGCCAATAGAAAGAGAATTGTGTATACAATCTGTAACCAAGTTGTCTGCATTTCCGAAGTCTGAATACAGACAATGTAAAGTAAATATATATATATATATATATATATATATATATATATATATATATATATATGGTTAAAAATAGATTCTAAAATTTTCTTAGAGTAGCAGGTTTGCATATTAACATTGTGTAATTTGCATTTCACATCAAGAATTTGGCTTTAGAAAATATGAAAAGGTATTAGTGAAGTTACTATGGCTGATACATTTGTTAGTTAGGCATTAGCAGCCAGGCAGGGGTGAAAGAAAAGAGCAGAAGGGCTGTCACTAAGACAGGCTCTAGCCCACTTAAATTCAGCCTGCACACTGCCCTAACTTGACCCTAAGGATGGAGTCTGTGGTAACGTCTGTGGTTAGCACATCCTGGAAAAAATATACTAGGCCACAGATAATCTCTTAAAGTGGTGAATATCCAGACCATCTAGGCTGCAATCCCAGGTAACCTCATCCTAATTATGCAGTCATTATAATAAAATTTACCTGTGTTTTTGCCCTCCCCCTACCAAAATGGGCTTTTCTTAATGGATTGTGGGTAAGAATATATGTGGTTTAACTTCAGTTATATAGCCAAAAACTGGCAAGCAAATGACATCATCCTGTCACTCAAATACAGCCCAAGCCTTAACTCCTCCCCACAAACCGGATGAATGCACCCTAAGCTCCATAAAGAGGGACTGATTTCATGTCACAGGAACCAGCCCACTCTCCCTCTGAGGGTGTATGACTGTACTTCAGTAAACTGTGCTTTGAGTTTGCATTTTGGCGTTAGTTTGCAATTCTTTGCTCACTATCACAGGAACTGAGATTGCTGCTCCAGAGCTCTGGCCTTGTTTCTCTCCAGCCTTGCTGATCTCCTCGGTTGGAGAATTCATCCCAATGCAGAATCCTTGGTAATACATTGACAAAAAATAACAACATACAGCTATTCAAATGATACAGAAAAGAATATTTATTGAGGTAAAAATATCAAGCTTAGATTATTAATATAAGTATGGTTACTAAGTAGTATTTCTGGTTAAAGATGAGCAATTAAATATATTGAATGCTCCTTCCAAAAATATATTTGAATATGCTGAATAAATGTAAAAATCAAAAGAAATTAATCACAGGAATGGGAAGCAGAATCAATGCCACTAACCAGGAAAGAGAATCTTCTTGCAGAAAATTAGCTGTTCAAACACCTTAAAGAAAAACACCCGGGCCAAGCGCGGTGGCTCACGCCTGTAATCCCAGCACTTTGGGAGGCTGAGGCGGGCGGATCACCAAGTCAGCAGATCGAGACCATCCTGGCTAACACGGTGAAACCCTGTCTCTACTAAAAATACAAAAAAAAATACCCGGGCGTGGTGGCAGTCGACTGTAGTCCCAGCTACTTAGGAGGCTGAGGCAGGAGAATGACATGAACCCAGGAGGCAGAGCTTGCAGTGAGCCGAGATCGTGCCACTGCACTCCAGCCTGGGCGACAGAGCAAGACTCCATCTCCAAAAAATACATAAATAATAAAAATTAAAAAAAATAAAAAACACCCAGGCTGTAGGCCCCTGCTCTTCCTTTCCGGGCCCAAACTACGAAGCCAGGGACTCTGCGATCAAAACATTCCTAGACATTCCCAGGTGAGCTAAGGAAGTACTGTGTTCTCCATTTTCCCATATTGTTTAAATTCTAAATCTGATTAGTCAAAGATTGCAAAGCATAAGATACAATGCAGACAGCTAGAAAGAAAGGGCACACTACTAATAGATTAATCATTGAACTCTTTTTTTTTAATGTAAATTTTTTTTATTATACTTTAAGTTTTAGGGTACATGTGCACAACGTGCAGGTTAGTTACATATGTATACATGTGCCATGTTGGTGTGCTGCACCCATCAACTCATTTAACATTAGGTATATCTCTTAATGCTATCCCTCCCCCCTCCCCCCACCCCTGTGATAAAATCATAAAGCAGAAAACAGGAAAAAAGCTTTAAAGTAATTATAATTAGTAATTAATATTTTCAGAAACTTTTGAGAAACTATCATACCCAAGAAATGGAAAATCTCAGAAGAAAAATTATAACAGCTTTTGAAAACTGAAATATACTTGTTGAAATTAAGACAGTAACACTTTTTTACAAATGGTCTGAATATTCTAATTAAAGATTAAATTAAGAAATTATTTGAGGATGCAGAATAAAAAACAGAGATGGGAATATGAAATAACTATTTATAAATATGAAATACAGAGCCTAAAATTCCTACATACATTCTTCTAATTCCTGTTATGAGTTCTTGAAAGAAAAAAATACTAAAGATAGAGAACAGAAAGTAAAGTAATTTAAGACGAAAATCACTGTGTGCTACAAAAAGACCAAATTAACACATTAAATATAACACAGAAAAATTGATCAATAATTCTCATTTTGGCATATCCACCTGAGATTTCTGAACTCCAAGTTAAAGAAAAAATACACAGAGCATGGGCATAATTTCAGAAGCACTTATGTAGATTAAAAAATTACTTAAAAATACAAAAAGGAGTAACAGCCTGACCTGTGAATAGTGAAATTATATTTTTATTTTTTAATTTATTAAAATATCAAGTATTTATAATAAAAAGTGCCCATTATAAAGTTACAAGTTCATTAATGTAAACATCTATTTAACTTCTAACCGAAAGAAGATACGTACTTGCATTTCACTCAAAAATTTACTTATCCCTATTCTCAATCAGCCCATCTCCCATCTCTGATATCAGGAAACCAATGACATGCTTTTTATATCCAGTGGTTGGTTTGCCTGTTCTAGAATTCCATATAAATTTATTATATAATATATACTGTTTTATGTCTGGATTCTTTCACTCAGTATACTGGTTTTGAAGTACCACAGTGCAGCAGCATATATCAATAGTTTAATTAAATATGTATATTACAATTCACTGAATGATTATACCATGACTTCGTCATCCATTCACCTGTTGGTGTGTATTTGGGTTCTTTCAATTTGCGCTCCTATAAATTAATATGTTTACTAGAAAAATTATTTTCCAAGACATTTTCTGGACAGATATTTTAATTTGTCTTTGATATTAATTTCTCCTGTAAGTGGAATTGCTAAGTCATATGGTAAGTGCATATTTAATTGTATAAGTAATTATCAATTTTTAAAAAATCTATAAGTCCAGGTAGCTCGATATCCTTGCCTACTTTCTATCATCAGTCCTTTAAATTTTAGGAAATCTAGTGATTGTGCAGAGAAATCTAATTACAATTTTAATTGGCATTTGCCTAAACAATAATAAAGTTAATAATTTTTATATGTGTAACAGCTGTTTTTATATTCTCTTTTAAGTATATGGCCAAACCTTTGTTGTATTTTTAATTGAGTCATGAGTCTTTTTCTTATTGGGTTGTAATATTGCTGTATATATTAGAATTAAAATGATTTGAGATATATATATTTCACTATATGAAATTTAATAATATATGAATGAATATGAAATATGAAATTAATATAAACTATAAAATTAATATGAAATATATAATGGATATAAAATATATACTATAGTATATGAGCATAAGAGAAATAAAATATATACTGAAGATTTTTTTTATCCTGAGTGCCCTTCAAATAAAAACTTTATTCTAATTTGATTAAGTTCAACTTAACCTATTTTTTTATGGTTAATGTTTTTGGTGACCTGTTGATAAAAATCTTGGCTTATCAAAAGTTACACATCTTCTTTCTTAAGGGACTTATATTGTTGACTTCATCTTTAGGTCTATAGTTTACTTTACATTGCTTTTTATCTACAGTGCGAACATGAGTTGAAACTTATGTTTCCTGTATAACTATACACATATATATATTATATATATCCATATATATTATATATATCCATATATAATATATATATCTATATATTATATATATCCATATATATTATATATATCCTATATATTATATATCTATATATTATATATATCTATATATTATATATATCCATATATATTATATATCTATATATTATATATATCCATATATGTTATATATCTATATATTATATATATCCATACATATTATATATCTATATATATTATATATATCCATACATATTATATATATCTATATATATTATATATATCCATACATATTATATATATCTATATATATTATATATATCCATATATATTATATATATCTATATATATTATATATATCCATATATATTATATATATCTATATATATTATATATCATATATTATATATCCATATATTATATATCATATATTATATATCCATATATTATATATATCTATATATATTATATATATCCATATATATTATATGGATATATATATATATCCATATATATATATGGATATATATATCCATATATAATATATATCCATATATATAATATATATCCATATATAAAATAAACTAGTACGATATATATACATCCTACTAGTTCTGTCCCTCTACGGAACCCTGACTAATACAGATTTTGGTACCAGGAGTGGTTCTAGAGGAACAGAATATTAAGGATGGAGTTCTTTCATTGGTTTTGGGGTTTCTGGAGTTGTCTGCTTAATATGATTAGACCCAAAAATGCTAAGGACTCTACTTCTAATAGTATGGAAAACACTGATATTCCTTGATGTGGACTGTTTAGAGAGTTATGCATAATAAACACATTTGACACTCCTGACTCACTGCTTGTGAGAGGCAAGGAGTTTAGTGACTCTATGCATAATACCTCTGACCATATGTGGAGAACCAAGGAACATAATGAAGCTGGTTGGTTGCTCCTAAGTTCAGTGGACAAAGTGATAAAAGAAAATGATTAACTCGGGGATTCTAACTCCCGGCTTCAGAAGCAGGTATTGAACCCCAAATCTGCTAAAATTGACCTGAGCGAGAGTCTTATCTCCTGTAAAGAAAGAGCTGAAATTGTGGAAAAAGAGACACAGGTGCTTATTGTGCAAGTGGGTGACCTGCAATGAAAGGTGCAAGCAGAGCCTTGCCTCGTGTTAATCTTTCTCCCCAAGGACAACTCTATCCTTTTACTAGGGTAACTGTGCATTGGGGAAAAGGAAATGATCAGATACTTAGGGACTACTGGACACTGGCTCTGAGCTGACGTTGATTCCTGGGGACCCAAAACATCACTGTGGTCCTCCAGTTACAGTAGGGGCTTATGGAGGTCATGTAATTACTGAAGTTATAGCTCAGGTCCAACTAAGAGTGGGTCCCTGGACTCATCCAGTGCCAGAATGCATAATTGGCATAGACATACTTAGAAGCTGGCAGAAACCCCATATTGGCTCCCTGACTGGTAGGGTGAGGGCTGCTATGGTGGGAAAAGCCAAATGGAAGCCATTATAGCTGCCTCTACCTAGAAAAATTGTAAATCAAAAACAATATTGCATCCCAGAGGGATTGCGGAGATTAGTGCCACCATCAAAGACTTGAAAGATGCTAGTCTGGTGATTCCCACCACACCACCCTTCAACTCTCCCATATGGGCTGTGCAGAAGACAGGTGGATCTTGGAGAATGACAGTGGATTATCATAAGCTTAACCAAGTGGTGACTCCAATTGCAGCTTCAGTACCAGATGTAGTTTCATTGCTTGAGCAAATTAACACATCTCCTGGTACCTGGTATACAGTCAATGACTTGGCAAATGCCTGTTTCTCCATCCCTCTCCATACAGCCCACCAGAAGCAATGTGTCTTCAGCTGGCAAGGCCAGCAATATACCTTTACTATCCTACCTCAGGCGTACATCAACTCTTCAGCTTTGTGTCAAAATCTTATTCAGAGAGAACTTGATCACTTTTTGCTTCTGCAAAATATCACACTGGTCCATTACATTGATGACATTGTATTGATTGGATCCAGCCAGCAACAAGTAGCAAACACATTGGACTGATTGGTGAGACAACAGCATGCCAGAGGAAAGGAAATAAATCTGACTAAAATTCTGGGAACTTCTAGCTTTTATAATCAAGTGGATAGGATGACTCGTTCTGTGGACACCACTCAGCCTCTTTCCTTAGCCACCCCTGTCATTGCCCAGTGGGCCTATGAACAAAGTGGCCGTGGTGTCCAGGGTGGAGGTTTTGCATGAGCTTAGCAACACGGACTTCCACTCACCAAGGCTGACCTGGCTACAGCCACTGCTGAGTGCCCAATTTGCCAGCAGCAGAGACCAACACTAAGCCCTCAATATGACACCATTCTTCAGGGTGATCAGCCAGCTACCTAGTGGCAGGTTTATTATATTGGACCTCTTCCATCATGGAAAGGGCAGAGATTTGCCCTCAGTGGAATAGACGCTTACTCCAGATATGTGTTTGTCTATCCTGCATGCAATGCTTCTGCCAAAACTACCATCTGTGGACTCATGGAGTGCCTTATATCCACTGTCATGGTATTCCATACAGCATTGCCTCTGACTAAGGCATTCACTTTGCAGCTAAATAAGTGCAGCAGTGGGATCATGCTCATGGAATTCACTGGTCTTACCATGTTCCCCATTATCCTGAAGCAGCTGGATTGATAGAATGGTAGAATGGCCTTTGGAAGTCACAATTACGACCCCAATTAGGTAACAATATTTTTCAGGGCTGGGGCAAAGTTCTCCAGAAGGCAGTGTATGCTCAAAATTAGCGTCCAATATATGGTACTGTTTCTCTCATATCCAAGACTTATGGGTCCAGGAATCAATGGCAAGTGGAAGTGGCACCACTCATCATCACCCCCTAGTGATCCACTGGCAATATTTTTGCTTCTGTTCCTGTGACATTACGTTCTGCTGGACTAGCGGTCTTAGTTCCAGAGGGAGGAACACTGCCACCAGGAGGAACAACAATTCCGTTAAACTGGAATTTAAGATTGCCACCTGGTTACACTTTGGGCTTCTCCTATCTTTAAGTCAACAGGCTAAGACAGGAGTTACAGTGTTGGCTGGGACAACTGATCCAGACTATGAGATGAAATCAGTCTACTAGTCCTCAATGGAGGTAAGGAAGAGGATGCATGGAACACAGGAGATTCGATAGGACATCTCTTAATATTACCATGCCCAGGAATTAAGGTCGATGGGAAACTAAAATAGCCCATTCCAGGCAGCACTACAAATGGCCCAGACCCTTCAGGAATGAAGGTTTGGGTCACTCCACAAGGACGAAAATCATGACTTGCTGAGGTGCTTGCTAAAGGCAAAAGAAATACAGAATGGGTAGTGGAAGAAGGTAACCAATACCAGCTATGACTATGTGACAGTTGCAGAAACGAGGACTGTAATTGTCATGATTGTTTCCTTCTTCTTTTGTTAAAAACATATTTGAACACTTATACACTTATACTAAGACAATATCTTCATTTTATTTCCTTTTTCCTTTATAATGAGACATAAGATTTATTGACTTCATATCAGCATGTAAGTATTGTTAACTTTATGTAATGGCATTTGAGTTGGGAATTGGTGCATTTTTGGTTGTACGAAAGATAGTTGTATTATCTTAGGCATAATTATGAGCTTATTATTGTCTTTATTTGAAGATTATGTATGATCTCAGGAGATGTATATGTGTTCAAGTTGACAAGGGGTGAACTTGTGATGGTTAATACTGAGTGCCAACTTGATTGGATTGAAGCATGCAAAGTATTGATCCTGAGTGTGTCTGTGAGGGTGTTATCAAAGGAGATTAACATTTGAGTCAGTGGGCTAGGAAAGGCAGACCCACTCTTAATCTGGGTGGGAGTCATCTAATCAGCTGCCAGCAAATATAAAGCAGGCAGAAAAATGGGAAAAGGCTAGACTGGCCTAGCCTCCCAGCCTACATCTTTCTCTGGAGCTGGATGCTTCCTACCCTCAAACATCACACTCCAAATTCTTCAGTTTTGGGACTCAGACTGGCTCTCATTTTTCCTCAGCTGGCAGATGGCCCATTGTGGGACCTTGTGATCATGTGAATTAATACTTAATAAACATATATATATATAATTAGCTCTGTCCCTCTAGAGGGCCCTAATACAGCAGGTATGATTGGAACACTTCACATTGTATAGCGTTTTGTACCCTGTGACATATTATAGATTGATAAATGGATGCCTACATATACCTAGAGACAAATAGATATATAGATACATAAAGGTATACATACATGTGACATCTATCTATCTATATGTATATATATTTACATATATATATATGTACTACAATTCATTCATTCATTCATTCTTTTCTGCTTCCTTTTGTGATCGGAAAACTCTTACCAAACTTTTAGAAAATCATCAAATTCCTAAACTTCTTAGAAACCATAATTTACTCATCCCCAAAGTAAACTCTCAATTATTTAAAACATTAATGATAACAATAATAAACACAGTAATTTAACGCTGTTAGTATCTGACATTTATGGTGGGCAGTTACTGTTTTATGTGCTTAAAACCTCATTTAATCGCCAACATTCTACGAGGTAGTTACAATTGCTGTCTCACTTTTAATGACAAGAAAACAGTGTCATAGGAAAGTTCATTAATTTGTTTAGTCTGCTAGCTAACAGTGACAATACTAGAACGCTAAACCTAGGCAGCCTGGCTCCAGAGCCCATACTCAGATGATATTCTATACCTGTACTTTGATAATACTTTCATTTTTACAGTACTTACAGTACTTACGACATTGTGTATTGTGTTGTAATCATATGTTGGCACTTTTTTAGTTTTTAAATGCTAAGAATACAGCAGAAATCTATTGAATAAAATTGAAAACAGGAAAACAATAGAAAATGAGTGAAACATCAGTATTTTAAATATCAAAACCTCTAACAAAACTGATAAAGAAAAAATAAAAGAGACAAATTATCAATATCAGGAATGAAACGTAGAGTATCAGCATAGGCCCTGCAGACATGAAAAAGTGAAAAAGAGAATATTCAAAGCACACATAATTGGTCAACCTCGATGAAATGGACTAGTTTATCCAAAGCACAAACCACCAAGAAACTCACCCAACATGAAAAAAAAATTTGTATAGCAGTAACTATTAAGACAATTGAAGTCATAATAAAAAGCTCCTAAAAAAATGTCTCCAGGTCCAGAGGGTTTCACTGGATGAGTCTATGAAACATTTAGAGAAGAATTAATGCCAAAATCTCCACAATCTTGTCTAGAAAACTCAAGATAAAGGAACAATTCCTCACATTATTAACAGCTAGTATTATCCTGATACCAAAACCAGACAAAGACAATTTTAAAAAACTCAAAATATAGACTAATATTTCTAATAAGTACAAATGTAAACCCTTAAGAAAATATTAACAAATTGAATTTAGTAATAGGGGAGGCTAAGGTGGGAGGATCACCTGAGCACAGTAAGTGGAGGCTGTAGCAAACTGTGATGGTGACACTGCACTCCAGCCTGGGTAATGAGAGTAAGACTCTATCAAAAAAAAAGATGAAAAAGAAAGAGAGAGAAAGAGGAAGGAAGGAAGGGAAGGAGGAATGAAGGAATGAAGGAAGGAAGGAAGGAAGGAAGGAAGGAAGGAAGGAAAGAAGGAAGGAAGGAAGGAAGGAAAATTATGTATCATGACAAAGTAAGGTTTATCCCAGAGATGCAAGGCTGGTTCAGTATTCAAAAGTAGAACCATATGAACAGGCAAAGAAAGAAAAATCATATAATTATACTTGATTATATAAATTTATGCAAAGGTAGCAATGGACAAAACTCAACACCCATTCATTCATTATAAAAACTGTCAGAAAACTAGGGGTGTAGGCGAATTTTTCCAATTTCATAAAGAATATCTACCAAAAACTTATGAATTATTGCTATTCCCCAAGTACCACAAGACTGCCAACACTTTCGCTTAAGGCCTTCTGTTTGGCTTCTTAGCTTTGTGCATCATACAGCTTAGATCTCAGCAGAAATCTTGAAGGGAAAATAAGCCTTGGGCTTAGTTGTCCTCCTCTTCTCCTTTTCCGTCATGATCCTGACACTTCAAGTCTCTAATTTTTGTCTCCTTATCCCCATGACACTGCCAAGGTTCTGTTTTTTCTGCCTCTTAGTAGAATCCTTTTTTTCTAGGCTCATTGCCAGATCTTCAGTTTCTTGCCTCATGCCTGGAATTTTGAATGCTATGAGGAAAAACAAATGGCTACAGGTTGTTAACTAAGCTCTTCATGGTTTCCCCCTCTTCAAGATTCTTTCCCTGTGAGTTCTGGCAGCCTCAAAGTCTCTCTCATATATTCAGAAATTCATTTATTAGTTTTTAATCATACTTAGCATTTCTAGCTGTTTTTGGAGGGAGTGTCAGCTTGCTGCAAGCTATTTCATCTTAGCTAGAAGTGGGAGTCTCAAAGCAGAGGTTTCCCAAAAGGTAAAGAATTTATGATCTAAAAGTGACATTGGGAAGTGAAGAAGACACTGACACTGTATTCTGATCCTGAAAACCATCAACTGCTGGAGAATGAGTAGCTTTGACTACAGGGTCAAAAAGGAAAACTGAGTGTCAGTTAATGCAGTGAAAAAGAAGGAACAGTTAACAGTCACTCTAGAGAATTTTATAAAATGGATTTAAAGCAATGGTAAAGCACATTTTAACTATTTCTTTCCAAACTGTTTCATTAGGCTTGCTGCTTCCATGACTTTAGGTTAGCCCTAGTGCAATTTATTCCCTCCACATTAAACTCAGTGGTTGCTCTTCTAGTTATAGACTAAACCACGTATTGTGCATTTTAGATCCAGTAATGTTCTCCATAAGAATTCCTGGATGCTCTGTTTATTCAAAAAGATTGCATTTAATGAAAAAAGTTTATTGTTGAATTTGAGAAAAAAGAAAAAAATAAGAATTATACTTTTTTATAAGTGAGAATAAATAATTTCTAAAAGGGGATTTTTTTATTTTTTAAAATGCTCTTCTTTATCACAAATTGAATTGACTTAACATATATTTTAAGGATGAAAGCTAATGCTGATCCCAGAATTATGAGTGTGCGTGTTCTCTTTAAATGAAGACCATAAAATGTGTTTATTATACATGAATATAGGCTAATTTTCATATGCATTATGTATATTTTATGCTAATATAATGTATTACTTTAGATGTTTGTGGTTTCAAGTTGTTAAAATTTTCTTTCTGTTTCAGACTAGCTTAAACAAATAGAAAATGTATTTATGCAACTGAAGATGGTACAACCAATTATGTCATTAAGGTCCTAAGTTCCTTCCATTTGTCCATTTTGGCAAATGCAATAGAAGTTCCATCAAAAGACTTATCCCCTTGTGTTTGCAATATTACTAACAAATAGCAGGAATTTTCTAGTGAATCAGCACTTCCCAGGAGCAATCATTTCCAGCGTTTTTTTTTTTTTTCAGGAGTGAAGAAGCTTTTCCTAAAATTATAATAACATCTTATTTACCAGCATTTTATCCCCCCATGCCTAGCTATACCAGTTACTGGCAGGGGAGATAGTCATGAACACATCAGATCACTCAGACATATCTCATGAGGTTAGGAATAGAACCAGTCTCCTTGGGAGCAAATGGTCGAAGGCAAGGAGTGGAGGAGTGTAAATATCCTAATATAGTCAGGTTTCTGTTAGAAAGGATGCAAACAGAAGATGGATGTTGTTAATTTCATTAAGTGCTCAATAAATAACCATTGTTTTATGTCCCTTATTTTCTAAATACCTTTACAATTTTAAACTTTTCTTTATAACACTATCTTTACAACTACTCTGTCATTTTATAGATTAGAGAATAGGTGGGATATGTAAAATGCATTTTACATGTAACTTGCTCTTTTGTCAAACTTATTCTTTCATAGCAAGATCTGGAAACTGAGCTAAGACTTCCCTTCTGCTACTGCTTTATTTTTCTGTTCTTTTCTGTATGCTTCTTGAAAAGAAATAGACTTTATTCACAGAAGCTTTTCACTATTATCCCTGTTCCACTGTAAGTACTTGAACTTTTTTCTCATGATAATTTCTCAGCATTACTGGATAAAAGAAAGCTACCCTCATTTGAGCTAAGATTTGTGGAACGGACTTTCCCATTTACATCAGCTCTTCCTTGAAAACCAAAGTAGGTAGACTCAAATCAAAGAAATAAGATATAATTTATGTTTTATACAGTTTCACTTCTTAACAGTTTATTATGCTCTTATTAAAAATTATTTTTCTTCATACAGAACTGAAATGGTTTTAGAAGATTATGGTTTCATAATCCTTCCAGATGTAGCTCACTTTAATGAATATATGAGTTTGTGAGGAGTTGTATATAGAGTGACTTCAATCAAGTAATCATTTAAAATTCAGTTGGGTGCCTCATTGGTGTAAAAATAAATCATTCTTTAGACGTATAAGAACTATTCTTCTTTTCGTTCTAAAAATTTTAAATTTATTTCTTATATTGTATAAACATACGTTCCCAAAATTTGTTTGTTTTTACTTGCACAATCTCTTTTCCTTACAAGCATACTTTTCGGTGATTATTTCCCACCAGACCATAGGATTAATGAGAACGTGAAACCTATAAACTTGATCATCACTGTGTCCCCAGGCATGGGTTCTGAAAACAAGTAGGTGTAAAATAAATGTTCATAAGCTACAAAAACATTATCTCTTTGTACCACAAATATTTTGGATGTGGTTAGATACTGGCCAATTCTGTATATCAGTTGTTTTCACTCATTTATTCTTGTTGTTTTTTTTTTTTTATGTTGGCTAAAATGACTTTACTTTTCTATTTTTTCTTTTCTTTTTTTAAATTTTTTTTAAATTATACTTTAAGTTCTAGGGTACATGTGCACAACGTGCAGGTTTGTCACATATGTACACATGTGCCATGTTGGTGAGCTGCACCCATTAACTTGTCATTTAACATTAGGTATATCTCCTAATGCTATCCCTCCCCCCTCCCCCGACCCCATGACAGGCCCCGGAGTGTGATGTTCCCCTTCCTGTGTCCAAGTGTTCTCATTGTTCAATTCCCACCTATGAGTGAGAACATACAGTGTTTGGTTTTTCGTCCTTGCTATAGTTTGCTGAGAATGATGGTTTCCAGCTTCATCCATGTCCCTACAAAGGACATGAACTCATCCTTTCAATTTTTATTTTAGATTCAGGAGGCACATGTGTGGGCTTATTGCAAGGGTAGATTGTGTGATGCTGAGGTTTGGGCTTCTGTTGATCTTGCCACTCAGATAGTGATCATAGTACCCAGCAGCGAAGTTTTATTTTTATGTTTTCAATCATATCCAAAAAGAGAGATTATTTTTGAAAGCAATATTAGTTTTAAAGTATGATATTTTTATTTGGATTTTGTTTTTGTAGCTTTCTTATTGTTTGGAACTTAAGCCCACTTTTAATCACTTATTGGAGAGATTTATTTAACTTAAGTAGGTAGCATCCTTTCTATGGATGACTTAAAACAATGCATTTAGTCCGCCTTTGGGTGAGAGTGGTGGTTGTGGTCAAGTCGTGTGTGTATATATTACATAGATGTTTGTACACAGATGTGCGTGTGTGTGGTATAGACGCTGAATGCAGAGATAGATGCAGCAATCTCCACCAAAAGAGCTTCTGTTCAAGTACTTCATAGTTGCCATACCTACTGTTATTTTTTGAAAATACCATGAATAATTCACGCTTCTTTGGAATTAAATATTTACATATATTTTTTCCAGGAAGATACTTGAACTTTACTAGATCAAGACAGGTAAATTAAAATAATTAAGATTCATATCATCTGGTGGCCTCAATTAACATCTGGATTACATGGCAATCTCTGTTTTTTGTTTTTCACTTTACAATGTTTGCTCTTTGTTGTTCTCTTCAGAATTCTAGTTGGCTATGAATGCTAGAGCTTTAATTTGAATTCTCCATTTATTAGAACTCTATCTGTCTCCTTGTCTTTTATCATATAACCTATTGCTTGTTCTCTTTATGCTGTACAATTCTAGCCATATCGGTATCTTTTTTAGGCTCATGCCTGCTACTCCCTCAACATATTAAAACTTTTCTAAATTGCACATGAGTTTGCCATGGCCAATGGATGTTGTATTAGGTGTCCTATTGACATTGGACCAGTTTGAGACAGTATCTTTTTTCCTCAACACATTAATCTCAGGCAAATAGAAGTGTCTGTGCCCATTTTTGTCATTCCTGTGGAGAAATACTGATTTTGCAAAATATTTTGCTTCCAATTCTAACCTATTTAAGATAAGCAGGTGGATTTTGTTGACAACTTATTTCAAAATATAAATCTATGGCAAGTGAGTTATATTTTACTTTCATTAGTATTAAAGTTGAAAGCAAGTTATTCAAATTTATTTAGTAAAAAATGAATACACTTTGTGACAGATATCAGCTTCCAAAAATCTAGCAAGGTCTGGCATCATGTAATATTCCGTGTACCCAAACTGACAATAAAGGATTTTGGAAAGAAATAAAATCAGCATCTCTGTGCTATCCTTAAATTGGCCTGAGGTCTCACTAATTCTGGTAGTCAAATCCTCTTGGCTGAGCATGTAGAAAATATAAAACTTGGTCACTGTGTGGATGCGCATGCAGAAATTTCATCCTTAGAGAAGAAAAAAAGAGATTGGTGGGAATAAATATTAGACAATGATAACAGTGTTCTTTATAAGAGCATTTTAAGTATGTATTTCCCATTAAACTGAGAAAAAGTTGTGATGCTGCTCCTAACAATAAAATATTATCTCAAATTTCTTCAGAGCTTGTTACTCTGACTTAAATGGAGAATGTGCCTTTGGGGTGTGGATGTTACTCACATTGTTAGAGATACAGACATGTACAAGATGCTTGCTGTGCGGTGGGGTAGAGCACCCGAACATCAAAAAGTGTGAGCCTTCCAAAATAGTGCAGATCTATGAGGACAGCAAATCCTTTCAAAATCAGATACATAGATGCTCTTGGTTTCTCACTATTATTAACATGGAAAAGTGAGCATTTTTATTATTCCTTTGCAAAGGATGAAACAAATATTTCATTGGGATATCCTAAATGAATGATAAATCACTGTCATAACATAACATCAATTATGTTTAGACTCAAGAAACCAGTGATCTATCCTTTTTTGCTCACAAATAAAACGTATAAAGACTTAGTTCAACAACTCTTTATATGTCACGAAGATTGTTTTCCCCTAATACAAACCATTAGACAAACATTATAATTTTTTTTGGGAAGGATGTTTTAATCAAAAGTTTTTAGCAGCTTTCTTACCACTATCTTTTTTTTTTTTTTAAGACAGAGTCTCCCTCTGTTGCCCAGGCTGGAGTGCAATGGCGAGATCTTGGCTCACTGCAACTCTGCCTCCTGGGTTCAAGCGATTCTCCTGCCTCAACCTCCTGAGTAGCTGGGACTACAGGCGCCTGCCACCATGCCCGGCTAATTTTTGTATTTTTAGTAGTGACGGGGTTTCACCACGTTGGCCAGGGTGGTCTCGATCTCTTGACCTCATGATCCGCCCACCTCGGCTTCCCCAAGTGCTGGGATTACAGGTGTGAGCCACTGCACCTGGCCACCACTATCCATTTTTATAATGTCAATTTTGTACTTTATCTCATGCCTCCCCATGCCTACCTCCAGGAAGGTAAAATAAGGCTATGTTGTTAATACAGCAACACAATGAATTATAAACAAATGCAAGCAAGCCCTCATTTTGTATCACATTAACATATTTAGAAGTTTTACAACTTGTATGATAAAACAGAAAATATTTCAGACTTAACAAACTCTTGCCTTTATTAGTGTTTCAATGATAAAAGTAGGTAAGTTCCTCTCCTATTTTTAAGATTGACAGAAAACTTATTTGTGACCTGGTTCCAGTTTTACAAGAAAATTTTCATACATAACTACATTTCTATATTCTACAATTAAGTGGTTTTTTTTTTGCCATATATCATCAGTGGATCTGAAGTAGTTCATCATAGTCTAGACTACAATGCTTGTTGTTCTCAAAACTATTCAATAATCTCTGTGTTAATGTTTCATTTGTCAAACTAAATCATCTCATTTTCATAATTGTAAAATAGGTTTTACACACAAACACATACATATGCATTTTACTCATTTAAGTTTAATATTAATCTCTGTAAATTTTCAATTTTGTCTCAGTAATGACTGATGGTGTTTTAATATTTTTTTCCGTAATTCTTTAGAACGTGTTCTGTTATTTTCATTCCATTTCTTAGAGTTATCTACTTTAGTTGTAAAATGTTTTGCTACATAGAAAAACTTGAATAAAACATGGTTCATTTTTAGAATCTTGTAGTTATATATAATAGTTGTAATGTAAAAATATATGAATTCTTTTTTCCCTTTTTCTTGCAACTTCAAGGGTACATGTGCAGGTTTGTTATATGGTAAATTGCATGTCACAGGGCTTTGGTGTACAGATTATTTTGTCACCGAGATGATGAGCATGGTACCCAAGAGGTAGTTTTTCAATCTCCACTCTCCTATCACTCTCCACATTCATGTAGGTCCTGGTGTCTACTGTTCCCTTCTTTGTGTCCATGTGTACTCAATGTTTAGCACCCACCTATAAGTGAGAAACTGTGACATTTGGTTTTCTCTTGTTGCATTAATTTGCTCAGAAAAATGGCCTCTAGGCCAGGCGCAGTGGCTCATGCCTGTAATCCTAGCATTTTAGGAGGCCGAGGCGGGCGGATCACAAGGTCAGGAGTTCTAGACCAGCCTGACCAACATGGTGAAACGCTGTCTCTACTAAAAATACAAAAATTAGTCGGGCATGGTGGTGCGTGCCTGTAATCCCAGCTACTCAAGAGGCTGAGGCAGGAGAATTGCTTGAACCTGGGAGGCAGAGGTTGCAGTGAAGTGAGATTGCATCAGTGCACTCCAGCATGGGCAACACAGAGAGATTCTGTCTCAGAAAAAAAAAAAAAAGAAAAGAAAAAGATAAAGAAAGAAAGGAAAGAAAAGAAAGAAAGAAAAAAAGAATAATTGCTTCTAGCTGCATCCATATTGCTGCCAAGGGCATGGTATCACTTTTTTATGGCTATGCAGTATTCCATGGTGTATATGTAACGCATTTTCTTTATCCAGTCAACCATTGATCAGTCAACCATTGATAGGCGTTTAGTTTGATTTTGTGTCTTTTCTATTTTGAAAGTGCTGCAGTGAACATACACGTGCATCTGTCTTTGTGGTAGAACAATTTATATTCCTTGGGAGTATATCCAGCAATGGGACTGCTGGGTCGAATGGTAGTTCTCTTAAGTTCTTTAAAAATCTCCAATCTGCTTTCCACAGTGACTGAACTAGTTCACATTCCCTCTAGCAGTTTATGTGTTCCCTTTTCTCTGCAGCTTTGCCAGAATCTGGGATTTTTTTTTTAACTTTTTAATAATGGCCATTCCGACGGTGTGAGATGGTGTCTCATCATAGTTTTTATTTGCATTTCTCTAATGATCAGTGATGTTAAGCCTTTTTTTTCATATTTCTTGGTCGCATGTATGTCTTCTTTTGAAAAGTGTCTGTTTAGTTCCTTTGCCCACTTTGCTTTTTTTCTTGTAAATTTGCTTAAGTTCTTTATAAACGGCCACATATTAGGCTTTGTTGGATGCATAGTTTGCAAACATTTTGTCCCATTCTGTAAATTGTCTGTTTACTCTGTTGACAGTGTCTTTTGCTGTGCAGAAGCTCTTTAGTTTAATTAGGTCCTGTTTGTCAATTTTTTTTGTTTTGTTGTCACTTCTTTTGGTGTCTTTATCATGAAATTTTTGCAAGGTCCTATGTATAGAATGGTATTTACTAGGTTTTCTTCTAGAGTTTTTAAAGTTTTAGTTTTTACATTTAAGTCTTTAATGTATCTTGAGTTGATTTTTGTACATGGTGAAAGGAAGGGGTCCAGTTTAAGTCTTCTGCATATGGCTAACCAGTTATCCCAGTAAAATTCATTAAATAGTGAGTCCCTTCCCTGTGGCATGTTTTTGTCAGCTTTATTGAAGATAAAATGATTGCAGGATCATAGCTTTATTTCCTGGTTCTCTAATCTGTCCCATTGGTCAATGTGTCTGTTTTTGTATCAGTACCATGCTCTTTTGTTTAATGTAGCCTTGTGGTACCGTTTGAAGTTAGGTAGTGTGATGCTCTGGCTTTGTTCTTTTTGCTTTGGATTGTTTTGACTATTTGGGTTCTCTTTTGGTTCCATATGAATTTTAGAATATTTCTTCTAATTCTGTGAAAAATGTCATTGATAGTTTGGTGAGAATAACATTGAATTTGTACATTGCTTTGGGTAGTGTGGCCATTTTAACAATATTAGTTCTTTTTAATCCGTGAAAATGGACTGTTTTTCCATTTATATATGTCATCTCTGATTGCTTTGAGCAATATTTTGTAATTCTTGTTGAAGAGATTTTTTTTTACCTCCCTGATTAGCTGTATTAGCAGGTATTTGTGTGTGTGTGTGTGTGTGTGTGTGTGTGTTCGTATGTGTTGGCAGGGGCGTTAGCTTGTGAATGGGATCGCATTCTTGATTTGGCTGTCAGCATGAATATTGTTCATGTATGGAAATGCTACTGATTTTTGTACATTCATTTTTTTTTATCCTGAAACTTTGCAAAAGTTGTTTAACAGCTGTAAGAGCTTTTGGGTAGAGACTATGGGGTTTTCTAGGTAAAAATCATATCATCTTTGAAGAGAGATTATTTGACTTTCTCTCTTCTTATTTGGATGCTTTCATTTCTTTCTCTAGCTTGACTGCTCTGGCTGGGACTTCCCATATTGTGTTGAATAAGAATGGTGAGAGTGAGCATCCTTGCCTTGTTCTGGTTCTCAGTGGGAATGTTTCCAGCTTTTGCTTGTTCAGTATAATGTTGGCTGTGTGTTTGTCATAGATAGCTCTTATTATTTTAAGGTATGTTCCTTCAATACCTAGTTCTTCGAGGTTTTTCATCATGAAGAGTTGCTGAATTTTATTGAAAGTCTTCCCTTCATCTGTTGAAAGAATCATGTGGTTTTTGTTCATAATTCTGTTTATGTGATGAATCACATTTAAAAAAAATTTATTTTATTTTATTTTAAATTCTAGTGTACATGTGTAGGATGTGCAGGTTTCTTATGTAGGTAAATGTGTGCCATGGTGGTTTGCTGCACCCATCACATCGGTATTAAGCCCAGTATGCATTAGCTATTTTTGCTGATGTTTTGACTCCCCCTTCCCTTGAAAAGCCACAGTGTGTGTTGTTTTACTCCCTGTGTGCCTATGTGTTCACACTGTTCAGCTCCCACACATAAGTGAGAATATGTGGTGTTTGGTTTTCTGTTCCTGCATTAGTTTGCAGAGGATAATGGCTTCCAACTCCACCTATGTCCCTGCAAAGGACATGACCTTGTTCCTTTTTATGGTTGCATAGTGTTCCATGGTGTATATGTACCACGTACCACATTTTCCTTAGTCTATCATTCATGAGCATTTGGGTTAATTCCGTGCCTTTGCTATTGTGAATAGTGCTTCAATGATCATATGCGTGCATATATCTTTATAAAAGAATGATTTATATTCCTTTGAGTACACACCCAGTAATAGACTTGCTGGGTCAAATGATATTTCTGGTTCTAGGTCTTTGAAGAATCACCACACTGTCTTCCACAATGGTCGAACTAGTTTACATTCCCGCCAACAGCGTAAAGGTGTTCCTATTTCTCCACGGCCTTGCCAGCATCTGTTTTTCTTGGCTTTTTAATAATAACCATTCTGACTGGTGTGAGATGGTATCTCATTGTAGTTTTGATTTATATTTCTCTAATGACCAGTGATGTTGAGTTTTTTTCATGTTTGTTGGCACCATAGATGTCTTCTTTGGTGAAGTGACTGTTCATGTCCCTTGCCCACTTTTTAATGGAATTGTTTGGTCTTTTCTTGTAAATTTGTTTAAGTTCCTTGTAGACTCTGAATTGTAGACCTTCGTCATATGGATAGACTGCAAAATTTTTCTTCCATTTTGTAGGTTGTCTTTGGCTGTCTGGTTGTCTGTTGGCTCTGACAATAGTTTCTCTTGCTGTGCAGAAGCTCTTTAGTTATAATAGATCCCATTTGTCATTTTTTGCTTTTGTTGCAATTGCTTTTGGCACTTTCATCATGAAATCTTTGCCCATGCCTATGTCTTGACTATTTTAAAATTCATCCGAAACCAAAAAAAGAGCTTGAATAGCCAAGAAAATTCTAAGCAAAGAAAAAAGAAAAGGCTAGAGGCATCACACATCACACTACTTGACTTCAAACTATACTACAACAAGTAGTCTAGTATGGTACAAGTACAGTAACCAAAACAGCATGCTACTGGTAAGAAAACAGACACATAGATAAATGGAACAGAATAGAAAACTCAGAAATATGATCTCACATCTGCAACTGATCTTTGACAAACCTGATGAAAATAAGCAATGAGGAAAGGATTCTCGATTTAATAAATGCTATTGGGAGAAATGGCTAGTTGTACGCAAAAAAAAAAAAGAAAAGAAAAGAAACTGGACCCCTTCCTTATACCGTATACAAAAACTAACTCAAGATGGATTAAAGGCTTAAATGTAAAACCCAAAACTACAAAAACCCTGTAAAAGAATCACATTTATTAATTTGTATATGTTGAACCAACCTTGCATCCCAGATAAACAACCTACTCGATCATAATAGATTAGCTTCGTGCCACTGGATTTGGTCTGCCAGTATTTTTTTGAGAATTTTTTGCACTTATGTTCATCAGAGATATTGGCCTGAAGTTTTCTTTTTTGTTGTGTCTCTGGTAGGTTTGGGTATTAGGATGATGCTGGTCTCATATAGTGAGTTAGAGAGGAGCCCCTCCTCTTTTTTGGGAATAGTTTCAGTAGGATTGGTACTAGATCTTCATATGTCTGGTAGAATTAGGCTATGAATCCATCTGGTGTAGGGCTGCTTCTGGTTGGTAGGCTTTTTATTAGTGATTAAATTTTCACACTCATTATTGGTCTGTTCAGGGTTTCACTTTCTTCCTGGTTCAAACTTGGGAGGTTGTATGTCTCTAGGAATTTTTCCATTTCCTCTGGGTTTTCTAGTTTGTGTGCATAGTGATATTCATAATGTCTCTGTTTTTTTTTTTTATGTCTGTGAGATCAATAGTAATGTTCTCTTTGTCATTTCTGATTATGCTTATTTGTAGCTTGTCTCATTTTTAATTTATTAGTCTAGCTAGTGATCTATCAATCTTATTTATTCTTTCAAAAAACCATCTTTCATTTTCTTGGGCTTTTGTATCCTTTTTCTCATCTCAATTTCATTCATTTCAGCTCTCATTTTGGTTATTTCTTTTCTTTTGCTGGCTTTCAGGTCGGTTTGCTTGTCTTTTTCTAGTTTCTCTTACTTTAAAAGATATTTGAATTTGGCTTAATTATTATGGACAAAACTTTGCAAAGAATAATTTAGTAAATGAGTTACCAATTCAGAGCAACTCCCACTTCATTGGACTACAGTGAATATTCTTATTAATGGGAGTAGAAGACGGTTTCTTTTTCCGATATAATCACTTCTTAACTTCTTTCTCAAGTAAAAAAGTGCATTTACTTTAGAGATTATGCTATAAGTTGAAATTTCCTTTGAGAATTCATCTTATACCATGAAATGAACATGCAAATAAAATTTAGATAAAATATGTTTTTAAGTAATCTGTGTTTGAAAATAAACATTTTATACAGACAAATATTCCTTCTTTTGGTTATATTTTGTTGAGAATCACTGAATAAGAATTCTTAAATTACGTGGGGTGAGTGACATTTGTACTAAAGATGTTTTCCTTTTCTAGTTGATCTAGGGTTCTTTTAATTTATTTTCCCCTACTTTATTGAGATATACTTGAAAAATAAGAATTACGTATATTTAAGGTATACAATATGGTGTTTTGATATACATATAAATTATGGCCAGGCTCGGTGGCTCACGCCTGTAATCCCAGCACTTTGAGAGGCCGAGGCAAGCAGATCACCTGAGGTCAGGAGTTTGAGACCAGCCTGGCCAACATGGTGAAACCCCGTCACTACTAAAAATACAAAAATTAGCCAGGGATGCTGGGGGGCACCCGTAATCCCAGCTACTCGTGAGGCAGAGGCAGGAGAATCACTTGAAGCCGAGAGGCGGAGGTTGCAGTGAGCCAAGATCGCGCCATTGCACTCCAGCCTGGGCGACAAGAGTGACACTACCTCTCAAAATAAAAACAAAAATAAAAACAAAATCAAAAACAAAAAGATATACATGTACATTGTGAAATTATTACTATAATGGAACTAATTAACAGGCATAAATTAGCATTTTTACTTCAAAAACTGTTGCACTTGCTTTACCATAAATAAATGGCTCTAAAACACCTTTGTAGTATGGAAGAAGTAATTTTTCATAGTTATTTTGCTGTGATTAGCTTGCCCATATTGCAATTGATCTTTAATTCAAAGCCATTAGGAGGTCAAGAATAGGAGTTTGGTTTAATTACTATGAGAGATTATATACCCAGCTGAATAGACTGAAAAGGTACAGGATTAGAAGGCAAGATATATAACTTGGAAAGTGCTTCTAGTTATATTACTTTCTTGCTTGTTAAATGTTATATTTTAGTCTAATATTAAGGGTAATCATAATTATTATTATTATTGCTTGTATAATAGTTATATAATTACTTATATAATAGTAATTATTATGGTTTACTATGTGTCTTCTAAGTTCTTTACATGGATTGTTTCATAATTATTATCACCATAAGCCTCCAGAGAAACCTAAAGATCTGTACTTATTTTATTCCCATTTAATGAGAGAAAACTTATATAAAGTCTAGGTAACTTTCTAAAATGTCATAGCTAACACATCGCAGAATCAATATGTGTACATTGGTATGCTTCCTCCAGAGAATAACCTCTTACATACCATGCATTCCCGCCTCCCAGTATTGTGCAAACCGCTGTGAAAGTAGTCATTCTAAATTTTCTTTCATCATGTTATTCTTTTACTTACAATTTATAGTGCCTACCTTTTACTGAGAAATGGACAAATATAGGTTCAAATCCTGGTACATTGATTCTTATTTAAACTGTTTTATTTTCAAGTCTTACACTAAATTTAGACCTAAAATTCCATACTATATTTGTGATGTGTGAAGTCCATTATAGCATTGATTTAAGAGAAACATTATTACATGATATCTTATTTAATATAGACATATTTGTTGAAATACTGAAGTGCAAAGGCTTCGTGTGTCAGAACTGAAGCATTTCATAGTTTTTCTTATTTATAAAATTAACTTCATGCTGCTACTTTCCTGAGAATGAAACCAATCAGCTGATCCTATGATCCTGTAATAGACCTGCTTGATGAATTTGAAATTCAACTAATTTCATTATAATAGAAACCTGCTTCTTCAAGGGAGATCCACATAAATCATGTAAATCTCTATTGAATCTGGATACTTAATTAATTTCATGCAGAATTCAGGCTTCAAGAATGCCTGTGCAGATATTCCTTTCCAATTCTTCTATCTTTTCACTGAAGGTGGACTTTCAAATGCCAGGCTGTGGAAAGGACTTACAGCAGAGATTGGGCAGGTTTTTTAAATTTTATTTATTTATTTCTCTCTCTCTCTCTCTCTCTCTCTCTCTCTCTCTCTCTCTCTCTCTCTCTCTCTCTGCTGCAGCCCATATCTTTTCATATTTCCTCAGGGAAAACCTATTGAGTCAGAAATTAAAAGTTTAACTGATTTTGTCTGGTCAAGTTGGGATTAATTACTTGTAAGGAAGGGTACAATGTTTTTCTTAGAATTCCCAGTGACTAAAAGAGAGAAACAGATAAGCAAAACAAATAAACCTATGGTTATATCATGTCAATTAATGATTTTGTTTTGATTATTTTAACATTATTTTCATAGTTCATTTTCATTTATATTATGTTATAGGCAGTTTAAATTTTTGTTTAATTGTGTTACTTAAATTTTATCATCCATGACATATTTATTAAATGCTTCATTCTAACCCAGCAGTTTTTAAGTTTTATGATGCATTAGAATCACTTGGAGGGCTTGGTACACTACATATAAATAGCTAAATTACTTCCCCCGAGTTCTAATTTAGTAGGCCTTGTTTGGTACCCAGGAATTGGCATTTTCAAGGTGGTGCTAATGCTGCTGATCAAGAGTCACCTCCTCACTGAGAACCACTTATCTAGGCTTTGAGGATATAGTAGGGATCAAGAAAAAGTCATTTTTCTCATTGGGCGATACAGACAACAAATAACTAAACAAATAAGCAAAATACTGATGGTGATAAGTACTGTGAAAGGACCCATGGTCATAAAATAGAGATTAACCAGGGATGGAAGTTAAGGGTTATATTAACCACTATAGCCAGAGAAGGTCTCTGTGACCAGGCATGGTCATTCTGAGGACTTAAATGTAAAAAGCCAAATGTGGTATATACCTGGCATGTTAAAACAACAAAAGAGGTTTGGCATGATTTTGTCAGGTTAACTCATCCTGGCTCTGACACTCCCTAGTTCTAGGACTATGGATAATTTATGTTTTCACATGTGTCAAAGGAGTGAAATTATTCCTGCATAGAATTTTTGAGGATTAAAAAAGAAAAAAAAATTAGACTATTCCAGTTTCTGGCAAGATAGTCAATACATTTCTTTTTCTTACCCTTATAATATGTAATATGTCATCTATATATTGATACTAGCTATCAACATTTCAAATGTGTGTAATTTGGTAGTGATTTTAAATTTATTTGAATTATCTTCTCTGTTACCTTTGTCACTGGAGAAATAATTACAACCTGAGTGCATTTTGGCTGGCCTGTATTATTCCTTAGTTTACCTTTGACACAGTAATAACTTCAAAACTGGTTACAACTGTTGAACTGAATTCACAGAAAATTATCTATGTGGTGGACTTTTTTAAATGTATAATGTATATCATACAATATACACTATCCACCAATTTATGTCTTAATATATATGTTTTTTCTTCACAATAAAATATTATACAAAATTTACTGATAGAAAACTTTTTTTTTTCCCCCGAGACAGATTCTCACTCTGTCACCCAGGCTGGAGTGCAATGACGCCATCTCAGCTCATTGCAACCTCTGCCTTCCGGGTTCAAGCAATTCTCCTGCCTAAGCCTCCTGAGTAGCTGGGATTACAGGCATGTGCCACCATGCTTGGCTAGTTGGAAAAATTTTTAATGATAATTTTTTCACACTAAGAAACTCAGAACTCCTACTAAATATTCATTTATTTTTTCATGCCCATATATTTGTTAGTAACATAAATTATGTTTCTATGAGTCTTGATAAACATTTATTATTGACTTTTGTGTTATAAGTTTCTATGAATCTTGATAAACATTTATTAATGACTTTTGAGTAGATGCAGAGCACCACACTAGTACTTATTAGAGATGTAAACATAGGAAAAACATGATAAGTTTGCTGAAACTTACAGGCTAGTTGGTGTCAATTTAGACTTCAGCAATTTCTAGAATGAAGAGTGTAATATAAAAGATGCTTTAACCTAAAGACAAATTATATGAGAATTAAAAGGAGAGGTTACCACTAGGTGAAATTGAGGCAAAAGGCAAAAAAGCACTTTCTGAAAGAAATTCTATTTTAGACGAAGCTTCAAGGATAGTTAGGAAAAGGTTCAAAGATAGGGGTAATCATTCTGTTAAGTTATTTCATGTACAAAGATAAAAAGCTGAAATGAATAGGGTATATTTAATGAATACTAAGTACATGACATTATCTAATATTGGAAATAAGAGTGCAAAGCCAAATCGTAGCCGTGTATAGCAGTGAATGTTAGGTTGTCAGGTTCATTCAAATGAACACACAATGGATAGTCACTGAAGCTTTGTCAACAAGTGGATAACATTTATAATGTCAACAAATTTCAGCCTGAACCAATTGTAATATATGAGAAGTATAGAATAGGAAAAAGAAATAGTAGGATACCCTTCAACTTTAAATTACTTGCTTGTGAGGATTTAAATGTGACCCTTAATATCCTGATCTATTTTTAGGCAAATTAGTTATTAGCACAACAGGCAAAAGTGGATTAGCCAAGTATTCTCATGAGTATTATGAAAAGTTTTATTTCAGCATGAAACTTACTGTTATAATATATGTGTTTTGCAATGAATCACCTACCTAAACAGCAAGACTTAAAGATGCTATGCTTTGATGATTAAATGCAAGTACAACTTGCTAATTATTTCAGTATCAGGTTCATTAAACAATAATATATTAAACTAATTCATTCAGAGTGCAATCATCTTATGTCTTATTGAGTTATAAAAACAATGAGGTTGTCATTAACTATATGTGAAATTTTTGTGAATTAAACTTTATTAAAACAAGTGCTTCTCCAAAATAATACTTTTTAAAATGAAAGAGGATCCAGTTTCCTTTACAAATCCATGTGAGTGGAAACACATATAATATAATTTTAATAATGAGAAATATACTGAGTTCATGATATACAAGGATTTATGTATGTGATTTTAAAAACCTATCTGAGCATGGCAAGAGGGAAGTGACTACAGAGGTTATTTGATGCATACGGTCAGGTTATGCCTCTTAACAAAGTTTTAAGTTGTTTTATATTTTCTAATTCAGAATTTTGGATTGCAAAACCAGATTCATCTCAGTGAAATAACTTAATGTACTGTATGGAATAAAATTACGTAATAATAGAAACAATACATATAATACTAATTATATATTATATATGAATATATATTTAAATGTGGGTATGTGTAAACATTTAGCAAAACAATGTGCCTGAGGGGGATTGGTAATAATAAATGCCAAATTTTCTTTATTACAGTACTGGTGAAAACTTTATGAAGTATGAGTGTCTAAATATTTTGCTCTGTCATCGTGCTGAGTCTATATTTTTGTCTACTAGTTTGGCAATGTTTCATAAGCTTTCCTACATCTGCTAGTCCATATTATTTATCTTTTTGATCCACTTATTAATTCATCTTTTAATTTATTAAAAAATATTATTGTTAAGATGGAAATTTCAAAGGGCAGGGAAGATTATCTGGTAACACCTAATATTTGATGTTTTTCCCTTTATTTCAATGCCTATTTTTTTGCTTTTTAATTTCACATTAAGCTAAAAAGCTACCTTACAGCAAACAACTAACAAACCAACAATCAAAGTGAAGAGAAACCAATAGAATGGGAGAAAGTGTTTGCAAACTACCCATCTGACAAGGGATTAATAGCCAAAACAGATAAGGATCTTGAACAACTCAATAGGAAAAAATTAAATAATCTGAGTTAAAAATTAGCAGAAGTTCTAAATAGACATTTCTTAAAAGAAGACATAGAAATGGTCAAGAAGCATATGCAAAAATGCTCAGCGTCACTAATCATCAGAGAAAAGCAAATAAACACTACAACGATATATCATCTCACCCCAGTTAAAATGGCTTTTATCCAAAAGACAGAAAATAGCAAATGTTGGTGATGATGTGGAGAAAGGGGATCCCTTGTACAGTGTTTTTGGGAAGGTAATTTAGAACATCCACTATGAAGAACAGCATGGTTTCTAAAGAAACTGAAAATAGATCTTCCATATGATTCACCAAGCCAGGTGTGTATCCAAAAGAA
This sequence comes from Homo sapiens, assembly GCF_000001405.40. Lineage (NCBI taxonomy): Eukaryota > Metazoa > Chordata > Mammalia > Primates > Hominidae > Homo > Homo sapiens. The sequence continues at coordinate 42,074,958 of NC_000014.9, forward strand.
AGGAAATCAGTATATTGAAGAGATATCTGTACTCCTCTGTTTATTGTAGCACTATTGACAATAGCCAAGCTATGAAATCAACTTAAGTGTTCATCAATTAAATATATGATTTAAAAAATGTAGTACATATACACAATGGAATATTATTCTACCATAAAAAAGAATGAAATCCTGTTATTTGCAACAACATGAAAGGAACTAGAAAGCATTATGTTATGTAATATAAGCCAGGTATAGAAAGACAAATATTACATGTTCTTACTAATATGTGGAAGCTAAAAAAAAATGAACTCATGGGGATGGTAGAATGATGATTACTGGTACTAGAGGGTGGGAAGTGTAGTGGGGAGGGAAAATAAAAAGGGAGTGGTTAGTTAATGGGTACAAAAATACAGGTAGATAGAAAGTATGACATGTAGTATAAGGCAGCAAAATAGGACAACTACAATTAACAGTCATTTATTGAATATTTCAAAAAAACTAAAGAAGTGAAATTGGAATTTTTTTTTAAGAGACAGACTCACACACATTGCCCAGGTTGGAGTGCAGAGAAGATGTTGAATAAAGTTGATTAGAAATTCTGAAATTCAGGGGAGAGGATCATACTGGCAATGTAAACATGAAATTAGTCAGCATACAGTTTCTACTTAAAGTTATTTAACAAACTGAGATTTTTAAAGCAAGTGTAGACAGAAAAACAATATCAAAAGACAAGTCTTGTACTCCAAAAGCTGGAAGTCAAGGAAAAATGCAGGTATCAACAATGAAAACTAAGAAGCACATACTTTTAAAAGTAGGGGGAAAACCAGAGAGCCGGAGTCTCAGAAGTCAAATTAATTGTTTTTAGGGATAGTAAATGAATAGCCACATCAGAAGTTGATGATAGGATATGACCATCAATAGAGTTAACAGGTCATTGAAAGAGAAAATTTGACAGTGTGTTTGGGAAAAATTTATTTTCATGAATCTAAGACAGAGTAAGAGGAGAGACAGTGGCACAGAAAATGTAGATATTTCCTTCAATAAATTTAGCAATAAAGATAAATACAGAAGTGGGGCTAATGGCTAAAATTTTAAAAAATGAGGCTTAGATGACTATTTTGTTTGTTATCATGTAAGAAAAAAATGGCAAGTCTATGTGATTAAAGGAATGACCTAGGAGGGAGAAATTGATGATATAAAGAGATACAGAAAAGGGTTGATGCAGCACTGCTCCAATATAGTTAAAATAATAATAAAAAATGACCCTAGCAGCTGGCAGCTAACAACAGCCAACTGAACACAAACAAATATTGCAGAATATAAACATCTTTCAAAGAGTTTTGCTTCTTTCCCAATGACAGTGCTAGTCCTGATTCATTTCTCCTGCATCCTAGATAAGAATTATTCAGATAGCACGTTGTTGAATTGCCCCCATTTGTTGACAGCACTCAATCCAGAACAGATTCCACTTCTTTAAGCCTACTCCAATTCACACAGCACAAACCCAAAGCATATAAAAAAGGCCTCCCAGCTCCCTATGTTCTGATACTTCCTAGAGCCTTGGTATATACTAATTTGTCACAAGAAGCTAATACACCTAGATTTTACTTTAGGTGTGTCTCTGGTAATCTTCAGTTGGTCATCTTTAACAACTCTGGATGAAGTAGGATCTGCTACATAAGCAGTTGGCTGCCTTAGATAGGGACAAGGGAAAGAAGGCAATATATGTGCTTAAGGACACTAGTAAGTGGGCAAACATGATGATATGTTTGTGTAACTTTTTTTTTGCTCATGGTCATTAGTTGACAGTGAGGATACAGTGGTAGTTTTGAAAATTGGAGATGAGAAAAAATTGTAATATAATCATTTTGACAAGAGAAATAATAAATAATCTAAAGCAATGATTGTTGGGCGTCATAAAAGATCCACCTGAGGTTCATGATCAGGAGTTTAAAGTGACTCCAGTCCGCAAGGCAATGACTTTTTCTCCAATAACTTCAATTGCAGGGGTTCAGGCACAGAAGAGTTAGAATTTTTGTTGTTGTTGATATTGTTGTTTTGACAAATCAAACCTGAGTTGTAGTTTGCCAAAAGATAAGTACAAGTCAGTTAAAGATATAGGCAGAGGGGAGAATAATATGATGTATCATTTAATTATTGCAGGTAGGAGGCAAAAAGAGGAAATTGAGAAGGCTCTGGAGGATTAGGGTAAAATGGTAAAATAATTTTATTTTGTTTTTAATTTTTATTTTTAATTGACAAATAATATATGTATACATTGTGAAATAACTGTATCAAGCTAATTATTTATTACCTCACATACTTTTGATTTTCTGTGGTGAAAATTTTTAAATTCTTCTCTTTTAGCAATTTTAAAATATGAACTACATTATTATTAGTTATGTTCACCATGCTATGCAATAGATCTCGAAAATGTATTCCTCCTGTCTAACTGAAATTGTGCTGCATGATTCCCAGTAACCAAATACAGAATCAACCTGAGTGTTGATGGAAAAGGAAACGTGTTATAAACATACAAAATGATATACTATTTAGCCTTAAAAAAAGAAGAAAAGTCTGTTATCTGTGACAACACGGATAGACCTAGAGGTTATTACTGTAAGTGAAATAAGCCAGATACAGGAATATAAACATGCATGATTTCACTTACATATGGAATCTAAAAAGTCACACTCATAGAAATGGGGAGTACAATAGTGGTTACCAGAGGTTAGGGTAGGGTGGGGGAAATGTTGGTACGATGGATACAAACAAAGGGTACAATGAATGTTTTGTAGGCTCTGGTACAGTCAAGGAAAACTGGTTGGGGTAACTGAGGGAATATTTATAACAGGGATGGCTGAAATCAAAATTATGTAGGCTTGCAGATCATGATAACCAGCAACTGAGGTAGGGTGGGATAGAAAACTATTGACAGATTTTTATCTATAGATTCATTTTTGTTTACTTTAAGAATTGCATTTTATTTCAAGTTTGCTAGCTTTATAAAATAAATATGGACTTTTCCACCTTTTTTAATTACCTGCAAAATTTAAATGAGATTGGAGTTCTTTGAATATATGAAATTTTAACTATGAATCCACCTGGACTTGAAGTCTTGTACATCGTATGACTTATACTAATTTTAAATTTTGCAGTGGTAGTAGACTTGTTCACATTTATTTCAATTTTTGATCAATTTTAGAGGCTTACATTTTGCCAAAAAATCATTCATAGAGTTATTTGTAGCATTCCCATAGAATACTATCATTAATTTTTATATTTATGGCTTTCTTTGCTTATTATATATGTCATTCTTTTCTCTTTTGAATTTTGTATTTGCAAGTTACTTCTCTTTATTTGCAGTTAATGAATGTTGTAAGTGAAAAGTTCTAGTAGTTTGTCACAAGGATAAAAATTATTTTGCAAAACTACAAGTCCCAGAATGGCTATAGAAAAATGTCAGATTAGACTGTGTGGGATGAGATTTTAGAATTTCTTGGACTTCAAATTTATTCTTTATCTCCTACCTAAAAATATTGCATGCCACCATGCTAAAGTTACAGGCCATTTAAAAACCATTTACATCATGACATCATGCTTATCTGAAATATATATCCTCCTCTTCCGAATGTATTTCTCCAACCTAGCTATTTTGCTCTGTTTTTGCTTGTATCTGTTGCTGTTTAGAAATGACATATGCTTCCACTGTGGACAATAGATTTTCTTTTGGTCTCGTTTATCTGAAAAGGCATTCTTGGATCAGGTAAGTGAAAAAACAAACATAATTTCTGACATCTGCAAACTTGATAGGAGACAAAAACCAAATATGGTCACCGGGCACTTAGATCTTTACTATAATAAAGGACAGAATGTAGCTATTTTGAAATTATCAGATTCATTAGTTTATAAAGGATTATATATTTAAACTGCTTAACTATACTTCCATTTAATCTTTATAATTGTTTTATTGCTATTATTCTTTCTGTTTAAAATATTTAAAGAAAGTAACAAATGAATATAGCCAAAATGTCAGCATTGGATATTTACTTAATATCACTATCTAGGAAAGGTCTTAAAGTCACAAGAATTTACACCGATTCCTTCATCTGTGTTCAAGGCTAACGCTGAAAATTATGATCTTTAAGGTGCGATGGGTCATCAAGAAATATTTCAGTAATTCTCATCCTTCAATTGGTACCGAAGCACAAAGTTAAAATTGTGTATAGATAAGATCATTGATAATGCCTAGGAAGACCTGGGTTACTAATTATATTTTCACCAACATTCTTTTACTTAATGGTAGTAATCTGCTGTCAAATGAATACTGGAATGCTTCCTCAACTCCCAGCAAAACCAAGAAAATGAACAAAATCGTTGGTTGATGTCATTTTATTTGTATGAGGAAGCATTATTAAATATAATCCATGGTTTGCAAAGCTAATTTGCTAAAAGTTAACCCTATATACGAATGTAAACATTTCAAATACTAAAGTTATTTTTTACATTTATTTTTAAAATAATGTTTATCTGAATGAGTAATGAAAAATAAGCTCTTGTTTTGTAAAAACTTATTCTGATATACAGTGACCATTCATACTTTTCAGTTCAATATAAAGCAATGCCCTCACACTGTAAAATGAAAGAATAAGATGAGTTTGGGACATTAAAGTATATAAACAAGTCTCCCAAACTCAGAGACTACAAGGTAACCACTACCTTCAGGAGTGCCTTGTTTGATAATAATTGGTTATTTTATTTTTAATTTAAATCATTCCATTTTAATTTTAATATTTTTATTTAGGGCACACATTAGATCCACTGCCTTTTCCCTCATTACCTAATACAGGGCAGGCTATATTTATGAACTGACTAATATCTAGGAGCATGTGTATTTTAATGTTCTAATCTAGAATATTTATTCAGTGGGTCTAAAGTATGGCCCCCCAAAAAAACTGTGTTTGTAATAAACACCACTCCTACATCTCTCTTTGATTAATTCAAATGCAAATCTCCTAAAAATCATAGCTTTAAAAATAAAATGATTACACATTTGACCTAGGATTAAGTCAGGTATTTTAAATGCATACAAGGTTAATGTATATAAATTTTTGACTCTGTGGTCATCATCCAAAACTCTGTCAAGATATTAGGTCAACATGGCTACAAATAAAGCAGTTTAACATTTATGTTTCTTGCTTAGTTGGCAAAACAGGCTTGTGTTCTTTGTGTCTAGAAAAAGTCACACAAAATAAAACAAAACAAATAAAAAAACTATTAAAAATATCTTCAAAAATCTTCACAATGATTGGTTCACAATATTCTCAAATATTGAAGTCTTTGGTATGCACCAAGTGATATTTTGTGTTCTAGAAATAAAAAAAGTTAAATAAGTTACTATTTTTGAACTAATTAAGGTCAACTTAAACATAGCCATAAAGACAGCAGATTTATATTTACTACTTCCTGCTTTTGTTTTTCTATCCACATTATATCTGATAAACCCTCTTTTCTTCCCCCCTTTTTGAGACTATTGTATTAAGTGTTTTCAAACTGATTAAAGAGGTTCCTCTACTATCATGCACAGCTTCCTGCCCAAGCTTGGTCCAAAGCTCCTCTCATCTACCCCTGCCTGTATTTTTATTATATTTTTCCTACACTGATGGATATTCACAAAGATTTGGCTATAAGATTTTTAATTATAGAATAATTTTCAATAATTTGAAACATCTGAATTTTCAAAAACAAAGAATTGCTTGATAAAATTGGGGAATATTTTTTGGTCATAGAATTTTATAAAATCATATTTTTACAGAAATGTTTTTAATGAATAGAGAAAATAGTCACAATGTTTATAAATATTGACAAACTTAAAAGTATTTATAAGGAGTAACATTTGATTCTAATTGTGCATATATTTGTGAAGCTAATTGAGCTAATTGGTAATTTATGATCTCATGTCTTTCAGATCAAGTGACTTGTCTTGCATCTGTTACAGTGCAAATTTCAGATCCCTTATTCAAGAATTTCCTGACCATATGAAAAAATTCAAGCTAATTACAAAAATGTGTATATCTTCATCTTATTTACCAGCATTACTGCAGCTCACTACCTCTCCAATGTAGCTTGAACTTCCGCATAGAGAAAATCATAAATCCTATTCTTGATTTCCTAGTATAACATCTACCTTACTGATTATATACGTGATACATTGATATTTCTTTCAATTATAGATTAAAGGCCATTATTTAGGAGGCTGACAGGATTTTTGTTTAAATTTTCTGAATTGAACAAAATAAAAATGTTTAAGCAGCTTAGACTAAGAGATATGGAAGCCAGTTGTTTGATCAAAATCCAGATTTTGAACATATTATAGAAATTATAGAATGATAGGTAAACATCATGGAATGGCAACCTGAATATTTTGGCAGCAATACTGTCAGACATTTATTTATCCATAAAAATATACACATGCACATATATAATGTTACTTACATGGGATAACATCATCTATGTTGTTTTTATGCCTCATGCCATAACTGTCTATTATATATCCTCCGTTCTATATATTTTTCTTTAATATTATGCCATATATAGATGTAACCATATATATGTATACATACATATGTGCACATTTTTGGTTTCTAAATATGAGTCAGACAGGGAATAACATAAGCATGTTTTATGCATTTTTTTACTCATGAAATGACAAATTTTGATATATTACTAATCCATCTGTAAGCTCAATTCATTCTTCTATATAAATATGTAGTTATTAATGTTTTGGATATATCAAAATATAGTCAACCAGTGCTTATCAGTGCTTATTTGGTTTTTGTTCTTGTCATCTTGAAATAATATTGCAATAAACATCCTCTGTATATATGCCCTTAGGAATTGGCACTTTATTCCTATGGTATAGCTGCTCAAGAGTGGAACTGTTATATGTGATAGTATAATAATATTTAATTTTAATAGATATTTTATGATCATCTTAACAAGAATTTGACACTTGAATCTTTAACCAGTGATGCATGATATTCACTCACATCCCAAACAAGTTGCATATCCATTTAAAATTTTTGACAGTCTGAGAGATATACATTGATAATTCACTTTTATTTAATTTGTGTAGCCCTATTAGAGAGATTTAGTATATTCATACTATTTGAATATTTGGCCAATTCAATTTGCTCTTCTTTCTGTTCACATTATTTGTTTACTAAAGGTTTTAAGTATATTAAATTATTGCAGAAATTATTGCTTCATTTGCTATGTGGATTAAAACCTATTGGCCCTATGAATAACTAGTGTATTGGCATTGCTTATAATTTATTTTCCAGAGTAATGGCTAAGCATATTTAAATAACATTTATAGATATTCACATTGTAACTTGTAATTTTGCAGTCTTGGGAAGTAAGCTATTCTTCTTCTTTATATTTTAAATGTAATATAGATTTCCATGAAAGACTTTTATTGTGCAACTTTGGACATCTAATTCTTTAATCTGACTGAAATATTGTTAATACTATGCAGTACTTTGTTATTTTTATATTTATGGATATCATAAAATCTTTATTTTAATTTTTGTGGATATATACTAGATGTATATATTTGTGGTTTACATAGGATGTTTTGGTATAGGCATGCAATGCATAATAATCATGTCATGTAAAATGAGGCATCCATACCCTCAAACATTTACCTTTGTGTTACAAACAATCTAATTATATTCTTTTAGTTATTTGAAAATGTACAATTAAATTATTATTGACTATAGTTAACATGTTGTGCTATCAAATGGTAGATTTATTCATTCTTTCTAATTTTTGTTTGCACTAACTTTCCCCACTTGCCACCCCCCATCCCTCACTACCCTTCCTAGACTCTGATAACCATCCTTCTACTCTCTAGCTCCGTTAGTTCAATTGTTTTTACTTTTAGATACCATGAATAAATGAGAACATATGATGTTTTTCTTTCTGCACCTGGCTTATTTCACTTACTATAATGACCTCCAGTTCCAACCATGCTGTTGCAAATATCTGGATCTCACTCTTTTGTATGGCGTAGCCTCTTACTGAATTGACCTCTTTATCCTCATATAGTGAGCTTCTTTGTCTTTTCTTTTAGATTTTGTGTTAAAATCTAATTTTTTTTCCTGGTATAAGCATAGTTACTCCTACTCTTTTTTGGTTTCCATCAGCATGGAATATCTTTGTCCATCCCCTCATTTTCAGTCTATTTGTGTCTTTATGGGTCTTGCTTTTGTTGAAAATCATTCAGCCACTCTGTGTTTTTTCATTGGATAGTTTAGTCCATTTTCATTCAATGTTATTATTGATAAGTAGGAACTAACTCCTGCCATTTTGTTATTTGTTTACTGGTTGTGTTTTGGTCATCTATTTTTTTTTCTTTCATTCGTGTCTTCCTTTTATAAATTATATAATAAAGTGCTGGTGGACTGCATTTATGCAGTATAAAATGTTAGAATTAGGTAAAATTTTAAATTGCCAGATAAGTATAAAATAATTTGTATATATTTGATTTAAGATTAGAAGTTGATTTTCTCCGGTAGTATATTTTAATTTCTTGTTTTTTATTTATTTCTTATCCATTGTATATTTTTTGATTTGAGGTTACCATGATGCTTGCACATACTATCTTATAACCCATTATTTTAAGCTAGTAACAACTTACCATCATTTGCATAAACAAGCAAAAAGAAAACTAATGAAGACTCTACACCATAACTTTATCCCTCTGCTTCTTAACTTTTTATTGTTTCTGTTTATATCTTATTGTACTGTCTATAACTTGAAAAGTTGTTGTACTTATTATTTTTGATTGGTTCATCATTTATTCTTACTTAAAAGTAGTTTACACACCACAGTTACAGTGTTATAATAGTCAGTAATTTTTTGTGTACTTGCTATTACCCGTGATATTTGTACCTTCAGATGATTTCTTATTGCTCATCAATGTATTTTTCTTTCTCACTGAAATATCACCTTTACCATTTCTTGTAGGACAGGTCTGGTGTTGATAAAATCCTTCAGCTTTTGTTTGTCTGGGAAAGTCTTTATTTCTTCTTCATGGTTGAGGGATATTTTCACTGGGTATAATGTTTTAGAGTAGAAGGTTTTTTCCTTTACCATCTAATAATACAATTTGTCATGCCACTATCTCCTCCTGTAAGGTTTCCGCTGAAAATCTGCTGCTAGATGTATTGGAGCTCCATTACATGTTATTTGTTTCTATTGTGTTGCTGCTTTAAGGTACGTTCTTTATCCTTAACATTTGGGAGTTTGATTATTAAATGTCTTGAAGTAGTTCTTTTGGTTAAATCTGCTTGGTGCTCTATAACCTTTGTGGACTTGGATATTAATATCCTTCTTTGTCTTTAGGGAGTTCTCTGTTATTAACCCTTTGAATAAACTTTCTACCCCTGTCACTTTCTCTACCTCCTCTTTAAGGCCGATAACTCTTAGATTTGCCATTTTGAGGCTATTTTCTAAATCCTTTGGGTGTGCTTTATTTTTTAAATTCTTTTTTCATTTGTCTCCTCTGACTATGTATTTTCAAATAGCCTGTCTTCAAGCTCACTAATTCTTTCTTCTGGTTATCAATTTTGCTATTAAAAGACCCTGATGCAGTCTTCCATATGCCAACTTCATTTTTCAGCTCCAGAATTTCTGTTTAATTCCCTTTAATGATTTCAATCTTTTTGTTAAATTTATCTGATAGAATTCTGAATTCCTCCTCTGGGTTACCTTGAATTTTTTTGACTTTTCTCAACACAGCTGTTTTGAATTATCTCTCTCTGAAAGGCCACATATCTGTTTTTTTCCAGGATTGGTCCCTAGTACCTTGTTTAGTTGATTTGGTGATTTTAGGTTTTCCTGGATGGTCTTGATACATGTAGATGTTTGTCTGTGCTGGCCATTGAAGAGTTAGATATTTATTGTAGTCTCCTTAGTCTGGACTTGTTTGTACTCGTCCATCTTGGGGATGCTTTCCAGACATTTGAAAGGACTTGGGTGCAGTGATCTAAGCTATATCGGCTTTAGGAGGCACCACAAGCCCAGTAATACTGTGATTCTTGCAGATGCATAAAGGTACCACCTTGATAATCTTGAAGAAGATTTGGAATAATTATCTGGATTACCAGGCAAAGACTCTTTTTCTCTTCTCTGTTATAAGCCACCTGGAAGTGGGTGGTTGTGGACATCACCTCTAAGACTCTGCGGGATCAGACCTAAAGTGAGAACAGTACTGTGTCTCAACGAAGGACCACTGTAACCACTACCTGACTACCACCTATGTTTGTTCAAGGACTTGGGACTCTACAGTCAGCAGACAGCAAAGTCAGATAGGCTGGGTCCTTCATTTCTAGGCAGTGAGTTCCCCCAGTCCTCAGATGTGTCCAGAGGTGCTGTCTGGGATCTAGAGACTGGAGTGAAAATCCTTTGAAGTCTATCTGGTGTTGTACTGTACTATGGCTAAGCTGTAACTCGAAACACAAGATGCAGCCCTTCCCACCCCTTTACAAAGGCTGAGGTTCCTTACCCTATGATTACCATCACCACAGGCCCACTGGGAGTACTGAAGACTACCACTGATGTTTCCTAAAGGCCCAGGGTCTCTTAAGTCAGCTTGTGGTGAATGCTGACTTTGCCTGGGACTCACTCTTCAGGGTTGTAGGCGCTCCTCTGGCCCAGGGTGGGTTCAGAAATGCCCTCCAAGAGCCAAGTTCTTGAACTGGGGACTCCAAGAGTCTGCTTGGTGCTCTACCTCATTGTGGCTGAGCTAGTACCTGAATCTGGCAAGTCTCTGAGTCTCACCCAAGGCCATTGACATAGTAGCTAGGTAACACTGCTAGTTATTCAGGGCCCAAGGGCTCCTCAGTTAGCAGGTGATGAATCCTGCCAGTACTAGGCCATTTCTTTCAAGGCAATGGGCTCCCTTCTGGCCCAGAGTGTGTCTACAAATGTCATCCAGGAGCTAGGGCCTGGAAAGGGGGCCTCATGACTCTGACCGGAGCCACATTCTGCTGTGGCTGAGCTGGTATTCAAGATGCAAGATAAAGTCTTCCCTATTCTGCCCTTTCCTCTCCTCAAGTGGAGGGAAGGGATATCTTTTGGAGCCATAAACTGTGCAGACTGGGTTTAGAGGAGAGATGATACCGACACTCTCTTAGCTTTCCCAGCTGGTGCCTCAGTAGGTTGCTCTAGCCCCTAGTCTGCTGTCTCTGGTCCCTGTTCAGCACTAGGACTTGTTTAAGATTTGCAGTCCTAGTGTCCTAGACCACCTTTCAGGTTTATTTGGAGCCTCGGTGCACTTTAGCCCATGGTGGTGAGGCTTGTGAGATATCAATTTCTCACCACTCGCATTGTCAATTCCCCTCTGCCTAGGACTGAGTTCAATGCTCCCTCCATGGGTGACCACAAGCTCAGTTGGGTCTCATTTTGTTCTTTATTATAATAAGGCAACTCTGAGTTCAATGCATCATCATTTTTGGACTCTCCCTCTTCCCAGTGCACAAAAATGCTCTCCACATCACACCGCCACTTAAAGGGGATTCGGAAGGAATGACGTTTTTAACTTAAGACCCTCTTCGGTGCATCTTTCAGCAACATGAATTAAAAACAACATTCTGTGAGTGCTCACCTGACTTTTTGCCTGTTATGAAGGTGTTTTTTGTGTGTAGGTAGTTGTTAAATTGGTGTCCTTGTGGTGGGGTGGTGGCGGCGATGATCAGTGTAGCCTTCTATTTTGCCTTCTTGCTCTTCCCCATGTCCTAGAATGTTTTCCTATATGACGTATGACAAGAATTCAGTTTTTATCTTCTTCCTGTAGTTTTTTAGTGAGGTTATTATTATTTAATAAATAGGTCCTTCTTTTCCCAACGTTGTACTTAAGATGTTTTTGCCATTATCAGGAGATTAGATTAGCGTGGCTTCATTTATATATATGTGTGTGTATATATACATAAAATAATGTATAAACAATGTATATTAGTTTTTATTTGTATTTTATATAGAAATTTTCTATTAAATTTGTATATTAAAGGGGGACATCGATATTTTTACATTTTGATTATTTTCATTCAAGAACATGTTATAACTAATTTATTCAAATATTATGTTGTGTTTCTTAAAATCATTTTTCATAGTTGGGATATTTGTTATATTAATTTGTCTGCATTTTAACTTTTGGTTGCTATTTCAAAGAGAATATATTTGCTTGCCATTTTTTAAGTTTTTGTTTCCTAGAGTAATAAAAAATTGATCTTTGTAATATTTTGGAGCCAGATACTTTCGTATATTATCATATTAATTTTCAGGTTTTCATATTCAAGATATTTGCTTTTATGTTTTCTGATATTCAATGTATATTAGTTTCTGTTTGTATTTTATATAGAAATTTTCTAAGTATGAGTTTCGACTTTTATCAAATGACTTTTTATCATCTACTGAGTATCACAGAAATATTTTCCCTTTAAAATGAAAAAAAAAAGCCAACAGCTGGGCAACACTGCCTTAGAAGATTTGACAAATATAGTTACCTATCAAACATCTAAATTATGGAAAATTATTCCAACTAAATGAAAAGCAATACAGGAGGCTGTGGAAGACACATACAGCTGTGTGATTAAGGTGGAGGTTTGGGGAAGAAACAACAATAACAAAACAAGTGCAGAGTCAATATTTCAACTTCGCAGGCAATAATGTCAAATATATAAAGTGCAAATCAGTTATTTCAGTTGTGACTAAATTTAAGGTCTTTATATCCAATTACTTCTGGTTATAAAATGAATAGAAGGAGCAAGAAAAGAGAAAGATGATTTGAACCCAAATTTTAAGACAACAAGATTTAAAACACAAAGTTATACACAATATAGAAGATTGTGATATTTGGGAATTCTCTGTGTGTGTGTGTACGTGTTTTATAGAGAGTGTGTGTGTGTGTGCATGAGAGAGAGAGAGATTATATCTATACCTCTGTCTGAAAAACTCATTGAAAATGAAGAAAAAAGCTAAGAGAGTGAAATTGACCTCCAAGTGATGTTCAGAGTCAAGGCTGTTTTTCTCATATTAGAAAGCAGTTTACTTCATGCTGTTTTTGAGAAGGTGTCTTTTGAAACACTCAGTGATACAGTACTGAGTGGCAACAGCAGGAGGTAGAATGGGTTTTCTATCTTCAGTTTGGCAGACAGGGCTATTGAAACTACATGAAACTATAGGGTCAAGGATCATATCATCTTAAAGGCCATGTGGTGTTTTTTGTTGTTGTTATTGTTATTTTTTCAAGGCTGGAAGAATGTAAGTTTTTCAGTTTGGTATTTGGATCCAAAAGTTTGGAAGGAGATACTTTTGTATGGAAAAATAAATAAATAAAACAAGGTATTTAGCCTTGATATAAACTGTGTTAAGATGACACAATGGTAAGTTTTACTTGTAAATAAAAAGTGAAAAAGTAGAATTATTATATAATAAAGTACTGGTGGAATGCATTAATGCAATATAAAAAGTTAGAGTTAGGTAAAATTTTAAATTTCCAGGTAAGTATAAAATTTGTATATGTTTGATTTAAGAATAAAAGAGTGTTGTATATTTAGTTATTTCAAATAAAATTTAGTTCAGTTAGAAAGTATCTTCCAATATAATTTTTTATTAAATTTTATTAAGACATTCACCATCTTAGAAATGGTACTAATATGGCATTGCCATATTGCAATCTCTCACCTTTTAAAATTCACTCATTCATTCACATTGATGGAGCTCCTAGTTGTGCCAGTCACCATTCATATTCTTGGGCTCCATCAAGGAACCAAATAAAAATATTTGCCCTTATGAAGCTTATATTGTAATTGAGGAGACATATAGTAAACATAACAGAAAAGTAACATTATGCATTTTATAAAATGTTGCAAAATGATAGGTGTTATTAAAAATATAAGAAAAATGGGCTGAGGGAGTAATGCAATGTTAGGGTGAATGAAATGGTGATATTAGAGCAAGACTTGATAAGGTGAGGAAATTAACAGCTGATTGTCAGGTTGGAGAGTGGTGAAAGCAGAACTAGAGTAATTGCAAAGGCCCTAAGGGGGAGTATACTTGACAGTTACCAGGAATTTTAAGAAAACCATCTCAGCTAGAAGAGAGTGAACCATTGAGAGAATGGTAGGAAATGCAATCAGAAGTAAAGGAAAGGAAGGATTAGAACCTTGTAGTGGCTTTTATTCTGACCGTATTATGGATTCAGTGAGAGTTGTATGCAGAGGTTGCAGAGGAATGTCCTAATCTAATCTGATTTACATTTTTTTAAGGATTACTATAGCTATCATTTTCTGGATAAAACATGTCAGGGAGCCTGGGCTATGAAAAGTTTTTGGATTAATGGATGTATTTTGAATGTGAAATTTCCAAGTTTTTTTTTTTGTTTGTTTGTTTTTTGTTTTTTTTCTGATAGACAGGATGGAAGGTGTGTTAAAGAGAGTAAGGGTAACTGCAAAGTTTTGGACTGAGTAAGTAAAGGAATAAATTTGCCAACAACTGAGAAACATTGTAGGTGGCTCAGGTCTGGAGGAGAAAAATAACAAATTTGGTTTTATACAAGTTGAGCTGGCATTTATTACAGTTTTAAGTGGAGATGTTTGTATTAATATACAATGTGTTACATGTGTATGCAATATATATTTAAAATATTAGACTTATATAATATGTAGTATATAATAATATACTGTATATAATATAAATTCTTATCAAAATTCTGAAGCAGAGGTATATAATTTGAACTGGAATGCAAAACAAAGTGCAAATAAATAATTAGTAGCTAGTATCAAGAATGGTGGGATAGGAGTTCAATATAAATTTTTTAAAGTATTCTGTTAACAATTTGCTATATAGCCTTGATTGTAGCATTCAATGTCCCCAATCCCCAATTACCAATAACCCTTAGCCTCAATTATCACTTGTAAGGCTGCTATGATACTGTTTTCTCTGTTTTAATTCCAAAAATGAGCTCATTCAAAATACCAAGACTGTTATTGGCAAATAATTCTACACAAAGATAATAAAAAATATAATAAAATGAATTAAACATTTAATTTATTGCAATTAAAAACACTCAGCTATTAGTGGAATTTTTATTTGTTTAAGTTTTGTTTTAGGAAAAGTATCACAATAAAATTTTCTTAACAATTAATGAATACTTTTCTGGTGGATGATATAGATGTGATGCATACAAATGCAAACCTGCAAGAGTCAAGGAAGTTTCCTATATGATTTCTGTCTTCATGCTTATCCATAGTAGAATCAGCTTATGTTCTGCGATGCATTAGGAATGTCATGGATCATACCAATCCGTATTGCAATTACCCAGTAGTCCGTAAATTTATTGAGGATAGTGACTCAGTTATCTTCATCTGAATAATTTGTGAACAGTCATTGACTCATGGTATTTATGGATAAGTTAATAAATGTTTGCTGAATAAAATAATAGAGTCATGGTTCCTTTTTCCTCTGAGTTTACATTTGAAATATGAGAGCATTTAAAAATAAAAATAAAGATCCAATAAAAAATATAAATATTTTGCTTTTAGTAATGGGTGTCCATAAATGAGTCTTTCTATTAATCCTGTAGAAAGCATGAAACACTGCTTTCATTACTTCTATTTAAGGTACAGAAATTTTAAGTGATGTAATGATATATAAAACAGAAATAAGAGGTATAAATGTTTAAAACATTTAGACAGGTTTATCACATTCTGAAGTAAATGTGCATACCTAGAAATAAAGAATATAAAATGTGAAACTGTCAAAATTCAAGTGTTTACTAAAGAAGCTATTTATAAGTCAAATTATGAACATCGAAAGCTTTGCCTTTTACCAGTAATAATTCATTTGGAGTTGTTTTTATAAGTCTTTGTCTTGGGAAACAAATGATTTCACTTAACTAATTGTAATATATGTAGTATAATGTACAAATACAGGGTCAGAGAAAATGTGAAAGTGAAGTCAAGAAATCAAAGAAAGCAAAGTTGCTTACATACAAATCATTAGATGCTACATAGTTACTGTAGTTGAGTTGCAGGGTGACGGTATGTTTTCCTGGTGGACAAAGTGAAATTGAAAATACGACTAGTTGAAGATTTCTCCTGTGCATGTGAAAAAGCAAACCCTGCAAAAAAACATAACTCTCACCAAATTAGCATACAATAACTTCCAAAAAAAGACCAAAAATTTTCTTAGCACCGAGAAAGCAAGGCAAATCACTCCAGTAGCACATAAAGGGAAAGTTTACATGGGTTCATTTCTCTTAGCCACTCTTAGTTAAAAAAAATTAAACGACAGAAATTAAATCAATAAAAACAAACATTTAGAAGGCCACATATTGACCCAGTAATTATGAGACTTTCTTAGAGTTGCATTCAATACAATAATAAAATTTATTAAAGTAAAAAAAAATCTTTTAAATTTTTAAAATAAATTTTATTTAAAAGTGATCACTTCATCATTGGGGAACATTTGAAATAATATAAATTAGGTATTTTTAGGATAAATATTAAACTACACAAAGACCTCATTTACAAAACCATTAAAATTTTCTAGTAATTTTTTCATTCAACAAATATTTATTGCTCTCTGATAGGGTTTGGCTGTGTCCCCACCCAAATCTCATCTTGAATTGCAATTCCCATAATCTCCATGTGTCATGGGAGGGACCAAAGGGGAGGTGATTTAATAATGTGGGCAATTAGTCCCATGCTGCTGCTCTCATGACAGTGAGTGAGTTCTCATGAGATCTCATGGTTCTATAAGGGGCTTTTTCACCCTTTTGCTTAGCACTTCTCCTTCTTGCCATTCATGTGAAGAAGGATGTGTTTGCTTCCCCTTCTGCCATGATTGTAAGTTTCCTGAGGCCTCCCCAGCCATGTGGAACTGTGAATCCATTAAATCTCTTTCCTTTATGAATTACCTAGTCTCAGGCAGTTCTTTATAGCAGCATGGGAATGGACCTACACATCCTTATTGTGTATTATATTTTCCTGGGCATTGACAATCAACTGAAGGAGAGGGAGACAATCTGGCATTGCAGAGTTTACCATTTTTCTTGGTGTTGGGAAGTGGGGGCATGGAAAAGTGAAAAGGCAGTTAGTATAACATATTAATTGCTATGATGATAGAAATAAAGTGTGCTTTCAGAGGAATTAGGCACTGCCATTTAATGGAATAGAATTAATAACCCAATGTATTAGTTTCCTATTGTAGCCATAACAAATTATTACAAACTTAGTGGCTTAAAAAAACACAAATTGATTCTTTCACAGCTCTGAGTTCAAAAGTCTAAAGTGGTTTGGCAAGGCTGCATTCTCTCTGAAGGCTCTAGGGAAAAATCTGTTTCCTTGCCTTTGCTAGCTTCTAGGGACTGCTTATATTCCTTGACTCATGGCCCTTTCCTCCATTTTCAAAGCCAGCAGCATAGCATCTTCAAATTTCTGTCTCTCTTTCTCTATCCTTTCATAGTCACCTCTTTCTGTAACTGACACTCCTGTCTCTTTCTTTTTAGGACACTTGAGATTACATTGGAGTGACCTAGATAACCCAAAATAACCTCTTCATCTCAAGACTTTTATATTAATCACATCAGCAAAGTTCCTTTTGCCATGTAAGGCAACATACACAAATGTTCCGGGGATTAGAACATGAATATATTTTGGGGTCATTATTCTGCCTACTACACCCAGGGAAGACTCTCTCTCTCTCTCTCTGTCTCTCTCTCTCTCTCCATATATATATATATATATATATATATATATATATATATATATATAATGTAATATATATATAATATATTATATATGTTATATATAATATATAACATATATAATATATATATTATATATGTAATATATATAATATATATGTAATATATAATATATATGTAATATATATTATATATGTAATATATATTATATATATGTAATATATAATATATATGTAATATATATTATATATGTAATATATATAATATATATGTAATATATAATATATATGTAATATATATTATATATATTACATATATATTACATAAGTATATATATTACATATATATAATATATATTTAAAGGAAATACACACATTAAATGTCAAATAATGTCAAATAATGAAGACAAAATATTATCAAAAAGACAATATATTACTCAATAAATGATTTTTGGATAGTTGGTTACCTATTTGAAGAGAAACCATCTATTTAGATGCTTATCTTCCAAATTAATACCAGAGTAATAATTCCACATGAGAATCTTCTATCTCCACAGGATTTCATTGACCATAAACAATAATGGGAAAGGCTTCCCCCAGAGTTTCATAATGTCACTTTAAACAAATGACCACAGAAGCACTTTTATACATCAGCTGTAAAAAATCATAGAATTCTTCAGGGAATGCATTTGTAAACGTATCATGAACTTTCAATTATGCATGTGTTATTGGTAATTGTAATTTTGTCTTGTTTTTAAATATAGAGCATGCTTAATTGTATAAGAAACCTTTACATGAAATGATAGGCATTCTAATGTCTCATTTAGTGGAGTTTGGTAACAATCTATAATTTCCAACATAGTAGCTTAAGTAAAATATTTTACATATATGTAATGGAATATTTTGCAGCTATTAACTTTACAATATGTTTGCACAGAAAACACGTGATATAATCAGCATAGAAATTTCATATATTGGAGACTTTGTTTAATCATAGTTGATCGTCCATACATATTTATCTCTTCTCTACCTGTACCCCACCAAATTACAAAGAAAATGTATGAATTTGATGCTACAGTGCAAATATTTGAATTAATATATGTGCTAAAATTTCAATAAATGGAAGACAGAAAGGAAGTGGAAGCTTCATGAATAACTCAGAAAAGTAGAGAGGAATGAAGCTCAAGGGTCAGATTTCAGACTGTTTCTTATATCTTTGCATGGTTTTATTAATTCATAGTATCCAGATGAAGCTATCTGTGATGGTTAATATTAAATGTCAACTTGATTCGATTGAAGGACGAAAAGTACTGTTTCTGAGTGTACATGGGTGTCTATGGGTGTTGCCAGAGGAGATTAACATTTGAGTCAGTGACCCTCCAATCTGCTGCCAGCACAGCTAGAAAAAACAGGCCGAAGAAGGTGGAAGAAGCTGATTTGCTAAGGGCCTTCATTTTTCTCCCTTGCTGGATGCTTCCTGCTCTGAACATCAGACTTCAGATTTTTAGCTTTTGAACTCTTGGGCTTACACCAGTGGTTTGCCAGAGGCTTTCGGGACTTCGGCCATAGACTTAAGGGCTGCACCGTCATCTTCCCTACTTTTGAGGTTTTGGGACTCAGGCTGAGCCTCTACTCAGGCTTCTCTGCTCCTCAGCTTGCAAATGGCGCATTGTGGGACTTCACCTTGTGATCATGGGAGGTAATTCTCCTTAATAAACTCCGTTTCATATATGCATATATCCTACTATCTCTGTCTCTCCAGAGAACCCTAATACACTTTCATGTTTTCAAGTTTAGGACACATTTAGAAATAGTTGGAAAGAAAGAGGGAGGTCTTTTATCTGACCTCCTGAGTTTTGTAGTAGTAGGTGTGTTCCTGCTCCGCTTACACCAATCTTGAGTAGCCCCATAATAACGAAACTACACTCTTCATGTCAAGGTTTTCTATTCTCTCCCTTAGTTACCATCATTTGTTTTCCCTGAATTCCACCTTACTTGCCACAATCCACCACTTCTTTTAAGTTCTAACCTAAAGAATTTCTTTGATACAAATGTTTTTCTATCTCCCAATTATTATAATTAACTGATTATTTTTATCCTATGACCCTTTGTAGTTCCTTTATAATATACTATCAGACTGTTTAATCTCGTGTGTATATCTCTAGTTTCCATTATTCTGGAAGTCAAGGATACAACTTTGTTCGTCCTCAATGTATAATATTAATGCTGGGTAAATTCAATCTAAAACGAATCTATCTATAAATCTACAAAACACAATATTGTAGATAAATGAATTAATTGGATTCTATTTCCATACTTCATTTGAATTGGCAAATTGTATTTCCTATTATTTGATTTTTTTCACAAAACATAATTCATTTATGTCACAGGATCCTTGGGGTGTCGCTTCACCAGCTGGAAACCTCTATGGCTAATGGTGCCTTTGCCTGAGTTTTTACTCTGGCATACTGGATTGTTCCACTCACTAGGTCTGGCAGGCCACCCTTGGCTCACACTACCAGCCCAAATCTCATGCTTGCCAAGAGCGAGTCACACACAGAGTGGTGAGGGGTGCTTGAGACAGCAAGCATTGGGCCCAGCCACTGCTCACAGCCAGGCATGCCAGCTGCAGTGGAGCAGGCAGCTCCAGCCACTGGAATGGGCACTGGCCCCCTGCAAGGCTGTGACTTGACCAGGCATACCGCAAGCTGCTTCCACAGCTGGCAACAGGGAACACAGTGGCACCTAGAAGCTTTGAGATGCCAAGGAACTGCAGAGCCCCAGAGAGGGTGTCACAGATCTGTTTCAGGGAGCTCCTAGATCTGGGCTCCCCAAAGAGTCACAGATCTTCTTTCCTCTCCTTGTCACCTGCAATGTGGTGAACAACAGGGACATGTTTCAGCCCTGCTTTTCTTACAGCTCTTTCAGCCCAGCCCTACCATTCAGCAGGTCCTGATTTCTTGTCCTGTATCCAGGAAGAATGAGGTATGTGGACAAATGGAGTGTGAGCAAGGTGAAGAGGAGCTGTATTGAGCATTAGAACGGCTCAGAGGAGACCTGCAATGGGTAGCGCCTCTCTGCAGGCAGGCCATCCCATTGAGTGTTCAGCTCTCAGCAAAGATGAGACCCTGGAGTATGTAGCTTCTCTCTGCAGCTGGTAGTCCCAAGATCTGCTCAGCTCTCAGCTGAGAGGAGACTCTAGAGTGGGTAGCTCCTCTCAGCAGCTGACCAACCTCTGCAATGCTCCAGTCTGGATAAGTCTGGAAATTTTTAAGGGTTTCAGAGGGGAGGCAGTGCATGCTGATTGGTCCATGGGTGGCCATGGGTGGGCCCAGAAAAAGCACCATTAGTTCTCATTCCAGTCCATAGGACTGGTAGCCTAACCCCCAGGCTTCAGGCCTTCCCCAAGCTTGAAGGTGGGCTTTACCAAGGGCCTGCCCTTTCCCCCACAAGCCTGTCTGCCTCCTGCTGTTGTTCATGGTGCTCAGGCTGTTTATGCTGAGGGGGGACCTGCAGGCGTGCCCTGAGCTGCTCTCAGCACCCCATTGGTCTTCTTCTCTTGCTTATCATGCCCAAAGTTCAGAGGGCACAAAGGCTGCAGGGAGCTGGTGCATCAGTGCTGCCTGGATGTGTGCACACCTGGCCAGATTGTGACAGCACCTAGGCTCAGCCTCAACTTGCTCCCAGATCAGAGTAGATGCCAGGAGCTGGGAGAGGCCAGGCAGTGGGAACAGGCACTTCTGAGCCTGTGGGGGTTTTGTGTGAGTGGGGAGCTTTCCAGGCCCCTGAGAATGTAGAAATGCCCAGGTCCACACCTGCAGCTTGCACTGCTGCAGCTGCACCCAGGAAGATGGGGCTCCTGCCTGCTCCCAGCCCCCAGGAGCACAGGGAGGTCAAAGTCTTCAGCTGCAGATGAGCAGCTACAGTTTTGCCCAGGAAGTTCAAGGCTCCTACCCTGCCAACTTGGAAGTGTGTGGGACTTCTGCCTGTTCCTGGCTCCTACTGCAGCAGGCATCTTCCCAGGGGCCGCTTCAGAGGGGTCATCGCTGCCATCATTTATACAACAAAAGTGTTGTGACAAAGGGACAAGATTCAGAACTTATTCTCTAGGGATGAGGTCTCACGGGTGAGACAAATATAGAAATCTAATGCCAAATAAGTAGCTAATATAAACTGTTGCAGAAACATGTACAAATAAATTTAGACTCACAAAAATACTCCCCCTAGGCTGGGCGCGGTGGCTCACGCCTGTAATCCCAGCACTTTGGGAGGCCGAGGCGGGTGGATCATGAGGTCAGGAGATCGAGACCATCCTGGCTAACAAGGTGAAACCCCGTCTCTACTAAAAATACAAAAAAAAAATTAGCCAGGCGCGGTGGCGGGCGCCTGTAGTCCCAGCTACTCGGGAGGCTGAGGCAGGAGAATGGCGTGAACCCGGGAAGCGGAGCTTGCAGTGAGCCGAGATTGCGCCACTGCAGTCCGCAGTCCGGCCTGGGCGACAGAGCGAGACTCCGTCTCAAAAAAAAAAAAAAAAAAAAAAAAAAAAAAAAAAATACTCCCCCTAAAGATGTCATGACAGGAAAAATAACATTTAGTTGATCCTAGAAAAATTGAATGAATACCATCAGATTAGGCAAGAAATTACAGCACAACCAGAGCGATCGGCATGTGCAAAATCACATACAGATGAAAGAGCCTTCTTTGTAAAGACATTAACTAAAGAACCTTTATTAGTGTCTTGGAGACCTGTAACAGTTACAAAAATGATATTTTGGAAATACTCTAGCCGCTGCATTTGACTTTCCTGCAGTTATTTAATATCTCTACTGTTCATTGATTGAAGGTTTATTCTGCTTTTTTTCATACTTTCTTTCTCTTTGTTGCAACTATAATAGCCACATTCAAACTCACATAGGTGACTGCAATAATAACAAAAATGACTGTGAGGTTATGAATATCTGACAAATCCCTTTGCAAAAGTTCACTCTTATAATTCAGTGGACAGGTGGTTGAGAAAAAAAGTGAAAAGACCGTTCCTAAAAATGCTTATTCAATTAAAGCCTCAGAGATAAAGGAGAAAACACGTGATGTATCCTTCAGCAAATACTGCTTTCAGAAAAAGAGCTGATCTTACTGTCCCGAAAATGTAAGTAAAATGTCTTTGTTCATATGATGGAGAAAGACTTGTCTAAGTCTTTTCTCTGCAATCCAACATCATGGTTAATTCAGTATAATAATTATTTTACTAACATTTATTATACAATTATCCACTGAATTTTTTACAATGGTTTACTCAAGTAATTTTTGCCTGGAATTATTTTACATTTATTATCAATTCCTTCAACTGTATTATTTTATTTGGTCAGCAAACTTGCTATAATGTTTCTCATATTAGAAGACTCATACGCCAGGCACGGTGGCTCACACCTGTAATCCCAGCACTTTAGGAGGCCGAGGCGGGCGGATCACGAGGTCAGGAGATCGAGACCTTCCTGGCTAACACGGTGAAACCCCATCTCTACTAAATATACAAAAAATTAGCTGGGCGTAGTGGCGGGCGCCTATAGTCCCAGCTACTCAGGAGGCTGAGGCAGGAGAACAGCGTGAACCTGGGAGGCGGAACTTTGAGTGAGCCGAGATCGCGCCACTGCACTCCAGCCTGGGCGACAGAGTGAGACTCTGTCTCAAAAAAAAAAAAAAAAAAAAAAAAGACTCATAAAAATAACTGTCCTTCACCCACTCATCAGCTCCCAACATCGTGCCCCTTCCCTTGTTCCTTTCACATGCGCATGAAAATATTTCAATGTTAATTCCCCAATATTATCAATAACACATGACTCTACACTAATTTTAAAATGAAGCACAGAAACATGTAAGGAAAGATGTTCTTACTCTCAATTCTGTTGACACTTTAATTACATAGAGGGGCAGAAATAGGTGATCAAGATAGACAATGGCGAAGGGTGACCCCCCTGCCACACACATAAGAGTAGCAAGAACTAAAGGCTAGGTTACACTAGGCTGGAAACACTGGATGTCCGGACTAATCTGTATGCCAGTAAATAGCTATAATAGCTACTATAAATGACTAATGAAAATTAAATATTGCACCTTTTACTGTATGTATGACAGTAATAGGCCCTAACTGTTCAAGGTTTTTATTGCTTCAACTATGATGATACATGGTCTTAGTTTACCAACACTTATTAAATGATGTATTTTTATTTTTTGCCTAAAAAATTTTTGTCAATGCACATGCAGGCAATGGCAGAAATATAATATTCCCTTACTTAGAAAAATATTTTTAAAATTATAATCAATGGTGAAAAGTTAAAATATTTTCCTCAGGAAAAAGACAAGGATGTTCATGCTAGGGACTTCTATTTAGCATAGTTCTGCAAGTCCTAGCCAGAATAGTTAAGGAAGAATAAATAAAAGGCATTCAAATTAGGAAGGAAGAAGTAAATTGTTGTGGTCTGTAGATGACATGATCTTATATACAGAAAATCCAGAAGACTCCACCAAACAACTGTTATATAAACAAATTCAATAAAATTGCAGGATACAATATCAGCATAACAAAAATCAGTAGCACTTATATATACTAACAACAAACTATCCAAAAAACATATGGAGAAAACTATCTCATTTAAACAGCTACAAAAATAAAAATAAAATCCCTAGGATTAAATTTGAACAAGGAAGTAAACTATCTGTACACTGAAACTATAAATCATTGATGAAAAATTGAAATAGACACAAATATATTGAAAGACAGTATATGTTTATGGATGAGAATATTATTAAAATATCCATACTACCTAAAGCGATATACAGATTTAATGCAATCCCTATCAAAATATTAATGACATTTTTCACAGAAATAAATAAAATTCTAAAATATGTATGAAAACTCAAAAGAACTGGAGGCCCAGAACAGCCATAGCACTCTTGTGTAGAAAGAATGAAGCCGGATACATCAATATGTACTACAAAATCTGTTACAAAGCTATAGTTGTCAGAACAGCATGGTACTGAGGTAAAACCATATGCATATATATATATATATGTATATATATATACACACACACACACACACACACACACACACAGACAGAGAGAGAAATGCGATAGACTAGAAAGCACAGAAATAAATCTATGCAGTTACAGTCAATTGATTTTCAACTAAGATGCCAAGAATACACAATGGGGAAAGAATAGTCTTTTCAATAAATGGTATTTAGAAAACTGGATATCCACATACAGAAGAATGAAATTAAACCCTTATCTCACACTATTTACAAAAGTCAACTCATTATGAATCCAATACTTATGTAAGACCTAAAACTGTAAAATTACTAGAAGACAACATAGAAGAAAGGCCCCAAGACATTGGTCTTGGAAATGAGTTTTTGGAAATTACTCCAAAAGCACAGAAAACAAAAGCAAAGATGAGATTGCATCAAACTAAAACGTTATTGTACAGTGAGAAAATAATAAACCAAGTAAGAAAACATTCTCTGGAATCAGGGAAAATATTTGCAAACTACACATCTGATAAAAGTATACTATCGAAAATATGTAAGTAACTCAAACAATTCAATGGTAAGAAAACAAATAATATCATTAAAGCATGAGCAAAATTTCTTAAAAATATATATACAAATACCCAACAGGTAAAATAAAGAAAAGAAAGAAAAAAGCTCAATATCAGATTAAAGAAATCACCTTACACCTGTTATAATGGCTGTTATTTAAAAGGATGAAAGATAACAAGTGTTGGCTAGGATGTAGATAAATGGGAACTCTTGTACACTCTTGGTGAGAAAGTAAGTTGGTACAGCCATTATGGAAACTAGTATAGAATTTTCTCAAAGAGTTAAAAATAGGTCTACCATATGACCTAGAAATTCCACTACTGGGTATATATCCAAAGGAAATGAAGTTAGCATGTGAAAGAGATACATGCACTCCCATGTTCATTGCAGCATTATTTGTCACAGCCAAGACACAGAAATAACCTAAGTGTCCATCAACAGATAAATGAATAAAGAAAATGTGTTATATATACACAATGCAATAATAGTTTACCTTACAAATGAAGTAAATCTTGCCATTTGTGACAACATGAATGAACCTGGAGGAAATTAAGTGAAATAACCCAGGCACAGAAAGACAAATACCATGTGATCTCACTTATACATGGAGTGTAAAAAAGTTGAACTCATAGTAACAGAAAATATTATACAAATTATAATAAAATGCTGGTTAACAGAGGCTGGAGTTGGGGAATTGTGGAGAATTTGGTCAAAAAATACAAAATATCAATTAGAAGGAATAGGTTCTACTAGAATATAGAGTAAAAGATCTATTATATATCATGGTGACTATAGTTAATAACAATATACCTTACAGTGAAAATTTCTGAGAGTAGATTTTAAATGTTTTTGCAAGAAAAAATAATGATAGTTGAGGTGATAGATATGTTAATTAGTTTGATCTAATCATACTGCAATGTATACATATATTCAATCATTCTGTTGTACACCATAAATATATCATTTTTACTTGCCAATTAAAAAAATTAAAAAGAAAACTACTTCAGATATTACCCTAAATAAAACCATTACAAATTACTATAAACAATCTACTGACTGAAAATTTTTTTATGTAATACTTACATAAACATTTTTCCTATAATTAGTAAAAGTAAGATGTTCAGATGAAAGCATTCTAAGTGTTGTTGAAATATCTGTTGGATTAGCAGAATCAAGTTTTCTTGGTGCTAATTTTTCATATTCTTTAGAATGTCACTCTTTCATTATTTCTTCAACTGTACAAGTCATTGCTTCCAGTAGTATATAATTTTGTTGTGTGTACTTGTGTGTGTTCGAAAGAAAGAAAAACTTAACGCCTTTTTTTCTACTATATCTGTACTTGCAGAAGATAATTTTTTACAGAATGATGCTAGTGTGACAATTGGGTAAAATAATCTAGTAAGAGTCTAATTCATAAATTAAATTACCTGAAGGAAAAATTACCTTTGATAAATTGTAAGCCTATGTACATTTCATTATCTCCACAAGTGGCAATGATCAGAAAGCCAGACTTAGTACAATGAGTACTCTAGATTAAACATTTAAAATTAAAGTATCCAGTTATAAAGATTGTTACAAGAGATTTATAGTAAAATCTCTTAATCTGCTACTCATTTTTCTTGACTACTCAGTAGCTCAGAAGTGTCTAACACTAGAAGGCAAGCAGATTTTATAATTATGGTCAAAGTTTCTTAAGACAAGACTACAGAGATTTTTCTGAAATTCCTTCTGTTGCAATTTCTAAATATTTGACAAGAGTGTAGCCTTCATAATAAGTGTGTAAACATTACACCTGGCTTATATAGAATGATGTCAGATAACCTAACCCTTTCTTACTCCTTGTATTCGTCTACAAGGGCTGCCATAACAAGACACCATGGTCTGGGTGGCTTAAGTGGCAGAAATGAATTTTTTCACAGTTCTCAAGATTTGAAGTTCAAGGTCAAGATAAAAGCAGGACTGGTTTTGCTTGAGGACTCTCTTCTTGGTTTGCAGATGGTCAACTTCTTGCTCTGTCCTTATATGACCTTTCCTCTGTGCCTGTACAGAGACAGAGAAAGAAAGGTCTCTGGTGTCTCTTCTTTTTCTTATAAGGACATCAGTCTTATTCCATGAGGGGCTCACTCTTATGACCTCAATTAACTTTATTACCTCCTTGAAAGCCTTACCTCCATACTGAGTCATGTTGAGTGCTAAGCCTTCAACTTATGAATTTTAGGTTGCATAGTTCAGTCCATAACCCTCTCCCTTCAGGAGAATTTGTTGTTCTCACCCAGTATTTAATTCCATGTCTTCAGAGCTGGTTACTCTGAGAGTTGTGATAAATTTACCCTAATACAATGATGATCAGATAGCTTTATTTCTTCGTTAGGTGTTTGAATACCTTGTTAAAATACCAATTATTTTTTCTGTGAGCTCAGGTTGTAGACTTCGGCGGGAAGTATTCTCCTCCACTAATGCTTAAAAAAATCATTTCACACAATATGATTAAGAACTTATACTAGTAAATTGATTATTATGCCATTCTTCAATAACTTTTTTATCTTAGGGATAAAATATAGGAAAATAGATATTTCTTATTTAGAACTGAATATTCAAACAAGATAAACATATGACTTTGTATGTTAGTTGCAGCATGTTTTATTGAAAATGGAAAAAAATTTCACTTTAAATACATAGCCTATATCCTTGAAGTTTCTTTACTAATGCCTTTAAGCAATTAGCTACACTTTAATGCTTTAAAAAAACAAAATACATATCTGCCAGGGACTAATTTTACAACAAATTTACATGAATAAAAGCCCATTAAAATTTTAGAATTTATTTCAAGTACCTATAGCTTTTGTTAAAATTGTGTTAAAAATATTTATTAATTAATTTCACGAATATGTATCTGGTGTCTGCTGATGCCAGCAAGTTCTCAGGTCATAGCAGTAAATAAAACAAATGATTGCCTTTGGTAAGCTTATGTTGTAGCAGGAGGAGATAGATAATTAACATTTACACAATAAATAAATAAACCTCATGGTAAGTTAAATTATGAAGTGTACCGTGGAAATGAGCAAAAATAAACACGGTGGGAAAATAAAAAATTTGGCATCAGAGGAGGTTGAACCAATAAATACAGATATAAGAGTAAGTCTCACTGAGGAGAGATATTTGAGGAAATCTGGAAGTGGATGAAAGAATCAAGACAATCTTCTGCTAGAGGGAAGAGTCAATGAAAAGATATGAAATGTTTGAGAAAAATAAATAAATTGGTTTGGCAAAATAGGGTGAACAAATGGGTTATTCCATGAGAATAAAGTCAGAAAGAAAATTTATAATTATGTCATTGACCTGGTAGTTATCAATATTTTTTAACATTTTATTGATCAATTTCATCAAGTGAAAAAGGATATTGATTTTAAATTAAATCTAATTTTTGCATTTTGTTATACTAAACTACACAGGGTAGATATCAAACGGACTAATGCATATTTGGAAAGAAAACCTAGATACACAAAAATGTTTTAATAAACCCACTTATAATTGTTAAAATATAGAACTTTTTAATTTTTTCCACATTTTATCTGTTTGTTCTTATGCATTTCATTTCCATCAAATGTTCTCTCTTTTACTTGGAATCTTCTGAAATCTGAAATTGATAGTACAGTAGACAGGTGATTTACTGAGAGCAATACCATTGGGCTTTGGGCTCCCTAGCTAGCCATATTTTGACTTACATCACATAATTTTGAAACTGGATGTTTTGAAAGCCCCCAGCTACACTGGGGTTTTAGTACCAGAATGGCTAGTCAACCTCCCCAAATGAGAAATAAAGGGGAGCTGGACGTGAACATTCACAGTGTACCTTTCACAGGATACTTCCTTTACATGGAAGATGGCCTAATGTCTCATTGTCCAACCCACAACCGGGGGGTTCTGCACACAGAAAACTTGTTTGTACTGGCAGGTGCCCCTATGGCTTTTGTTTGACCTGTGTCCAGTTTTTGCTTACCTGATCATTACTCTGGCACAGAAGCCCAACCTTGTGTTCCCCACTGGTGTCCCAGGAAACTAGTTTGGGGTAGCTCCTTGTTCTTCATATGGAAGGTACAAATTTAAGACACCATCACTATAGGAAAAAAGTTAAAAGATTTTTATTTACAAATCCCAGGCCTAATGAGTTGGAAGGGCAGTCCTCCATCCCTGAATCACTGGATAAAGGAATGAAGGGGTCGAGTAGAGAGAGAGAAAAACATGCAGCAACTCACAGTTAAGGGAGTAGTGAATAGGTCACATTAAGTTTGCAGGCAAATGTCTGTCTAGTTTCTTTAAAGGAAGATGCTGGAAAGCTGGGAGCCCAGCCTGCCAGATGAAAGAGATGCCACTAAGTTCTTATCTCTTGCCATTTGGATATGATGTAGAAATGGAAACTGTGTCAAAGGTGACTGAGACCAGCTTCTGGTATAAGAAAGATAAATTTGTATTCAAAATGAATGCCAAAGCAACAAGAAATTATACAAATTCACTGCACTGGAAATGCCAAAGTTAGTTTTCTGTTATATCTCATTTGGCTGAGCATTTTTCCATTTTTGTGTTTTGTATGGACCTCAGGTGTAGAAAATTGAATTAATTACCCTGCCATTCATGACACGTTATTATGGTGGCATATTATCTTCATGGTACTGTGTAAGGTTCCATTGATTTTTTTAAAAAATTATTTTTTCTTCTATTTTTTTCTGGTATTACTTGTTCATGTCCTCACAATTATGTATTTTTCATTTACTATAAAGGGCCCTTATAAAGTAATAACTTAGTGGTATACCTATTAAAATTGAGTAACTAAAGGCTCTGATTTCCAAAGGTTCATATTTTTCCCCAAAATCTGTGGTGAATTAAAATCAGTTCAATAGTTTAATAAAAGGGAGAGGAAATGTAATGCAAACTTATTTTGCCCTCTGTCAAAATAAATGGTTAAATAAACAAAATGATTAGGTCAACTTCATCTAGTGCTATGCCAGGCAGGTATTTAAACTGTACTTTTACAGACAAAATGACACTAGAATTTGGGTAATTACCAGTGGATTTCATTGATGTTTGAGTATAAAAGTATCCAGTTACTATCCATTCTCTTTAAGTCAATGCTGTATTATCTGCTTTGAATTATCCAGATGACTGGTTAAACAATTGCTTGTATCATTTAAGTTTAATTTAATTAATTTTGACATTTCTGTTTTCTCTCTATAAAAGAAAAGAACAGAGGCAGATCCTTGCCTATTTATGCATGGTTATAAAGTGAAAAATTCAAACTATGTATTCTTCCACTTAAAAATTAACATATTCTTCAGAATTAGTTTTGATGCAGACAAGAGAACAAATTGCATGTTTAAACAAGTATCAGAGATCATCTATGAGTCCCACTTTTTGTATTTATAAATTCTATGTAACAAATCTGCACATGTATCCTTGAGCCTAAAATAAAAGTTGCAAAGAAAAATAAATAAGAAAACAATGAAAAAGTAATAACAACTAAGAAGATGTAACATTATAAAAAACATTAACTATCTCTCTCTTCTTCATCTTTCAGACAGCATGCCCATGTGTCTCTACCCAGCAGTGTTGACGAGTGGCATGTTCACAGAGCAACAGGAACCTCATCATTGCTCTTTTCAAAGTACCCTTAAGCTCTCTATTCCTCATGCTCCAGATCAAGGGGCCTAGCACAGGGGTAATAAATGTATAAACTGTAGACACTACCTGGCCCCTCTCAAGAGAGCTGCTAGAAGTGGAGCACAAGTAGACAAGGCTTGTACATCTATACTGAAGTTAATTTTTGCATATGGTGACAGGGTAGGAGTCCATTTCCATTCTTCAGCATCTGTCACACCGTTTATTGAACAGGGAGTTCTTTTCCCATTGCTTATTTTTATCAAATTTGTGGAAGACTAGATGTCTGTAGGTGCATGGCTTTATTTTTGGATTCTCTATTCTAGTGTTCTATTTTTCTGTTTAGTACCACTACCATGCTGTCTGGTTACTGTAGCCTTGTAGTATAGTTTGATATTGGGTAATATTATACCTCTGGGTTTGTTCTTTTTTCTTAGGATTGCTTTGGCTATTTATATTTTTGGCTCTATATGAATTTTAGAAGAAATTTTTTTTTCTAATTCTGTACAAAATGACATTGGTAGTTTGATAGGACTAGCATTGAATTTGTAGATTGCTTTGGACAGTATGGCCATTTTAATGATACTTTTTCTTCCAATCCATGAGTATAAAATGTTTTCCATTTGTTTGTGTCATCTATGGAACACTCTTTCAGCAGTGTTTTGTAGTTGTTCTTGCAGAGATTTTCACCTTCTTGATTAAATGTATTCCTAGGTATTTCATTATTTTTGTGACTACTGTAAATTAAGTTGCATTTTTTATTTGACTCCCAGCTTGAACATTATTTTTATATATAAATGATACTGATTCTTCTCCGTTTATTTTGTATCCTGAAACTTTACTAAAATTTATTAGATCACAAAGCCATTTAGTAGAGTTTTTAGGGTTTACTAGGCATAGAATCATATCATCAGTGAAGAGAGATAATTTCACCTCTTCTTTTGCTACTTGGATGCCTTTTATTTCTTTCTCTTGTCTGATTGCTCTGGCTAGGACTCTGAGTACAATGTTGAGCAGGATAGTTGATAGTGGGCATCCTTGCATTATTCCTGTTCTTAAGGGGAATGCTTCTAGCTTTTGCCTATTCAGTATGATGTGAACTGTGGGTTTGCATAGATGGCTCTTTTCATTTTGAGGTGTGTTCTCTTGATACCTAGTTTGTTGAGGATTCTATTATCATGAAAGAATGTTGGGTTTTGTTGATTGCTTTTTCTGCATCTATTGAGATGAACATATGGTTTGTAGTTTAGATTTGGTTTATTTGGTAAATCACATTTACTGATTTGCATATGTTGAACCAACCTGTCATCCCAGAAATGAATTCTAGTTGATCTTGGTGAATTAACTTTTTGATGTGCTTCTGGTCTTGGTTTGCTAGTATATTGTTGAGGATTTTTTAATCTATGTTCATCAGACATATTGTGCTGTGGTTTTCTTTTGTGTTGTTGTCTCTTTAGGAGGTTTTGGTGGCAGAGTGATGCTATCATTATAGAATGAGTTAGGAAGGAGTCCTTTCTCGTCAATTTCTTTTGGAAAAGTTTCAGTAAAATTGGTACCAGCTCTTCTTTGTTTGTCTGATAGAATTTGGCCGTGAATCCACCTAGTCTCTTTGTTAGTGTGGTTTTGTTTTTGTTTTTTGGTTTGTAGGGTTTTTCAAAATCATGATTCAATTTCAGAATTCGATAATGACCTGGTCAGGCTTTCCATTTCTACCTGATTCAATCTTGGAAGGTGGTGTGTTTCCAAGAATTTATCCATTTCCTCTAGATTTTCTAGTTTGTTTGCATAGAGATGTTCATAATCGTCTCTGAGGATCTTTTGTATTTCTGTGGGATTTGTTGCAATGTTACTTTTGTGGTTTCTGATTATTCTTTACATCTTCTCTTCTTTTTTCTTTGTTAATCTAGCTAGTGGTCTATCAATCTTGCTGGTCTATCAAATAACCAACTTCTGGTTTTGTTGATGATTTGTTTTCATTTTGGGGTTGCAATTTTGTTCAGTTCAGCTCTGATTTTAGTCATATCTTTTCTTCTGCCAGCTTTGAGGTTAGTTTGTTCTTATTTTTCTAATTACTCTGGATGTAATATTAGATCAATAATTTGAGATTTAAAAAAACTTGTTAAGGTAGGTGTTTAACAGTATAAAATTTCCTCCTACTATTGATTTTGCTGCATCTCAGCGATCTTGGCATATTTTGTCTCTGTTTTCATTCATTTCAAATAATTTTCTATTTCTTTCTTAATTTTGTTGTTTACCCAGAAGTTATTCAGGAGCAAGTTGTTTAGTTTTTATGTGATTGCATTGTTTTGAGAGATCTTCTTGGCTTTGATTTCCATTTGTATTCCACTGTGATCTGAGAGAGTAGTTGGTATGATTTCATTGTTTTAAATTTACTGATACTTGCTATATGGCCGAGTATATGGTTGATCTTACAGTATTTTCTGTGTGCAAATGAGAAGACTGCATATTCTGAGGTTGGTAGATGGAGTATTCTGTAAGATGCCTATTAGGAAAAATTGGTCAAGTGTTTAGGTCCAGAATTTCCTTTTTTTTTAAAAAAAAATTCTGCTTCAAAAGTCTATATGAAGCTGTACATGGGGTGGTGACGTATCTCACTATTATAGTGTGGCTGTCTGTTTCTTTTCATATATCTAGAAATACTTGTTTTATGAATCTGAGTGCTCAAATGTTGGCTGCCTGTATATTTAGGATTTAGGATAGTTAGGTTTTCCTGTTGAATTAAACCCGTTATCATTATGTATTGCCATTTTGTGTCCTTTTTTACTGTTGGTTTAACATCTGTTTTATCTGATATACAAATAGTGACCCCGGCTTTCTTTTCTTTTCTTTCTTTTTTTTTTTTTTTTTTTTTTTGAGTGTGTGTGTGTGAGATAGATCTTTCTCCATTGATTTAATTTGAGCCTATGGATGTTACTAAATGTGAGATGGGTCTATTTAAGACAGCAGACAAATGATGTTGCATTTTATACAGCTTGTCACTCTGCCTTTTTAAACAGGGTGTTTAGACCATTTACATTCAAGATTAATATTAATGTGTGAGGTTTTGATCCTATTTTGCAGCTTTGAGCTGGTTGCTTTGTAGTTTCTATTGTCTGGTTGCTTTAAAGGGTCTACAGGCTATGTACTTACATATGTTTCTGTGGTTGCAGGTATTGTTCTTTTGTTTCCATGTTTTAGACTCACTTAAATATCTCTTGTAAGGCTGATCTACTGGTAATAAATTTTCTTAGTGCTTTCTTGTCTGGAAAAGATTTTATTTATTGTTCACTTATGAATCTTAGTTTGGCAGAATATGAAATTCGTGGTTGGAATTTATTGCTTTGAGAATGCTGAAAATCTGCTCCCAATCTCTCCTGGCTTCTTAGGTTTCCACAAGAAAGTATGATGTTAGCCTGGCAGAGTTTTCTTATATGTGATCTTACTGTTTTCTCTAGCTGTCTTTAAGATCTTTCCTTTAGTGTTGCCCTTGAACAGTCTGAGAACTATATGCCTCAGTGATATTCATTTTTTTAAGTATCTCACAGTTGTTCACTGGACTGTGTTTGGATGTCTACCTCTCTAACGAGGTTAGCAACATTTTCTTGAATTATTACCTCAATTATGTTTTCCAGGTTGCTTACTTTTTCTTATCCTCTCTCAGGATGCCTATAATTTGTAGGTTTTGGCACTTTTCATAGCCTCATATTTCTTGAAGACTTTGTACATTTTTTGCTATACTTTTTTATTTATTTTTGTCTGACTAAGTTTGGACAACTTGTCTTCAACCTCAATTTTTTTTTTCTTCTGCTTGGTCCAGTCTACTGATAAAGCTTTCAACTGTATTTTGAAAGTCTTTAAGTGAGGTTTTTAATTCCAGAAGATTTTACCTATTTATTTTTAAGATGTTTATCTCTTCCTTCAATTCCTTAGTTGCTTCATAAATGTCTTTGTGTCAGTTGTGACCTTTGTCTTGGATCTTGTTCAACTTCCTTGCTTTGAATTCTTTATCTGTCATTTTTGAGTTTCTATTTTGGTTAGGGAAAATTGCTAGAGAGCTAGTGTGATCGTTTGGTGGTGTCACTACATTCAGATTTTTAATGGTGCCAGAATTCTTGTTCTGGTTCCTTCTCATCTGGAGATGCTGACACCTCTAATTTTTGGAATTACTTTCATGTGGGTAGTTTTTTCTTTTTTTTTCACTATAATATTGCTTTTATTTTTTCCTTTATTTCCCCTTTCTCTTCCTTTCTAGGGAATGTGACTAGAGAATGCTGGGTAGTGTCCTTTGGCTTTGCTTCTTTAACTCCATGCACTTCTGTTGGCAGGTTTTTCACTGGACTGTGCAGTTTGACCTACAAGCCAGTAGATGGTGCTCATAGATATGTATTGGCTGCAGCCACTGTGGCTGCGTATATAATCTTTGTTACAGGCAATATGCTGATTCACAGAGTGCACAGTAGTTTGAGCTCCCTTCTCAGTCTCTAGGGGATAGGAGGCAAGATGGGAGGTACTAGAACAAGCAGAATTGCCTACAGAACATCAATGGCAGGCACAAGTACCAGCTGTAAGGGAGAATTCAGTGTGTGGCCACCAAGCACCCAGACATGTGCCTAGGCATGGAGCTTGGAAACCTCCTTGGCCTCAAATTCTCTGCACAAGGATGTGGAGCTGCCTACACCCCTAATATAAGAGAGTGAGTGCTCTAGATGCCTGCTAATCTGCCTGGGAGTGGGTTTGCGAGAACACCAGTTCACCATGGTCTCTGCATAGGTAGGGTGGGTCAGTTCAGTCTGCTGATTCAAGTGAGCAGGTGCTCTGAATACCTGGAGAAATGCCTGGCCATGGAACAGGGAGGGCTTCACTCCTCCTGGATCTTTGCACAGGAAGGGTAGGAGACTCAGTTTTCTAATCTAGGTGAGAAGCTTCTTCAAATGCCTGGATACCTGCCTGTTTGTGGAGCATGAAAGGGCCTGCTGCACCACAATCTCTGTACAGGAAGGTTGGGCAGCTCAGGCTGCCAATATGGGCATGCATCTGCTCTGAATGTTTGGAGATGGAGATATGTTTGAGCATAAGACAGGCAAGGCTTCTCTGCACCCAGTTCTCTGCACAGAAAGGGAGGCGTGACTCTGGCTGCTAATCCAAGAGGGTGTGTTCTCCAAATATCTGCAGTTATGCCTGAATGTGAAGCAGAGAGGGTCCAGCTGCAAGTTTCTGCACAGGAATGGTAGAAGACTCAGGCTTTTGAGTCAGGCAAGAAGTTGTTCTGAATGCCTAGAAGTCAGCCTAGGCATCAGCCTAGGCATGAAGCAGAGGGGGCCTTCCTGCAACCATATCTCTGCACAGCAAGGGTGGATCATCTCAGGCTGCAGGTCCAAGTGAGCAGATGCTCCAAATGCCTGGAGATAAACCCACTGCTCCATGATCTCCGTGCAGAAACAGCGGGGCAGCTCAGGCTGCCAGTCCAAGATAATAGGTTCTCCCAATGCCTGAAGATGTGTCTGTATGTAAATCAGAGAGGTGCTCCCTGCATCCACATCTCTGCACAGGAAGTGTGGGGGTGACTCAGGCTGCTAATCCAAGCAAGTGGGCCCTCCAAATGCCTGGAGATCTGCCTGGACTTGAAGCAGAGAGGGCCTGCCTGCACCAAGGTCTCTGCACAGGAAGGGTGGGGCAACTCAGACTGTTATATAGGCCAGCAGGTGCTCTGACTGCCCAGATTGCTACCTGGGCATGGAGCAGAAAGGGCCCT